>NC_000002.12:239231995-239559943 GCF_000001405.40 Homo sapiens | reverse complement strand
TGTCCTTGGCCAACCCTGTCACTGGAGGCCTCTCCCTGGCTGACCAGGCCACTGTCCTGCTGTGACCCCAGCCCCCTGCCATGGACCTTCCCCACCTTTCTCAAGGCTCACCCGGCGCCAGCCCCCCACCCCGCCTCACCCTCCTGCCCATCTGCTGTGCAGTGCCGCTTCTTCCTTTCTCTGCCCAAGCACCTCTGTGGCCACTTGCTTGGAACTACTCATGGCCAGAAGTGTGGGCAGCTGCAGTGCAGAGGCTGTCCCTTCCCGACATGGCGTTGCTGGGCTTCCCCTCTTCAAGGAGCAGTTTCTAGCCCTAGTCCGAGAAGGCGGGCAGTGGCCACAGGAGCCGGGCCAGCTGCATGGGCACCTTCCCCATGGGCCAGAGATCAGTCAGCCGAGGCAGAGCCGGCCTCCCATTCTCCCACCGAGTGAGGACCAACAGCTTTAGGAGACCGGAGGGGCAGCGGGGTGGGAACGCAGCCCTGGATGAAGTGCAGAGGGGTGCAGCTCTTCGCCGGAGTCCTCCATGCCCCAACAGCTCCCCTGCGTCATCACCAGCACTCCTTGAGCCACCTCCCCTGCCTAGGAGGGCAGTGGGAGTCGCCGGAGGTGACCAATGTGAGCAGCTTCAGAAACTAGGGCACCCATTCAGGTTGCCCCGAATTTAGCGGGGATATGAGATGATAATCATACCTCCAAGCTCATTTTCATTTGTTCTGAAGTTTCCTCTGTGTGGTTTGGGGCAAGGAGCAGCACCCTGGACTTTCTCATCTGTGAAACAAAGGAACTGACTTGATTTTTCATTGCTCCTAAAGGTATCAGATTAAGAAAATGGACAGAAGCAAGAAACAGATATACAGCCTGCAAAGGGGCCTTGCCAACGTAAGTGAAAAGGGCTGACTCCAGGAGCTCGCGAACATGGCATGTGTTTGTGTTACAAACCTGCAATTGCAGGAGATTGGAAGCCAAGCCTCTTGGGCACAGGCATGGAGTTGGGCATATCCGGGGGGTCCCCCTTCATGGTACTGGGGTGTGATCATGAACAGGATCAGGAAGAGAAGCACAGGCTGGCTGGCCAGGGTGGCAGGGTGTGAGGCCGCTGCACCGGGAGAGTCTACCGGGCATCGTGAGTCAGCTGGCGTGGGTGGGATCCAGGAGGCGGGGACTGAAGAGAGTCGGCATGGAGGGGGATCCCTGGGTGTGCACACATGCACGTGGATGAGTGTGTGTGTCCCCTAACCTAGTGCAAATCATCCTCTCAGCCCTGTCCCACCCACGCCAAAACCAGGTGTTGTGGGAGAATCAAGAGACAGCTGTGAGTCGTCCCACAGACTGGAATTCAGGAAAGTCAGCATATCTCCAGGGGCCACCATGATGGGGAAAGGGATCCTTGCCGTGGGCCGCGAGGAGAAGGTCCACCCTGAGAAAGCAGGGTCAGGGCCCTGTGAGCCAAACAAACTCCAATTCTGGAAATTCTCTCAACCTCAGAGCACCTAATGCGATTTTTATTAAGTGGTATTTTTATTACCTCATGCTTAATTGACCAAGGAGCAGGGAGGCTGGGATTGGCCTAAAGTCTGAAGTACCTCTCTCTATTTTCAGGGCGGGCAGCTCATCAGTGTTACCTGTGTGTCGTTCTCCAGATGCTCTCATGGCAAACGGCATTTCTAAAATGCTAAATCACGTGGCATCTGGGAGAAGGGGAGATGATGGCCAGGGAAGGCCGTCGTGTCTTCCCGCCTGCTGCCTCAGTCCTGGGACGACAGAGCTGCACCTCTAAGTTCCCAGGAGAGGGTGGTCCATTTGAGTGTAGCCGTCTCCTCAAGACATGTTGAAATGAATTTCCATGTTCATCAAACCATGAATTATTGAAAAGCACTCAGGAATTTTTGTGTTCCATTTACACGAATCAATGAACAGAGGTTTAGAGTCAACCTTTGCTTCACTGCTTTATGGTTTATAAAGACAGGGCAACAATTTCAAGTGTGTACTGAGAACGAGCTTATTCGTGGTTGGAATAAATTAAAAGAATGGCCTTTATAAGAAAGATTCAGAATCTGTATGAAGCAAATGACTAGGTCAGTAGGTAGACAGATTTTTCCCCATTTTTGTATTGGAGATTTTCAAATGTATACAAGAGTAAAGAAGATGGAAAATGACTCCCTTGAGCCCGTCGCCCAGCATCAATATGTATCCACATTTCGCTATTCTTGCTTTATCTAACCGTCTCACTTATCTCAAAACCACAATATGTTAAGATAAGTGAACTGAAGACCTGAATAAATGCAAACATCTTATGCAAACATACATGAATGGTAAAAGTGAATGTTATAAAACTGACAATAATTCTTAAATAAGAGCTACTGAAATACTAACGAAAATTCCAAGGGGAATTTTTCTTACTTTGTCAAAATAATTCTAGAATTCTGCAGAAAAAGTAAAACACATTAACAGTGCAAAAAAAAAAAATGAGAAAGAGAGTAGGTTTTATATATTAAACCATAAAGCCATTAAAAGCATCATTAGAAAAAAGAGAAACATTTTTTATAACCTTGGAGTAGGAAAAGGTTTTCTCAATCTAATATCAAAGCCAAAAATCATTAAGAAAAATATCTAATAATTTGGGCTTATGAAAATGAAAAACATAATTATAAATCTAAAAGAATGTAAAGACTTACAATTAATAAGTGAATTTGGTAAATTTGCTAGCTATAAAGTCAGTATGCAAAAATTAATTGTATTTCTATGTGAGTCATACACAAACAGAAAAAGAGATTTACACACAACAGTATTTATGATAGCATTGAAAACATCAAATTTCACAACAGATGCTGGCGAGGTTGCAGGGGAAAAGAAACACTTTTACAGTGTTGGTGGAAGTGTAAATTAGTTAAACCACTATGGAAGGCAGTATGGCAATCTCTCAAGGATCTAGAAGCAGAAATACCATTTGACCCAGCAATTCCATTACTGGGTATATACCCAAAGGAATATAAATCATTCTATTATAAAGATACCTGCATGTGTATGTTCATTGCAGCACTGGTCACAATAGCAAAGGGATGGACCCAACCCAAATGCTTATCAATGACAGCATTGAAAGCTATCATTGATAGCAAAAGAAAATGTGGTAAATATACACCATGGAATACTATGCAGCCATAAAAAGGAATGAGGTTATGTTCTTTGCAGGAACATGGATGGAGCTGGAAGCCATTATCCTCAGCAAACTAATGCAGGAACAGAAAACCAAACACCACATGTTCTCACTTATAAGTGGGAGCTGAACGATCAGAACACAGACACATTGGGGGAACAACACACACTGGGGCCTGTTGGGGAGGTGGGGGGAGGGAGAGCATCAGGATAAATACCTAATGCATGCTGGCTTAATACCTAGGTGATGGGTTGATCTGTGCAACAAACCACCATGGCACACGTTTACCTGTGTAACAAACCTGCACATCCTGCACATGTACCCTGGAACTTAAAATGAAAGTTGAAGGAAAAAAAAAACATCAAATGTCTAAGAATAAATCTAACAAAGTATGTACAAAAACCTCTACACAAAAATCTACAAAACCTCATTGAGAGAAATGAAAGAAGTTATAAATAAAAATAGATTTAACAAAAGATGTATGGAACCTGCTCCCAGATATCTACAAAATATTATTGAGGGATAGTTGTTAACGTCTCAATAAACTGAAAGTTTTGCTTTGTAGAGGACAGTTCTCTCTGGATTAATCTTTAAATTCAGGGCAGCCCCAATCAAAATCCCAGCATATTATTTTTGCAGAAATTGACAGGCTGATTCAAAAACTCAGGTTCCCTAAGTCAGTCTTGGAAAAATAAGAACAATGATGTAAAATATCAAGACTTATTACAAAGTTTTAATAACTAGATGAGCGTGATATTGGCACAAGATAGACAAACTGACCCATGGTGTGGAGCTGGGCCCAGTAACAGACACACACATAAGCCATCAATGCAGTGGGGAAAGATGCTTCTCAATCAACGAGCTGAGTCCACCTCTATGCAGATACTTAAAGGCATTCTGTGCATTTGAGCAAACTGTCTTCTTGAAAAGCTGTGCAATCCTACAACCCACCCGTAGAGCATGAAAACCTATTGAATTCCTAATCATCACCATCTGCCATTTGAAGCAATCTTTGCTAACTTGACAAACGACAAACAGCAGCTCCTCTCCTGGGGTGTGGGGCTGAGCGTTGCCCCCATCTCTTTAGTGTACGTTTGTGTGGTTTCTCGAATGAATCACCTGTTCACATCTGTTGCCCAACTTTCTACTGGAATGTTCATAGTTTCGCTTAGCCATTTGTTAGATGTTGTAATAGCTTCCTATATTAAAGGTTTATTTTTCAATCTGATGCTTTTTGAAAAAGTTGTCCCAGCTTTCCCACCGTCTTCTAGTGTGGATTACCGTGTTAGTGGCACATACTCAGAGGCAGCCCAGACCCCTCCTGGCTGAAGGACCACTGGACAGAGTCCTCAGCTGACGCCACTGGGCCAGGAATGGCCTTGGCTAGCTGGAAAGAGGAGTTTCACTTCTACAAGTTCCTGCACCCTGCCTGGCTTATCCCATCACTAGTGCATGGTGGGATATAAAACCTGCTCTCTTGCCTGGGTAGACAGCAAGGCTCCATCTCTACAAAAACAAAAATTTAAAAATAGCCCAGCATGGTGGCACCCACCTGTAGTCCCAACTACTTGGAAGGCTGAGGCAGGAGGTTGGCTTGAGCCCAGGAAGTCGAGGCTGCAGTGAGTCATGATCGTGCTCTCCAGCCCAGGGGACAGAGCAAGACCCTGTGAAAAAAACAAGCAAACAAACCAAAAAACACTCCCTGCCCCAATCCAGGGCTCCTCTGAAAGGCCACCTGCACCAGATGGCTTTGTGGGCTCAGCTAGGGCTGGGGTTGAGACCCCATGGGGGTCCTCCTTGTTCCTCTGCCCACCCCTGCTCCTCCCTCTCCTCTCTGTCGGGTGTGGATCCTAACTGCTCTCCCAAGCACAGGCTGTGCCTGTTCATCTCCCTCTCAGAGGCTGCTTCCTGAGAGCCCACCTGCTTTGGTATTTTGGACGTAAAGAAGACCTTTAAGTGGTCTGATCTGTTAATTTTCTGTTTCACGGGTTTTGCATATGTTGAACCCTTAGGAAGTTTTTCTGCACTGCCAAGATTATGTGAATATTAAATATTCAGACTTTGAGCATTGGCCCACCTGGAATATATGAGGTATAAGATGCAAAGTAGAGTCTCTGACTTCATTTTTCCCCCCAGAGGTTTAGGTAGATCTCACAGTACCACTTATTGAATAATCAATCCTCTTGCCACTGATTTGAAATATCACCTTAATAATACAGTAACTTATTAAGGATACTTGGATTTGTTTCCAGGCTTCCTAAACTATTAATCAAAGCTGTCCTTGTAGTCCTGGGCCAATCCACACTACTGAAATTTTGTAGCTGTGGGCTTCAACCTCTGACAAAGCCACACTCATTACTCTTCCTTTTTAATAAGAATCTTTATTCTGCTAAGTGCAACCGCTGAAGGGCACGTTGCCCCTGCTATTTTATGTTTAATATTTTTATAATCCTTCCCGAGCTCATCGATCCCCACTTTCATCTCAGCCCAGTGCACACTGGGTGAGTGGATCCCTGGATGGCTTCTATGGACTCATGGGGTCTGTTTGTTGAGGACTTCAGCCCAGCGCTGGGCAGGCAAATGCTCAATGCCTGTTTCTCAGCCAGGCAGGTGGTTAAGACTTTCCCTCCTAGCTTCTTCCAAGATCTGTCTCCCCAGCAGGCAGACCTGGCATCAGGACTAATTGCAGAGACAGATCCATCTCTCTCTCTCCACAGCTGCTCAAAATCCACAGAGCTGGGACAGACTCATCACGTTTTTTGGGTCGGTTTGCTTTATTTTGCAGTTGCTGAATAGCCTGCCCTGCCTCTGTTGCTGCTGTTTTCTCGCTGCTGTTGTCCTCTGCCTATTAGGAGCTTGCCATATGTGCGCCTAAACCTCAGGAAGGAAGGTGAGGACAAGAAAGAGAAAGGCTGGGAGATTTATACCCTGGAGGTGCAGAGGGGCCCGGGGTGCGTCATCCCAATTGCACAGCACCCAGAGGTGGATAAATGGAAGCGGTCGCCCCTAGGAGACGGGCAACTTCAAGCCTTGCTCCTTGTTCCAGGGACACCGGCCACATGAAGCCCTCCCTCTGTTCAACCAAGTTAGGCCTGTTTCTCAGACTGTCACTCACCGTCAGCTGCTAACCCAGTGGCAAGTGCTCCCAGAGGCAGGAGAGGACCCAGGGAGAGATGGAAAGCCAAAGGCCTCCCCACCTGCCATGGGGGCGGGGCAGGAAACGGTGAGAGAGGATGTGGGTTACTGGGATTTGGAACTTATTAAATGTGTGTGAAACTCTAGAGTCAGAGTGGCCCAGGTCTCTATCTGACATGCACGGCTGGAAAAGTGTCATACTCAGCCAGGAAGATCCTGTATTAGTCCATTCTCGCATTGCTATAAAGAAATACCTGAGACTGGGTATGTCATAAAGAAAAGAGGTTTGGCTGGGCATAGTGGCTCATGCCTGTAATCCCAGCACTTTGGGAGGCTGAGGCGATGAATCACTTGAGGTCAGGAGTTTGAGACCAGCCTGGGCAACTTGGCGAAATCCTGTCTCTGCTAAAAATACAAAAAATTAGCTGGGCATGGTGGCTCACACCTGAATTCCCAGCAACTCAGGAGGCTGAGGTGGAAGAATCACCTGAGCCCAGGAGGTCAAGGCTGCAGTGAGCTGAGGTTGCACCACTGCACTCCCGCCTGGGCAACCCAACTGGACTGAGATCGTCTCCAAAACGAAAAAAGAAAAGAAAAAGAAACGAGGTTTCATTGACTCGGAGTTCTGCAGGCTGTACAGGAAGCAGGATGGCATGATGCTGGCATCTGCAGGGGCTTCCAGGAGCTTGTCCTCATGGCGGAAGGCAAAGGGGAACAGATACATCTCATGGCGTGAGCAGCAACAAGAGGGACACGGGGCAGGCGTTATACACTTTTCAATAACTGGATCTTGTGAGAAGTCTCTCACGATCAAGAGAACAGCACCAAGGGCATGTGACTAAACCATTCATGAAGGATCCAGTTCTGTGATCCAATCGCCTCCCACCAGGCCCCACCTGCAGCACTGGGAATTGCAGTTCAGCATGAGAGTTTGTGGGGACACAGATCAAACCGTATCAGAGCCCCTCGGACCCTGCCAGTCGACGCCCTCTTCGTTGACCCTGGGGCCACTCTGGCAGCCTCAGCTTCCACATCCACTGCTCATTCCTTGTGTGGCCCAAGGAGTGGACCTTCTGTTTTCTCATTTACAGAGGCGTGTAGTGAGAGTGAACCAGCCGCCTGTCCTGTGCAGAGGCCAGCACAGACCCCCTTGTGTGCCCCCTGGGTCCTTAGCCACATCAGTCCCCAGAACCCATCGCCAATTCCCAGGGAGCCAAGCTGCATAGGCTCACCTGGGCAGCACAGGCGGGCCTCACCCAATCCACTCATCCCTCACCCCCCAGCAAGGCCACCACTAAGCTTGCAAGACAGAGGCACCAACCATGCAGAAGATGCTCCATGGGGTAAACCCTGGACCGGCGCAAGCCCAGCAGCTGATAAATCCTTCTCCCTCCACCCCCAGGCTGGGCTGGCCTGAGAGGGAGTCATTCATTAGACCTCATGAAGAGCTGTACAGCCTGCTTCCTGTACAGCCTGCAGAACTCCGAGTCAATGAAACCTTGTTTCTTTTTCTTTTCTTTTTTCGTTTTGGAGACGATCTCAGTCCAGTTGGGTTGCCCAGGTGGGAGTGCAGTGGTGCGACCTCAGCTCACTGCAGCCTTGACCTCCCGGGCTCAGGTGATTCTTCCACCTCAGCCTCCTGAGTTGCTGGGAATTCAGGTGTGAGCCACCATGCCCAGCTAATTTTTTGTATTTTTAGCAGAGACGGGGTTTCGCCAAGTTGCCCAGGCTGGTCTCAAACTCCTGACCTCAAGTGATTCATCGCCTCAGCCTCCCAAAGTGCTGGAATTACAGCTCCCAAGACTGGAGCTGCTGGGTCATGGAACCCTGGCACCCGCTCTGCTGTCTCTCCTCCCCCAGCCCTCACCCCTCCCTGTCATTGCCCTGGGACTGCACCCCACTGAGGGAGCAGCCCAGAAACGTGGCCTCAGGCTGATTTCCAGGGATGAGGCTCAACAGGTGCTAGGGGGTAAGGTTAGGAACCAGCAATCCACTGAGGGTCCTTGTGACCCCCCAGGGAACTGCATCTGCTAAAACCACTGCCTCTTCAGCCTCTGCATCTAAGGTGAAGTGTCCCCATCAGTCTGGCTACTCTAATAAGTTACTGTAGACTGGGCAGTCGAGACAGCAGACACTCATTTCTCACAGTTCTGGAGCCTGCAAGTCCAAAATCAAGGCGCTGGCATATTTCGTGTCTGAGGAAGGCCCGCATCCTGGTTCACAGACAGTGCCTTTTTGCTGTGCCTGCAGAAGGGGAGGCAGCCCCCTGAGGTCCCTTTGTAAGAGCACTGGTCTTATTCGTGAGGCTACACCCTGAGGACCTAATTGCCTCCCAAAGGCCCCACCTCCTACACCATCACCTTGGTGATTAGGTTGGATGTATGAATTTTGAGGCAACACAAACATTCAGTCCGTAACTAGAAGGAATGGTGGCAGGGTAAGCTCCATAGCACAGCCCGGCCAGAGTGCTTGGGAAAGTCCTATTTTTCATCTTCTCTGACACAGAACCATAGAGATGAGCCATCAGATGAAAAGGCCATCCTTAGCCATCTATACATCAATCAGTCAATAAGCCTGGATACTTTGCTTTGCCCTTTGAACTTGTAATGACTCTCCAAAATACCATGAAGATGACGCAGCCTCCCCAGGTGGACAGGAATGGCCCCGCGGAGACATGCAGAGGGATCTCCCAAAAGAAGGAGGAAGCTCCCTTTGCTCCTTCTCCCAAAGGAAGCCCCACAGACACTCTTCAACTAAATTTGATTCAGAAAGTTCAACTGAGGCTTGCTATAGTCTGAATGTGTTCCCCTAAAATTCATCTGTTGAGATCCTAACCTCCAAGTTGAAGGTGTTAGAAGGTGGCCCATTGGGAGGTGATGAAGTCATGGGGGCAGAGCCCTCATGAATGGCTTTAGTGCTTTTCTAAAAGAGGCCCCAGAGAGCTCCCTCGCCCCTTCCACTATATGAGGACACAAGAAGAAGACACCATCTGTGAACCAGGAAGCAGGTCCTCACCAAACCCCAAATCTGCTGGCACCTTGATCTTGCACTTCCCAGCCTCCAGAACTATGAGAGACAAATGTCTGTGGTTTGTAAGCTGCCCAGGCCATGGTATTTTGTTATAGCAACCTGAATGGATGAAGACAAGGCTTTATCAGTCTCATCATCTATCAGAGCATTCCTTTGTATACAGCAAACATCCCCAGTGTGTGTGTGTGTGTGTGTGCGTGTGTGTGTGATTCATTGAGGCAGATACAAGTTATAGCATTTACTAAATTAAACCAGCCACGTTTTGTGCAGGATTGTTTAAGGGTCCCGTTCTCCTCACAGGGGCAGGGGCAGGGTCCCTCTTCCACCTTTTTGAAGAAAGCACCAAGGCTGGGTCATCTGGAAGGGTTTTGAAAGGCCTTTGGTGCAATAAATACATTTTCAGCTTTTGGTTGAGCGTTTGTTCTTAATGCTTTCCCTACACACCCACCAGAGTCTTCCTTCAGTGGTTTTCATGAAATCACTGTTTATTTTCAATGTCATCTTACAAAATGTTGGTTGCCTGATCCAGCAGCCCTGCAGGTCTTCATCCTCCAAGCTGAGCCCACTGGGACTTTGTTTTGGCAGCTGCACTGTCTCTGGTGCTCTCAGCCTTCTGTTTTCTATGGCCGTGGAAGGAGCGTTTAAGTTCTCTGGATAGAAAGAGTCGCTCCCACTTGGCCCAGGTGGCAAGTGTGGTCCTACCTCGCACTGCACCGTCTTCCCCGTGGCATCGCTCAGTTCAGGAGCAGTGGTCACATTCTGTCCAGCTCTGTGCAGTTGCACATGTTCTACAGGATGGTGTGCATGCCTGGGGCAAAATGCCCCTGAGACTTGAGAGTCACGCAGATGTGGCTTTAACTCAAGACCCATAGGTAGAAAAGGAGGAGTAAATGCGGGGGTCTGAGGCAATCAGAGAGATAATACAGTGACCACTCAGAGGGACACTTGCTTTCCACCACTGTGGGAAGATACACAGAAGGAAATCAGCAAATGCTCATTTACAGGGAGGTGAACTCATGGTTATTAGGGATTACTACAGCAGGGAGGGAGGTCTGGAAGGCTGGAGGGCTCCTGTGAAGCTTGGGAAAGAAAGAGGGTTTTGGGTCCTCAGCTGCCTCTCCCCCACCCAGCATGCGTCCACAGTCAGCAGGGAAGGAAAGCAGAGACACAAGACACAGGAGAGAGGAAGGGCTCTAGTTTCAGATCTGCGCAGCTGCAGCAAATGCTATCATCCCATCTGAACCCGCTGGGCTTGTCTGTACTCCACACCCGACAAGATCCTCACATTCGCCTCCTGGCACCGACCCTCACGCAGGGCTTTCTATCCTGCCACACCTTCTTGTGGGCAGAGTGATGGTCCTGGAAAGATGTGCACGTCCTCATCCCCGCAGCCTGCGAATATGTGACCTCGCAATGCAAAGGGACTGTGCAGATGCGATTGAGTTAGCGATTCTGAGGTGGGGGGTTATCTTGGATTAGCCAGGTGGGCTCGATGCCATCAAAGGGCTCTTATAAGGGAGAAGGCGAGGCAGGAGGCTCACAGTAGTAAAAAGAGGTGTGACCATAGAGGCAGAGGCGAGAGAGATGTGAAGGTGCTGCTCTGTTGGCTTTGAAGATGGGGGAGGGAGCCACCAGCCAAGGAATGTGGGCACCTCTGGAAGTTGGAAAAGCCAGAAAACCTACTTTCCCCTAGAGCCTCCTGAGGAACCAGCCCTGCTGATGACTTGATGTTAGCTCAGCAGGGCCCATTTCTCTCAGGGGTGCTCAGCTTGAGACAGCAGGAAGACACACCTTGCCTGCAACCGGCTGGGCCCAGCTCCCCTGAACGGAGTGTTCATCCTCCAAGGCAGGCTCTGCCCGCCTCTCAGACCTGACTCAGACCCACCTTCACCTCATCTTCCTCTGAGGTCTGAATCATCAGACAAGCCACAGAAAGCACGTTCCCTCCTGCCTCTCCACCCTCAGACTGAAAGTGCCCAGTGAGGTTAGCAGGTGCGGGAGGAGTAGGGGGGAGGTAGAGCCGTGCCGTCGCCCTTGACGGCTTGTCGTTGGGTAAAGTGACTTTCAAAGAAAACAACGGCAGTGTGTCTCTGTCCACCCACACTGGGAGCCTGAAACATAACCCAGAGTGCAGCCCATAGCGGGCAGATGGCCTGAGAGCCCATGGTAGCCATGCGCAACCTGGACCCTCTGATCCCAGGAAGGGATTGGAGCTGGGAAGCGGGGCTCTGCCTCACTTCCCTCCCTTTTTCTTCCAGGGAAATTATTCAGAAACAAGGTGGACTTTCTTGCTAAAAGTTCTCGGTCTCAAAACAATCTTCAACTTTAGGATTCATTTCTCAGAAGTTCGAATGTCACATCCCCACCATGACAGGAACGGCACGACACTGAGATGCAGGATCAAGTGTCCCACCCCATGACACCTATATGGGACTGATGTCTCACAGGGGACTGACACCTCGGATGGGACTGACATACAACGGGCCAGGCATTTTACATGGGACTGATATGTTACATGGGACAGATGACATATGCTTGAAGGCAAGCCCCAGACCAGATGGTCCTTGGATACAGGGTTCTGTGGTCATGCCCTGCCCTGAAATCTTTCTCTAGTGTATTAGCAGGGACACTTCTCACCTCTCAGGTCCTGTGTGCTCTGCAGTTTATCCTCTCAAAGCAGTGAGCCTCTAAATGGCAGGGGTTTGAATGAGCCTTGGGCTGGAGAACTGGGGAAGTAGCTTGAGGTAGCTGAGCAGGTGACAGTGGTGACCTGACACATAATATGCATTTGATTTTGTGATAAGAGTACAATCTTCCCTTGGCACCAATAGGGGATTGGTTCCAAGACACCCCCAACCCCCCGTAGATACCAAAATCCTGGGATGCTCAAGTCCCTGATATAGAATGGCATAGGATTTGCAGGGAACCTACTCACATCCTCCCATGTACTCTAAATCATCTCTAGATTCTCTAGATTACTTATAATACCTCACAACAATGGAAATACCATATAAACCGTTCTTATATTTTATTGGCTTCCTTATATATATTGTTTTTTATTGTTGTATTGTTATTTTTTATTGTTTTTCCCCCAATATTTTTGATCCATGGTTGAATCCACGGATGCAGAGCCCACATATATGAAAGGCCGACTATATCTGGGATACTTCAATAACAAAGCACAATCCCACTTCTAAAGGGACATATTACTTGGAATGGGGCTTTGAAAACTATGGCCAGGTGCCTGTTATTGTCAATAAAGTTTTATTGGCACACAGCCACACCATCCATTCAGCTGTGGTCTGAGGCTGCTTTTGCGCTGCAACTGAAAAGCCTGGTGCAGATGCCACTGATTTCCCAGGGGGTGTCAGCTTCCCTGGTGGTGGTGCACAGCCCCTGTGATGCCACTGGTTTCCCAGGGGGTGTCAGCTTCCCTGGTGGTGGTGCACAGCCCCTGTGATGCCACTGGTTTCCCAGGGGGTGTCAGCTTCCCTGGTGGTGGTGCACAGCCCCTGTGATGCCACTGGTTTCCCAGGGGGTGTCAGCTTCCCTGGTGGTGGTGCACAGCCCCTGTGCCTTTTGCTTCAGTGCAGTCACACAGGGCATCTCAGTGAAGGGTCTTCGCCTGCTGCTTTCGGTGAGGGTCCCCACCAGCTGAGCCTGAATCAGGGCCCTTGTGCAGGAGATTCATAGAAGGAGGACTCCCAGGAGAAACCCAGACGGGTGGGAATAGGAAGAGGTTGGGCAAAAATTCAGGTCCAGGGCACACCCAGCCCAGCCTGAAACCATGGGAGCTCCACAGTGTGAATTTCACCACAGTTTGTCCTGCTCAGGGGCAAGGAGGCTGGGTTGTTAAACCCCGTGTTGGTCAGAGGGTCAGCGGTTGGCTACGGGCACCATTAGGGTGGGAGGTGGAGAGAGTAACTGCTCAGCACCCCCCACAGCCCCTCATGGCCGTGGCCAAGGGCAGACGACACTCGCAACAGAGGGCGGGTGGGCACACAGGCCAGGAAGTGGGTCTGGACACAATAGGGCAGCATCTGCCATGCCTGTGGCCCAAGGGCTCCTTTGGCGATTGGGAAGCCCCTGAAATTGTTGGCAAATGGATTTTCTTTTACCACTTTCATTAGAGCCTTAAAATCAGGCTTAGAACCCCAATCTTAGTGGGAGTCACACAGGTTCCCGCCCACCATTCTCCCCAACAGGGCCACACTTGGAGGAAGGAATTGTTCAATGTGTCAGGACTGTGAGAGCAGCTAGTGGCCCCCACGGGGCAGGGAGGGCAGCACCTGGACATGTCCAGGCAGAGGTGGAGACTGGACAGGGATCAATCCTGGGAGAGAGGGAGATGGGCTCTGTCCAAACCTTAGGTCCAACTCAGAAGGCTGGAAGTGTGCAGGACCACCAAGGGCACGGGGCCAGGGGAGCCGAGGAGGCAGGGCTGGTTCTGGAGGGTGCTTCTGAGAGGCTGGGTCACAGTTGGGAAAGCTGCCGGCTTTTGTCACATGTGGCTCTTTGAAGTCCCCAGGCAGAGAAGTTTCCATGGAAGGCTGGGGGGTGGGACAGAAGCCACAGGGAGCAGGGGCTGGACACAGAATTCAGGGCAGGGGCATGGCGCTGGGGAGGGGTCCTAACTGGAGGGTGATGTGGGGCAGGCGTTTTTCCCTGGGAGGTAGGCGTCGCTGTCTCTGTCCGAGGGTGGGGGTAACCCCATAAACAAGAGACCAGAGATGATTGCCAGCGCCATGCTCTCAGGAAAGGAAGAGAGGGGCCTGGGCTCCGGACGGCAGAGGGTGGCCTTGGTGGCTGTCACACTCCTTCCAGGTGACAGGAGGGAAGGCGGTGGGCAGGCCTGCAGATCGAGGACAGGAGGAATGCAGGGGCTTCTGGAAGCTTCCATCTCCTCAGAGAAAGAGGAGGGGAGCACCTCTGAACCTGAGGGAGGGGAAAGTGTGAGGGGAGGAGGAGGGTACAGGAGACACCCCGCAGGGACCCATGAGCCTAGGGCAGGCGGCCCCACTGAGGCTTATGGCCAGGAGTCTGAACGACTCCAGGGAAGGGGAAGAGGTGGCTTCTCCTGGGGCTGGGGTTTCATCCAGGGTTGAAAACGGGAGGAAGAAATGGGCCAAGGAGTGGAAGAGCTTGCCAGGAGGTGGCTGTCTCTGGGCCACATGTTCACAACTGGAGAAAGATGGTGGCCGAGGCAGGAAGTGGTACAGGAAACACGGGGGAGGCAGCTGTGGGCCCGCCAGGAATAGCCCCAACCACTCACAGGCGCTCTCACTCGGTGCCAGCACCTCCCCTGTGCCCACGTGACACCAGACCCACTGGCATCATGGCCAATGGGTGCTGTTATAGGAGGGAGTAGGAGAGAGCTGATGAAGCTGATACCCTCAGAAACTGAGTCTCAGAGAAGGGCATCGTGGGAATCCCCCCACACTGCTGTGATGTCATCCACACCTGCTTTCATGAGACACCATCCACCGTCATCCTCACAGCCTCTACTGAGCCACCACGATTCCACAAAAGGCCGTACAGCCGCCCACTGCAAGACCAACCTCCCCAGCCTTGCGGGAGGGGCCAGTGTAGCATCCTGGCCAGAGCCACCCTGGCCACTCAGGAATGGTCCTGAGCCCTAGCTCTGCAGGAGAAGGAGGGAGTCCCCAGGCCCAGAGTCAGATGACAGCACCTGGCACAGCCAAACATCCTGCATGGCTGCAAGAAGATGCCAACTACCACCAGCTCTGTGCTGATTAGTAATGATGTGTTTAATGAAATTTCAAGGTTCATTACGGAATGTGGATTAATTAAATTGAGAGGGAAGATAATGAAAAATATTCCCATTGGATACATAAAAGAGCAGGCCTGCTGTGGTGGGAGGAGGGAGTTGAAATGTATGGACCTGCCAGAACTCTCCAAGTCTGCCCCTGGAAAATGAGCCAAGTCTTTCTGCTGCGTCCTCTAAGCAAAGACGGTGGCCTGAGTCCATGTGGGAGCCCAGTGGGGCCTCTGAGTCTCACTTGTGATTTGGGGAGAGTCATACTGGCTCCCTGCTGGGCTCAGCATCACATTCAAAGTCACTGGTTCATGTCCTCCCAGGACCTTGGAGTTGGCCAAGCACTCATGAATCCCTCTGTGTACTTTCTTTACCAAGGGTTCTGGAAGGAAAGGAATGAAAACATACACATCAGATTCATCCAGATGCACCAATCTCAGCAGCCAGGCAGCAGCAGGAGGAGGCGCAGCAGTGTCTGACAGCTCTGAAGTTTCCGCCTGGTTCAGGAATCCTGGAAGTTTTCCCAGAGTCCTCTGCGCATGCTGGAAAAATCTGCTTTGAACTTCCTGATGAGCCAGTTGGAGCATGAAGGATCTGGTTGAGTCTTAAAAGCCTTAATACTGAGGCTTAAATTCCAGTGTCTGTGTGAGTTAGGATTGCGGGTTACTGAGCACCCTCGGCTGAAGAACAATCATGCTCATCCCGTGTGTCTGCAAGCCCACCTCTCCCTGCCTCTTGTGCCTTCCCCAGCCCAATCCCCAGCAGAACTCTATCCGTAAGGGCTATTGTGCCCATTTCATGGAAACACACAGTTGGCAAGCAGCTGCTACACCCACCACAGATAAATCTCATAAACAAAACGCTAAGTGAAAACCACTAGAGTTAAGAGAATATGCAATGTGTGATGCCATTCACCCAAAGCGGGTTCAACTGTTCAAAGGCAAAATCATGGTTATCTTTGAGGGTGTGGTGGGGAGGTGGGAACTGAAAAGGGCATGAAAAAAGTCTTCTGGGTTCCTGGCAATGATCTGGTTCTTGATGTAGGTGGTGGCTACACAGAGGTTTCATCATTTCAGAGATTTCCCTTGCCATTTGAGCACTCTCTCATACTTCAATTAGAAGCATCTGTTCTAAAAATTACTAGGTATTGTGTCCACAAAGTTGTCCTGCAAGTGGCATATCCATTTCACTATTCATCCTTCTCAATTTATCCAAAACAAAAAGGTTTAATGTATCATAAAATAAATGTATTTCTACTAAAAATGGCTAGAAGTGTTTTAAAAATGTATTCAGATTGAGAATAAGTGGCTTCCCTTGGTCCTGGAGCTAGGGCTCAAGTGAATCTCAAATCCAGGTCTCTAATAGCACAGCAGGGCCTTTTTTTCCCTTCACACAAGAGTGAAGCCCTCCTTTCCTAAAATTGGACCAAGGGCACGGGTGGCAAAAGTTGGGTCCTCATTCACAGAGCTATTTTGACAGAGGTGATTTCTGCTGCTCATGAGTGCCTCGGAGTAGTAATAGAAATTATTAACTGATGTGATCCAAGAGAGTCAATGGTAAGCCTGGAAATACTCCTCAATTCTTGACTTCTGGGCTATTGTGCTGACCAAGTTGATTTCCAACACACCCAATTGTCTCTAAATTTTCCTTCCTCCTACTAAATCAGCAGAATTTACCAGGAGGTATGAAGGAGATTAAAGTCCTTTTCCTAGGCAGCAATTACTCACACCAGTCAACATGTATTCATCAGAGATAAACATCTCATCCAATTCATATTCCATACCTCAACCCGCTGTGCGTAAGAGAAAACGACAGTCAGTTTCTGGGAAAGACAATTACATTACATGATTTCAAACAACTCAAGCTTTTCCTTTTCTATCTTCATTGTATTCATGGAAGTCTTCATGAAGGACAAAAATGTTGAACACTCTGGGTTCAGTTTACAGGATTTCACCAATGTCCTTTCAATCTAATGCTCTTACCTAGAATCACCTTCAAGATACAGGTCTGGGCCAGTCTGCTTCTTCATGCTGAAGGGACTAATAAACCCAGAAAGTGGACACATGGGGAGTCAAGGTCAAAGGGGGCCCAGAAACCACCCAGGAGATGACTTCCTTCGAGTGGGTTAGGAACAAGATGCTCTGAAAGCCTCCGAGAGTCGTTCCTGGTCAGTGATGGTATTAAAGGTAGGGCCAGGACTTGTACTTGGGCCTCAGGAATTCTCACATGGTCAGTGCCTGAGCTGGTCTGCAAGAGACTGGGCACCAGAAGCCAAAATCAGGGTGGGGCCTGCAAGAGATCAGATGAACTTACTAAGGAGTGAGAAATTCAGCTCAGCACCCTGGAGAGTAGAGAGGAGTCCCCGCTGTGTGGAAGAGCCAGATTACAATCTTTTCTTTAGATAACCCTCACCCTGAACATGTTTGGAAGGGTGGCGGAGACCGGTACCCAGTGGTCTCTCCACTGGCCTGTCAAGCACAGACTGGGAATTCCAGGGAGGAAGGAATCCATCCCTTCTTTCAAGTGCTTACAGTGCCCTTAGATAATCCTCAGGGTAACAGTCACTGGAGAGTTACTTCTCTCATCTATCCAACCAGTCCCATGGCTCCTTATACCCAGTCACATGTTCCGCGTTCTAGACTCTTAAATAGAAACTGCAAGATTTTGCCACCAGAAGTCCCATCACTAGAGAAACGGTAAAGGAAGCTGTTTAGGAAAAAAGGAAAATAATTCTAGAACAAAGATGCTTAGTGACAAGAAAAAGCAATGCAAAAAGAATAAAAATATAGAGAAATCTAAATAAACATTGACATGAAAGTTACATTACAATAAATCCTAATTGGGCAAAGGACAGAAATAAAACATCAATAAGACTATTGGCAATAATCAGTAAGACTATTGGCAATATGATGAAGTAAAAGATATTCTCAGCTCCTTAAATTGTTCAGGAGGGCTGTAGGTCTTTCAATTAAGTTTAGATCCTGAGTTAAGTTTGTATGCTAAAATTCTAAGGGTCACCATCAGAGGGATAAACATAGATTGTGTTTTGTCTAATTCTGAAAGACAGAGGACAGAATATGGATTTTAAATATGTAATCAATTCAAAATAAGGCAGAAAAATATAGGATATTTAGAACAAAAAGAAATCACAAAATAAGATGGAAAAAATAATTTAAAATGTATCAGCAATCACAAAAAATATAAATGGGCAAAATTTAACAGGTAATCAAACTGTCAGATCCAATGTTTTAATTTTAATCCAGCTTTATGCTGTTTAGAGATATTTAAAACTTATGTGAATAAAAAGTTGTAAAACATATGTCAGACAAACATTATATGTGTATATTATATATGTATATAAAGACAAATATATTAGTATTTTAGCCTTCGAATTTATTTTTCCATATATTTGAAGGCTAAAATATTATGAGAAATAAAAGGAGTCACTACCAAAGAATGACAAAAGCTTAGTTCACCAGGAAGACATAAAAACTCTAAACAAAATAAACCTAATAACATGACCATAAGATCTGTAAGACTGGGACCGGTAGAATTCAAAGAGAATACATGATAAATCCACCATCATAGTAAATTTTCATATGCCTCGCTCAGTAATTGTAAAGGTAAACACAGAATTAGCAACAGTGTAAAAACTCTGAATAATGCAAGCTAGATCTAATGAAAATATATAGAATCCTACACTCAACAGTTAGAAAATATACATTCTTCCCAAGTACATATGCAACATTTATAAGAATGTCCACCAATACTAGATCAAATTTTCACAAATTTTTTAAAAATCAGTTTAAAGTAGACTACTTTTTCTTACCATAAATCCGATAATGTTAGAAATCTATAGTAAATTTAATTTGGAAATGTAAAACCACATTTCTAAATAAATGCCCCAGTTGTCATGAATTCAACTTTAATGACATTTTTAGAATTTTTCAATTCTCAGAACTGAAAAATGATGAAAAAGCTATAGCATATCAAAAATTTGATATAAGGTCTGTCAAAACTTATGGATGCAGGTCAAGCTAAGACTTCAGGAATATGTATAGCTTTCCAGTGCAAGAAGGGCTGATATTGGAGGGCTACATCTCCATACTACAGGCAAAAAAGCAGGAGCCGTCCTTCCCAAGGTCAAGAACAGGACAGGCACACTGCCCCCGCCTCTGTGCAACCTTGTTCCAGAGGCCCTAGTACCACGCCAGTGATGTTCTCAAACCCTGTGCCATGATCTCTTGCGTGTTTCAATAGTTAATGTGCTCATCTCCTTAACTAAAGTGAAAGCAACTCAACGTTATAAACCATAGCTTATTGTACTTCACCTCTTTTTGCCTCCCTTTCCTCATCTATAAAACTGGGGTAAAATACTATCTACCCAGCGAGAGGAGGGAAGGCAGCCACCCACATAACGCTCTCAGTGTCACCTCACCTGGCACCCAGCCGACTCACGGAGCCTCGCCTGTTTTTCTCCTTTGCAGCTGCCTGTCACAGGGATCAGTGCACACTTCTCAGAGTCAGAGGTCTTACAGAGAGACTCTAAGGGACCTGGTGGCCAGTCCAGTCTGGCCTTGTTTACCCTTAAACATTGACATTAAACATAAAATTGAATAAACTGCCACTAAGCTGGGGAGTATGGTCAGAAAAGAATAAGCCACGGTTGCTCCCCAGGAAGACCAACAGTTGAATAAAGAAGAAAGATTTAAAAGAAAAACAAAAAACTAATTATATTGAAACTGTAGTGAGATATAGCCACACACCTGTCAGAATGGCTAAAATAAAAATTAGTGGACCAGGCGCAATGGCTCACACCAGTAATCCCAGCAGTTTGGGAGGCTGAGGCGGCTGGATCACTTGCGGTCAGGAGCTCAAGACCAGCCTGGCCGACTTGGTGAAACCCTGTCTCTACTAAAAATAAGGACAACTGGCATGAGTCCTTTGACATAACGTTCTTGAAATGACAAAGTGATGGCGCTAGGGAGGGGTTAGCAGACACGGGGTGTGAGGGGAACAAGGAGCTAGTCGTGGCTAATAAGGGCGGCACCAGCGATCTGCAGATGGACGGACGGTTCTGTGCCTTCACTGTGGTGCTGGCTACCCAAACCTACACCAGGGGGTAAAGTGCCACAGAGATAAACACACACACAGGTGAGTGCGTGTGACACTGGTGACATCCGAACTGTGTGTGTGGATGGTACTGAGGTCAAGTTCATGGCTATAATTTGTCATGTGGTTACCTAAGACAGTACCTCAGGGGAAACAAAGTGAAAGGCACCCTGATCACTCTGTAGTGTTTCTTCAGCTGCATGTGAATCTACAGTTATCTCAAATTAAAAAAAAAAATTAAGGATAATGTGAATTCAATGACAGAGATTTACATAAAGTCCTACTTACCAGGCACCCAGTTATGCAGGTTGTATGTGTTTACTGAAGCTGCTGTAACAGATCACCACAAACTTGGTGGCTTAAAACGGTGAGGATTTACTGTCTCAGCATCCTGCAGGCTGGAAGCTGGAAATCTGGCAAGGCCATGCTCCCCGCAGGCCTCTAGGGGAGAATCTGAGCCCACACGACTCCGAGCTCTGCCTCCCTGGTCACATGGCCCCCACTCCTGTGTCTTCTCTTCTCTGTATTCTCAAATCTCCCTCTGCTTTCCTACAAGGATACATTTCATTGGATTTTTGCTCCCCTGGCTAATCCAGGATGATCTCCTTGTCTCAAGACCCTTAATGTAATTACATCTGCAAAGATCCTTCTCCACAGAAAATCACATTCACAGGTTCTGAAGATGAGGACGTAGACAGATCTGGGGGTGCCGGGGGACAATTTGACCCATTGTATGGATGAAGCCATCAGCACCCCTGGTTTTCAGGACCCTACTCCATCACCACCTAACATTATGCAAAGAAATCTGGGTGATCTTGGAGAGAATCCCAGCCTCCCCACCGCCCAGCCCATGTGGACCTTGCCAAGTTCTCAGGGAGAGGCTGCGGGGCCTGGGCTCACTTCTTGCTGAATGAGAGGTCCTCCCTCTAGACCCTGCAGGAAGATCTCCCGAAGTGCACCTGGGGGTCTCACTACCCAGGCTACAGGAGCCGGCAGATGAAAATAACCTGGATGGGGATTTGTTTGATAACCTGAGGCAGTGGAGGATCATCACGAAGGAACCCTCTGCTCCCCGAGGGTCCCCATTGCTTCTCTCTAGGGTTTCCAAGACTTGGACTAAGGCTCTGGAAGGGCTGTTTACACTGGACCTAAAAGCCAACAAGGAAACGGCAGTTTTTCATGACTCCAGGAAGAGTTAATTACAACTTGGTGGCTGATAGCTGCTGACTCTGCAAGTTTCTGAGCAAATCAGAGACTGGGCAGTGGGAGTTGGTTGAGGATCAGGGGTCTCTCTGCATCAGGCTTCTGTGGAGCTCAGGAGGCCCAGACACTAGCCAGGCACTGCCACTGCCACTGGGTGACCTGGCACCAGTCGCTTACCACGGGCAGCAAGGGCTGCTCTGTGACCTCCTCAGTTGCTTACCACAGGCAGCAAGGGCTGCTCTGTGACCTCCTCAGTTGCTTACCACGGGCAGCAAGGGCTGCTCTGTGACCTCCTCAGTTGCTTACCACAGGCAGCAAGGGCTGCTCTGTGACCTCCTCCTGCTCTGAGCCGACGGCCAGGCCTGCAATATGCCTCTGCCGCACCACCTTGCTCTGCACCTGCGCCATGGATTCCTGATTGCTCTGGAAAATGCCACTCTTCTGCCCTAGCATGGTGGACAACAGGCTCCGGAATCATCCTGCCCAGTTTCAAATTCTGCCTGTACCCCTCCCTCATCATCTGTGCAATCCTGGGCAAGTTCCCCAACTGTCTGAGTGTCAGTTCTCACATCTGCAGAATAGGCATGACGACAAAACTCACCACTTAGGGTGCTGTAGATTAGATGAGATGGTGCATTATGCAATTAAAATAATGTCTGGCACACAGAACACCCTCGGTAGATATCAGTGATAATAACGGTGGTGATGATGATGTCATCACTTGGGGCTTTGACTCAAATAATTCTCTTTTGGTCCTTCCAGTGCCTACTCCTTGTTCATCTCTGACCCACTGTCCGATTTCCCACTGTAAACAGGAGAACACACAAGACTACACCATTCAAAACAAGCAAGGGGGCTGGGTGCACTGGCTCACACCTGTAATCCCAGTACTTTGGGAGGATGAGGCAGGCAGATCACCTGAGGTCAGGAGTTTGAGACCAGCCTGGCCAACGTTGTGAAACCCTGTTTCTACTAAAAATACAAAAATTAGCCGAGTGCGATGGTGCACGCTTGTAATCCCAGCTATTTGGGAGGCTGAGGCAGGAGAATTGCTTGAACCTGGAAGGCGGAGGTTGCAGTGAGCCAAGATCATGCCACTGCACTCCAGCCTGGGCCACAGAGCAAGACTCCATCTCAAAAAAATAAATAAAATAAAATAAAATAAAAAACAAGCAAGAGGCCAGGTCAGCAGAGCATGAAGCAGTGGCAACACCCCTTCCTTTGCTGCTGCAGCCTGGTGGGACATCGACACCATCCCAGCTCAGCTGCAGGGCGCCACAACTAACAGCTGGAATTTGAGACCTTTGAGGAGGGTTTGGTGGCCCCATCCAGCCTTCTGTAGAGATAAGCTGATGCCGCCTGTCTCCACATTTATTTCTCAATAGAAACCTCCTGGTAAGGTCCACTGAGATTTGTCCCTGTACCCTGATATTAGCAGGCTCAGGATGTCCCCCAAGTCCAGAGCCTAGCGTCAAGAGGAGAGAGGCCAGAAGCCAAGTCTTGAGGTGGGGTCCATGGTGCAGGCAGGCAGGCAGGCTCCATTGTGGAGGCCGGCAGGTTCTTTTGTGCAGGCAGGTGGGCTCCAGCTCCTTTGCAGAGGCAGGGGTTCCATGGAGGAGGCAGGCCAGTTCCATTGTGGATCTGGCCGCCATTCATGTTCATTTGATGCTCAAGATCATGTGGGAGCTTTGAGAAGGCTTTAACGCATGTGCTTTTGAGGATTCTTTCAAAAAGGGAAGATTAGAGGCAGGAAAAGCCTGGGGCAACCTGGTAGTGAAAGACAGAAATCAAGTTAGTGTCATCACAGAAGGCTACATGTTCTGAAAACCTCTCTAACCTCGTGCATCCTCCATTCCTGCAACCAACACACACGGGCACCTACGAAGAGGGACAGGGGCTCAGGTCTAAGGAGAATGCACGAGGTGGGGTCCCGCACATGTCGGGGCAGAGTCTGTTGAGCTGGGTGGAGGGTGGACAGCGGAGCCAGGATCCCATGCAGGGTCCTGGAGTGCCCAGCTTGCCGGGACAGGGCGGGGGCCACTGTGCCCAGGAGGGGCTTCTCCAGATGTTCACCCCCTCCCAACACCTGCACCAGAGTCCAGGGGGCTCAGCCCAGACCACAGGCTCCCCAGGCGGAATCTGAACATCCGCCTTTCAAAAGGCAGCCCCCATGTGTGGCCTTGGTGCGGGGATCAGGAAGGACCTTGCCCAAGTGCCTCTCAGTCTGAGGAGGAAAGATCCTGGAGATCGAAGGGGCCGGCGATCCAGCAAAGATGGTGTGTGGAAAGGCATCTAACCCAGCTGGGCAGGGCGGTTTGCTCTTAATAGTTACAAGAAGGCAGGGTTTGTCCACCCCCCCACCAACTCCCCAGGGCCTAAGGCACAGCTTGGCACTCAGTAGTGCTTGGTAGGTATTTGTTGAATGAATGAATGACTGCATGAGGGGCTATGGGTGTTCCTGCAGAGCCTCACCTGTTTGGAGAGTTCCGAAGGGGATGCCTGAGTCACTCTTGCTGGATAACTAGGCATTTTCCAGGTTGGGGCAGGGAAAAGTGTTGCAGGCAGAAGGACAGCATGTGCAAACCCCCAGGGTGAGAGAGTACAGAGCGTGGAAGGACGGGGGTGTGGAGCTCCCCGGGGAGGGAGGCAGAGGGGGTGAGGAGGTAAAGAGGCAAGTGCGGGAGGCTCAGAGCTGTGGACAGAAGGTGGGTCTCAGCAGCATGGGGAGTGGACAGGAGGGGCTTCCCCAGGCCACCAGGGCCATTTAGGAGACCCTCAGGGACAAGATTCCATATGAGGCCAAGAAGGTCTGACCTAGGGATGCAGGGGAAGGGCTTGTTGGGATGGGAGGCAGGAAGGGGAGCTGCAGCCTGGTGGCCAGTCAGGGTAGGGGCAGCATGAGAGGGTCACTCAGGGGCAAGCTAGGGGAGAAGCCACCCTCCTCGCTGCCTCAGGATCCCCACTTCCTCTTCCTCTGACCTGTTGGCCTCGGGCCTCAGCTCCGAGTCAGGAGCTGTGTGGTCACTTTGGGCAGGGCCAGGGCTTTTGGTGGAATAAGACCCAGGTGAGAGGCCTCTCCAGGCTGGGGGTTTCCATTCATTCAGTCATTCAATCCATCTGGCCACATATTTATAGAGCACCTGCTATTTCCCAGGTCTCATGCTGGCCTGTGGGGTCAGGAAGAGAAGCCCGCCTGCTTGCTGCCCTTGGTGGAGGGCAGGCCTGATGTCAGCCCCATCCCCGGGGCTCCTTTCTGACCCACTGTGCTGATGCAGCCCAGGGTGGATCCTAACGTGGGACAGAAAAGGGGCCTCATGGTGCACAAGCCTGCACACAGCTCCAGCTGAGACCAGAGGTGGGTGAGGGGCTGCCATCGGGCACCACAGCACACAGCATGGGTCCACGGGGGAAGGACGGTTTAGAGGTGGGCACGGCTGGCAAATAAGAGGAAAGGGGAGAGGCTCTGAGGCTGAATTTGTCTATTTGGGATTCATAATGATTCTCACGTGATGCTTAAGGCAGCTGTGCTCCAGTGACTACTGCCACATAACAGCCACCCTGGAAGCCAAAGGCTTGACAGCCACAGCATTTCTTTTGTTTACCATGTAGCTCGGCAGGTGCAGACACTCCTGTTCCACACAGCATCAGATGAGTGGCTTGACTGGAGACTGCAGGACCCCTTCCAAAGCAGCCCAGGCACAGGGCAGGCCAGCGGGTGCAGCTGCACCAGCCAAGGTTGAGGGCTGGGGCCTCATTTCTGCTCCACGCAGAAGTTCTTCACGGGCTGCTTGGGCTCCCTTCCAACATGGCAGCTGGGTTCCAGAGCAAGTGCCCCCAGAGACAGGAAACAGAAGCTGCTGTTTCTACAGTCTGGGCCAGGCTGCCCCAGCACCCACCATGTTTTATTGATCAAGCAGCCACAGAGCCCACACTCAACGGGAGGAAATTCGGACCCCACCTCTCCATAGCAGAAGTTTCAAAGAAATTTGAGACTGTTTTAAAACCACCACATAAATAAAAACACATCTTTTGATTGTGACTCTGGGAAAATCAGTTGACCTTTCTGTACCACGCTTTGTAATCATTTTAGAAAACAATCAAATTAATCATAGCTAATACTTCCATATTACTGAGCTTGGCTCAGTTCTAAAACTACGCTTTTGATTAACACTTGCCATGCCCATAACAATTCTATGAAGCAACTAAATTCACACTTGGGGAAACTGAGGTCAGAGGTGTGAAGCGACTTCCCTGGGATCACGTGGCTAACAGGGAGCAGGTGTGGGACTGGGGCCCAGGCAGCTGACTGCAGAATCAAGCCCCTCCTCTGCTCCCCAGGCTGCTTCTCCACCCTGAGCTGAGCAGCTCTGGGACTGCTGCCCAGGTCACTGACAGGCCACACGGCTAAATGGAGGAATGAGGGAGTGAACCAATTGACTAATTCCTTCCATCACAGCCGTGAGCCTGCCCAAAGATGAGCTAGAAACTAGGAAGAGCTTCACCCAGCGGACTCTGCACACCGAGGGCAGCAGAGACACAGCCCCACAGCACGCACAGTACACCAGGTTTATGGTACTACAGACAGGGAAGGGGTAGGGTGCACCCAGAGAGGCTCAGGAACAGCTCCCTGGAAGAAGGAATGACCCGGTAAGACACTGAAAGATGAGTGGGATTGGGCTGGATTATGGGGGAAGAAAAGGATGTGTTCTAGAGAGAGAGAAGCTGTGTGCAGAGGCCAGGAGGAGAGAACTCATGGCTAATTCAGAGAGTTGACAGCAACTCCCTGTGGGCAGAGAGAGCAGGAGCAAGCAGGGCTGGAGCAAAGACTGCTCTAGTGTTCTCCTCTTTGCAGGGCTCCTCAAAGCTCACACCCAGAGTTCCCACAATCCCACATTCATGATCGTTCGGTGTCTGGGCAAGAGGCAGGGACTTGCCTGGGCCCTGAAGCTGCTGAGGATGTAGACCACCTTGCATGCCTTGCCTGGCCCTGCCCAAGCCTCCAACAAAATCATTTTCAGTGTTTAAAAAATTATCTATAATAAGTAGAAGCAATAATCAATTCTTCTGCACCCCAGATTCTTTGAGCAACTCCCAGGTACGAAAAGACTTAACATAAGGCAGTAGATGGTTCAAGAAGTGCTGGGGAGACAAGATCACATCACAGCACATGGTGTGACTTGGTGCTGCCCGGGGAAGCCTGGGAAGGCGTGGGGAGACCTGGCCAACATTTTGCAGAGCAGGGAGAATTGAGCCAGGGCGGGAAAGACACAGGTGAGCGTCCCAGGTGGGACAGGATAAGAATGCTCCAGGCTGAGCACAGCACGTGCTAAGGCACTGGTGCTTAGCCTTCCAGATCCCAAGGCACCCAGGCCTGACCCCGAGATGAAGAAGCGGAGTGAGGGAAATGGGAAACGTGTCGCTCCTCCACAGATGGAAGGCTGCTCAGTCAGCGTGCACTCTCTGCTCCTGATCCCTGGATTCATGCCAGACCACGTTTCCTGGAGTCTCCCCTGTGCTCGAGACCAAAGAGAAAGAGGAGCACTGCTCTCCACACACAATCATGCCACGACTCCCTCCTGGAAGGAGGCCTGTCCTGGGGAAGAGTTCTTCCTGCCAGGGCCAGCTCTTGTTCCACAGAAAGAACCCCATACCACCCCACCCACCAGGACACACCTGGACGCCTGGGCCACCCAGCTCCACCCCAAGCGTGAGTGCATTGCACTTTCCTGTCTGGGGCCAGTTTCCCCATCTGTGAAACCAGACAATGGAACTAGACAAGGGATTCCCAAGTAGCCTCCCAGAGGTGTCTCCAGGGCAGGGAGAGAGGAGGGAGCTGTGGGCCTGGGTGGGTGAAGCCTCGGGAGCCCCTCCCCGAGTTGTCAGCCCAGCCCCTCCTTGATCTGCTTTACATGCCAGGGTTCTGCACCAAGGTCTCATCTGGAGAACAGGCATGCGCATGCACACACACACACACACACGCAGGTGCGCACACACACGTGCACACACATGCAGGTGCACACACGCAGGTACACACACGTGCACACACATGCAGGTGCACACACGCACACACACGCAGGTGCACACACGCAGGTGCACACACGTACACACACACAGGTGCACACACGCACACACATGCAGGTGCACACGTACACACACGCAGGTGCACACATGCAGGTGCACACACACGTACACGCGCACGCAGGTGCACACACACGTGCACACACACAGGGTTCTGGCGCTAAAAAGAAGATACTGTGAAAGGCCTTGGTGAGAGGCTTTGGACGGGATAATCCCCAGAGGCCCTTCTGACCCCTGACTCGAGCCTCCTCCAATCAGCAAGTCACAGCACTGCCAGAAATGCAAGGAGAGGCCACAGCGGGTTGGAAAGGTCAGTGAGAAATGCATAATTCAGGGAAAGCGCTTCCTCCAGGGACCTCTGATGGAGGAGCTGCAGTGAGGCGGGGAGTTGGGATTTTATAGCTTGGGGAGAGAGATGTTATCCCGACCGCAGCCTTGTCCACGGGGCACAGGGTCAGAGCCTCGGCCACACGCAGTCACACAAGCTAGTGGCTCGGGCTTGCGTACAGGGTGCAAAAAGCCAGGCTGGCTCTGGCCTTTGACGTGCAGCACCCAGCTGTTGCCTGGCAACGGCAGATGCTTCCTGCAATGATGAGAGCGATAGAATCAGATGGGACATTTGGTTTTTTCTGGGTAATCAAACCAGTTTAAAAGTTGTCAGTGTTGCCTGGTTACAAGGACAGCTCTGAGCCCCAGATGCCCCAAAGCTGCACCCAGGAACTCTGGGTCTCCTCGGGAACTTGAGGAGAATCAGGCGCAAGGCACAGTGTGCAGGGGGCAGAGAAGGGACCTGGAGCCCCTGCCCAGCTCCCAGCCAGCACTGAGTTGAAGGGACTCAGTCTCCTCTGCAAGTGAGTAGGGGACAAGCACCTGGCCTCCCACCTTCTATGCATCAAATGAGGCGATTCTGAGCCATAAGGTGCTGCAGGGACAGGAACACCTACTCACAGTGGCTCCATGCCTCACTCAGCCCTTCACAGGCGACACCTGCAGGGAGCCTCCCAACACCTGTCCAGCAGGAGACATGAGCACCAAGATGTTTATAAACAGGATTGTGCTCTGTGTTTTTCCCACAACTTGTTTCATTCCATTAACAGCACATTACATGGTCACTCCAAGTCAGTAATGCATAGAGCTTGGCTTATAGTAGCTCTGTGGTGTTGTGCAGGGCACACATACACACATTTGTTTTTACGCTTTGTCATTCCATACATGCTGGGGTGTTTTTTTCCCCCAGTGGTGCACTGACCAACTCTGCCTGCACTGCCTTTCTGCAGCCTGGGGAGTTTTCTTTGATTATGTCTTTGACTTTTGTTTCTGTTCTCTTAATATTAACAGATGAAATCTATTTGGATACTTTCCATCTGCCAGGAACTGTTCTAAGCTCCTTACCAGCTGTCCTTTTATTTACTCCTCACAAGAAGCATAAAAAACAGCTATTGTCCCTTTTCACAGATGATACACATGAGGCACAGAGAGGTTGGGTGATTTGTTTGAAGTCACACAGCATTGAGCAATGGAACCCAGGCAGGAATCCACCAATCCTACCCTCAGGTAGGATGCTACACTGCTGTGCGCTGAAGAGCATGGTTGAGCTCCACACTCCCCTCATTCTCTGCCCCCAGCCGACACCTCCTCCTCCACTTTCACCTTGGATTACGCTTTTGGAGTACCTCCACCGTGGATTTTCCACATCCTTGATCCTCCTTTTTAGCCTCAATGTTGTCTTTCACTCCTCTCTTGTGCGTTTATTTCCAAGTCCAGTTTGTGTCCCCATCAGAGCCCCCCTGTGAGCCTTTCTGCTCTGCAATGCCAGCCTCTTCACCCCACAGCTGTGAGCACTCTGCTGGGTGCACCCACATTTAAGCAGCAATGCCCGGCCGCCTCACTCCTGGACCCCAATTGCATAAGGGTCCTGGCTGCCATAACAATGATCACAAACAGAGGATGGGGGCTTAAAACACAGACGTTTCTTCTCTCACAGTTCTGAAGGTGACATGCGAAATTCATGCTCCCTCCTGAGGCTCTGCGGAGGGTTCTTCTGCCTCTTCCAGCTTCTGGCGGCTCCAGTCATTCCTTGGCTTGTGGCTGCATCACGTCCATCTCCGCCTCCCTCTTCACAGGGCGCTCTTCCTGTGTGTCTCTGTGTGCTCTCCTCTTCTTATGAGGGTAGTAGGCATTGAATTTAGGGCCCACCTGCCCGAAGATGATCTCATCTCAAGATCCTTAACTAATTATATCTGTAAAGAACCGATTTCCAAGAAAGACCTTGGGGTCTAAGGTCATTATGAGGTTCTGGATGAAGATATACTTTGCGGTCACTATCTAATTCCCAACAGCACCCCTCTCTAGTTCTTCTGAGCAGTTTCTGGGAGATGCCGGCTCGGGCTGGATTAGGGAAGATGGGAGGAAGTGAGGGTGTAGGAGGGAGGAGGGGGGCATCTCTGCAGGTGACAGGTGGGTGGGCTGTCCTGTCACCAGCTCAGAGCCGGGTCCCTGTGCAGGGTCTTTCCATTGAAGAAAAAAGAAGTCACTCGGGAGTGTTTTTCATTCCTTCTCAACATTTTCAATTCAGAGACTTGATTTCCAAGGGACACAGACCGGTGGGGCTAGGAGAGCCAGGTCGCTTCCTGAGGGCCCGGCCAGGCCAGCGCTACCTGCATGCTGTCCTCTGCTTCATGAGGTCCTGCCTGGGTGGGTTTCCCATGCTGGCATCTCTGCCTCCCAGCTCTCTTGGTTCTCTGCAGGGTGAATCTGTGCCTCTTCCCTCCTCCCAGGTGCCCGTGGGGATTTGGAGGAGGCCACAATGAAGGCTCCAATCTGGTGTCTGCAAAACAAGACAGGGGATCATAGCATTCTAATCATCACTTGTGCCCCAGCATTAGGCTGACTGGCCGGGTCCCTGAGTCCCCCTTCAGTGCACAGAACATTCAAATTGTACAGGGGAAAAAGAAGCAAGGGCTCAAAAGCAGCTGTCGGCCGCCGGCCGGAGGGTTTACTGGGTCTTAGTAACCTGCTTTTGTGGAAAGGAAAGGAAGGGAGCATTGAGCACCTACTGCCTATGAGATTTGCACAGCTACTTTGTTCAAAGCACCCCGAAAATGTCATCCCCAGTTTATAGATGAGGAGACAGACCTAACAATATTAAAGCCACTTCCCTGAGGCCCCACTAGCAGCAATGGTGAGCTGAAACTCAAACCCTTGCTCCTGGCACACACAGGGCCCCAGCAGGCTGCCACAGGCTGCACACCCAAAGGCCTTTTGGGGAGGCTCGGCCATGCTCAGGAGCAGACCCCAAGGGGAGGTCATGCACACCTTCCTGGTGCCCTGAGCCTCCCCTGCCCATGGGCACAGCCCTGCAGCCTGCACACTTGGCCTCCAGCTACACATCTACATGGAACCTGGTGACCCCATCCAGGCCCTTGGGGGAGAGGCACCTGCACTCACATGGCCTGGGGTCCTCTCCCTGCCTCCAGCCAGCAGGGCCATGCCACCTCCCTCCTCAGGAGTACAATGACCTCCATAAGAAGGCAGGAGAGGCAGGTAGCACTGACCTGGCTGGGCCACCAGGAAGCTGCCTGGCTCTCCTAGCCCACCCATCTGTGTCCCTTAGAATCAAGTCTCTGAATTGAAAATGGTGAGAAGGAGGGAAAACACTCCCCGGTGGCTTCTTTTTACTTCAGTGGAAAGATGCCACAAGAAAGGATTTGGAATGAGCCCCACAGGCCTACTTTCTATGGCTGTGGCCTCCCAAAGGCCCTGGCTGTGAAATGCACCATCTCCATTTTAATGGGGACCATGCTGTTTTCCAGCTAAAGGGAGACAACTGGGCCAAGGGCCCCAGTTCCCACAGCAATCTCTCTTTACCCCCCAGGAGCTTCAGGAAGGCTCTTAACTGCCTGCACACCCCAAAGTGTTCACGCTGGATGTGAAGTCTGCTGGTCCTGCCTGAGCAGCCGCATCCAGGCTGGCCCCCTCAGACCCACATTCCATTCCTCGGACGTCTCTGGGGGGTTCCTGGAGCAAGCATCCCATGAGCTCAGCCCTTCATGGGGTGATGCATCCAAGGCCCAGCAGTCACAAGCCCTGTGCATGATGGCGGCAGTTACCAGATGCGGTGTACCCCGCTAAGTGAGGCCACGTCTATGGCACTACCCAGCGTTGCCCCTCAAGGGGCTGGAAGCAGGGGCCAGGACCCCTGGGAGGAAAGTGTCTCTTCCCATATTGCCTTCACCAGCAGGGAAACCGACTGAGCTCCTACAGAGCCTGACCTGATTTGGGCAGTCTGAGTCCCATAGGGCACGTGACCACACCTGAGCATCTCCACAAGCTGGGCAGGATGGGGAGAACAGGGATGGCACACCCTCATGATAGTGCACCCTCGTGACAGTGCACCCTCGTGACAGTGCACCCTCGTGAAGACACACCCTCGTGATGGTGCACCCTCGTGATAGTGCAACCTCGTGACGGTGCACCCTCGTGATGGCACGCCTTCGTGATGGTGCACCCTCGTGACAGTGCACTCTCGTGACGGTGCACCCTCGTGATGGCACGCCTTCGTGATGGTGCACCCTCGTGACAGTGCACTCTCGTGACGGTGCACCCTCGTGATGGCACGCCTTCGTGATGGTGCACCCTCGTGACAGTGCACTCTCGTGACGGTGCACCCTCGTGATGGCACGCCTTCGTGATGGTGCACCCTCGTGACAGTGCACTCTCGTGACGGTGCACCCTCGTGATGGCACGCCTTCGTGATGGTGCACCCTCGTGACAGTGCACTCTCGTGACGGTGCACCCTCGTGATGGCACGCCTTCGTGATGGTGCACCCTCGTGACAGTGCACTCTCGTGACGGTGCACCCTCGTGATGGCACGCCTTCGTGATGGTGCACCCTCGTGACAGTGCACTCTCGTGACGGTGCACCCTCGTGATGGCACGCCTTCGTGATGGTGCACCCTCGTGACAGTGCACTCTCGTGACGGTGCACCCTCGTGATGGCACGCCTTCGTGATGGTGCACCCTCGTGACAGTGCACTCTCGTGACGGTGCACCCTCGTGATGGCACGCCTTCGTGATGGTGCACCAGGGGACCAGGGCCTCCAGCCTGGAAGACAGCGAAGCTCAGTGACCTGAAGCTGCCCAGTGTGTGGGTTCCTTCCGGCAGCCCCAGGACACATGGCACCTTCATGGCCCCACCCCATATCCTCCTGCTGTCGAACCCTGTCTTGGCGTCTGCCTCCCGGGGTCCCTGAGTGGCCCACGCAGCACAGGATGTGAGTACAGGGAGGGGCAGGGATGGGAAACAGTGACACAGTTTGCCTTCCGAACTTTGGAGTTGGGGGATGAACCCCGAGGAGCTCGGGGGCCCTGGTCCAGGCTGGTATCAGGGAGGGACAACGAGGTCCCTGGGATGGATAGGGTCACCACAAGGAAGGAGAGAGACCACCTTGGCTGGTGGCCACTGAGGCAGGGCTGCCAGAGCTGGTCCCTGCCCAATCCTGACCCAGTCCTGTGGGCACCAGCCTGTGCCTCTGGCTTGAACCCGAAGAGGCAGAACTTCGGGCGGAGGGACGGGTGGACGCCAGACCCCACGCTCCACGGCAGGCTTGTTTTTTGGACAGTGCCCTTGGGTACCAGGGAGTGGGGAGCAGGTGCCGACCCAAATGCTGCTGCTTTTTGTGTCTCTGGCCCCCCGATTCCAGGAGGCTGAGTGCCTCATGGTGGGTGTTACAAACACGGCCCATCTCCCTGTGCAATCCTCCCACAGACCCTGTCCTGGAGGGGCTGAGGGTGAATGGTCACACCTGGAGCCCTTTCTGGCACCGATGCTTTGACTAAGCCCGAGCTGCTTCTCTTCCTGCCTCAAGGACAAGCCCCTTGCACCACCTGATCTCATCCCCGGCCTCTCACACTCAGACTGGGACTCTCACAAATTCACATGCACATCCACATGCAGGAGAAAGATGCAGTGTGCGGAGAAGTGCTTACAGCCGCACAGTGCAGACACGACGCCCCTGTGCAAGCGCCTGACCCCTCTCTCCTCTGACCACTTCTGGGGGGTTATGTCAATTAATCTTCTAGGCACCCTGAAATGGGTCATCTTATCCCATCTGACAGATGAGCAGGCTGAGACTGAGGCTGATCAGAGTGCCCAGTGTCCCTCAGCTCATGAGTGGGGGCACCGACAGCTATCGTCATCCAGAACCATCCTTCCAGGGAAGGTCCACGTGCACCTGGATCTCAGCAGCTCTCCAGCAGGTGGACACGCCCCTTCTCCTCCTATCCAGGAAGAAACTACAGCTCAGAAAGTTGCGGGGCTCCCGGGGCTGCTGGAGCCTTCTGACCCCTAGTCCAGGGCTCTTCCTACCGGTCAAGGGCAGAGTTTGAAGGGCCCCCTCTGTATTTGCCCCCATTGTCCAAGAGGACAGGTTTTTCTCCTTCTTTCTTGCTCCGGCATTTCTGGTAATCAACAGTGTTTGAGCTACCCTTCTCATCCCCACCAGGATAGAAAAGTTACACCTGAGAGGAGGGAGAGGAGCAGGAAATAGAACTATTGGGCACTAGAATGAACACTGGCTGATGAAATAATCTTCACAATTAAACCCCCATGACATGAGTTTACCTATTCAGCAAACCTTCACATGTACTCCCAAACCTAAAATTAAAGTGAAAAAAAGCACACGAAAAGATGATCTGCATCATTACTTACAGGTAATTTCAAATTGCCACCTCCTCCTCACACATCCGTCAATCTGGCTAAAGTTTTAAAATCACTGAATGCACAGTATTGGGGAGGACAGGCAGGAATGGCAGCATTTGTGCATTACTGGTGGGAACAGCAATGGGTAAGATCGCTTTGGAAGACTTTGTGTAATAAACATGGGTAAACAGAGTGTACCCACGACATGGACCAGCACGTCCATAGCAGAGTTATTCAGCACAGCCCCAAATCAGGAACAATTCAGATGGCCATCGACAAGAAAATGTATAAAATAACTGTAATATCTTTATATAGTGTCAGGCATAAATATGAAAGAGAAAAAAAAACACTGCTACAGGCAACAACAGGGATGAATCCCATAGACACAAAGTCTAATAAAAGATGCCAGACCGACTGGGCGTGGTGGCTCGTGCCTGGAATCCCAGCACTTTGGGAGGCCGAGGCAGGTGGAGCACCTGAGGTCAGGAGTTTGAGACCATCCTGGTCAATATGGTGAAACCCCGTCTGTACTAAAAATACAAAAATTAGCCAGGCTTGGTGGCGGGCACCTATAATCCCAGCTACTCAGGAGACTGAAGCAGGAGAATCGGTTGAACCCGGGAGGCAGAGGTTGCAGTGAGCCGAGATCACACCACCGCACTCCAGCCTGGGTGAGAGAGCGAGACTGTCAAAAAAAAAAAAGAAAAAAAAAAGCCAGACCTAAAAGACTGCATAGCATATGATTCCATTTATATGAAGTCCCAGAATAAGCAAAGCTCATACACTATGAGTGAAGGTTGACAGGAGAGATATTGTCTTGGAAGGGACACAAGAAATCTCACGTGACGTGGGAAATGTTCTGTATGTTGATCTCAGTGGTACTTGTAGTTTTTAGAAAAGGTGATAACCTTTGTAAAATTTCATCAAGCCACACCTTTTATATTTGTGCATGTCACTCTACATATGTTACATATCACTAAAAAATAGCGCCGGGCGTTGTGGCTCATGCCTGTAACTCCAGACTTTGGGAAGCTGAGACAGGAGGATTGCTTGATCCCGGGATTTCGAGACCAGCCCGGGCAACATGGCAAGACCCTGTCTCCACAAAATTAAAAAATTAGCCAAGTGTGGTGGCATGCACCTGTGGTCCCAGCTACGTGGGAGGCTGAGGTAGGAGGATCGCTTGAGCCCAGGAGGTTGAGGCTACAGTGAGCCATGTTCATGCCGCTGCACTCTAGCCTGGGCAACAGAGTGAGATCCTGTCTCAAAAATAAATAAATTTTCTAAAAAAAAAAAAAAAGAAAAATTATACCTAGATCTGGGCAGAATTTGAATGGCTGAATTTCCATTTGAACCACTTCAGTTTCAATGCAACCAAGTAATTAGGGGGTGGGGTAGGTTGCCGGTTTCTCACACTTAAAAGATACAGAAAGTGTCTTACCAGGTTTAGAATTCACCAGTTTAACAAGTTTGGAGTTTCTGACTCACACTTTTCATGAAATAACTTTGAAACCCTGTGATCACATGATTTTACAAAATATTAAACCTTCTCAGCTATAAAAAGGTTTTTGGACATTCTGCAGGTCTCAGTAAACAGCCTTGCTAATTTAAGCATAAATTAATTGCATGTGGCTGGAGGAGAAACCAGCTAATTTTTTCTGGGCCATAAACCCTGGGCTGAGTCAGAGGCGTGATGCAATCAGGGCTGGGGGTGGGCAGGGGGTTATCTGCAGCGCAGCCTTTTCCCAGGCTGGCCTCCATGCCCCTAACACAGGTCCAACCTCATTCTGCTTCTGGAAAAGGAAAAGAATGGTTTGGGATCAGGTAGACAGGGCTGAAACACCCTCCCCCACCACCACCATGTCCATGGCACCCCTACTGCCCGCTCTGCGACCTTGGGCAGCTCCTTTGATCCCTACACCCCAGGACTCAGCGTCTGCACCCACCACCTGGGGTGGTAGTGAGGAGGAGGGCACAGGAGCTGGCCGCACAGCACCCAGTGTGGAAATTACTCCTCCGCGCCGCAGCTTCCTTCTAACCAGAAGCCAAGGAAACATCTGGGCATTGTCTTCAGGACTGATCCCCCAGTCCTGACCTCTCTAGGAACATCTTCCCCGTTCAGAGGGGGAAGGAGGGGGCCTGGGGTCCTGCTGCAGGGCCAGGCGTCAGCTCAGGGCTCCTGCTCCAGACCCCAGAGGGCTGGGCATGGGGCTTAGCACGTGGCATCCCTCATGCCCACGGTCCCAAGGCCAGTTTGGTAGGGTGTCAACACAGGGGGCCATCTTGATGGCCAGCCTTGGGTGGACCAGGGCTACAGCAAGCCCTATCACCATGGCAGCTCACAGCAAAGTGGCTTCTCTCCTGGCCCATTAGGGCATGAGGGATGAAGAACCTCAGGGTGCGGCTGCTGGGCAAATCATCACTCAATGCATCTCGAATGCCTCTCATAGCCACACCAGGGCAAGCTTGGGAAGGTCCTACCCCTCCCCACTGCACCCTCGTGGCCCTGGCGGGTTCCACCCTGGGTGGTCTGGGTCAGCCTCAAGAGCCCCTATCAGCTGACCCCAACACACCTGGGTTTTCCATTCCTGCCCCTGCACAGTTTAAATCATCACAACAGAATTATGTGCTGTCTGGGTCATTCCATAGCGATCCACTGAAATCAATTGCCCACAGAAGCAGACAAATTCGAGAAGGTGGCCCCCAGCCCTGCTGGTCTGCCGCATCCCCGAAGGTGCCAGTGGCTGGAGCTCCCAGGCCCGGCACAGGGACCCTCGATGCATTTCTGTTGCCTGCCCAGTTAGACTCACGGTCACTCCAACTGGCTGGGTCAGTGGTCAGCAATGCTGTGGGCCATGCGATGCACCTCCTCGTGGGCCCCCATGCTGACACGTGACCAGTGGTGACGTGTCATGTGTCACACATCACCATCCAAAGGCAGTGGCACTCATTCACGTGTCTTACAAATGTTTGTGGGTTTCTCCCAGATCCCAGGCAGTGCCAGGGAGTCAAGGGATGCGGTTCCTGCCTCCAGGAGCTGACAGGTATATGCGGCAGACAGACATGGAGCAGACAGTGCATCACACAGCCATCAGTGAGCTCGTGTGGACCTTGATGGGGGCTGCACTGGGGGCCTGGTCTCCACGAGCATGCATCATGGAAGGAGACGTAATGGAGGACATTAGGGTGACCGGGCTCAGACGGGGAAGGCAGGAAGATGCTGTACAGTGGCTCATGGCTGGGAGGGACCTCAAGGAGCTGGAAGACCAGCCAGTGAGGCCGCTGCAACAAGTGGGGTGCAGGCTGGGGAAGGGGTAGACCTCACAGGCCCCCGAGACAAGCAAGGTTTGGTGTCACAGCCCAAGGCAGCTGGATGCCATGCTCCTTATCACGCCCTTTGTCCTAGTTGGGTTTCAGCTTTCTCTGCAGCAGCTGTGTGCTGACTGGGCTGTGGAGCAGCCTTTGCCAAACTGGGTTCCATGGAGCACTAGTCCACAAATTGCCTCTTGACAAATGTTTTCACAGCAAAACTGCTGCATGAAATCTGCAAGCTCCACCTCTCCTGCAAGGGCGGCCGTGTATGTTAGCCTCTCAGAGGTACTGATAAGTCCTGCTGTGGGGAAATCACACACCGCCCTTTGTGAACTGCCCCTCCCATGATCACATGCTCCTAGGAGCTGTCGCTGGCCCCAGCCCCGTCCCTCAGCTAGCCAGGGACATGTACTCTCTACACAGCCACAGAAAGGGGCAAGGTTATCCAACCAGGGTGTATCCTGGTTTGAGGCGGTGCAGGGGCCCAGTACTTATTCCTACACAGCCCAGTTGTGACTTTTGAGAGCAATCAACCCACTGGCTTTACTTTGAGGCAGCTCTCATGGGCAGACTAGAATCTCAACTCCCTAAGCAGGAGCGTGAGCCAGCGTTTCCCTCTGAAAAGTTCAGTGGGCAGAAAAATATTACGGGAGAACCCCCAAGACAGCATGCTTTGGTCAACTCAGAAATGTTCTGGGTCACCCATTCTTGCCCCCAAGTCTTCTAATCACTGGAGACCCTGAGCGAGAGGGCATGGGAGTCACTCCTTACTGCTCATCCATGCGGCAGGCATGCACCTGCACCTCTCAGACCCAGACCTTCTTGGCCCACATCTGCCCCACATGCCAGGCACGGGATTTGCCTCTGACTTAGGAAGGAGGGCAACATCAACCTGATCTTGGGAACTCGTGACATGCGGCAACTTCACGGGGCTGGAGGCGGGAGGGGCCAGGAGCCAAGAGACAGGTGGGGAGGGGAAATGCTGCAGGGAGGTGGTGGATTCCAGAATCACAGGGGCCTGTCGCAGGAAGAGAGGGAATGGGTCCCAAGATGCAGGGACAGCCATGTCCTGGGCGCCAGCCCTGAGTACACTGGGCCCAGCCTGATTCAGTAACTGCTGCCGCCCAAACACAGCAAGCCCTGCACGCCTCGCACCAGCTCTGCACCGGACAGGCAACTGTTCCCTCCCCGCAGGCAAGCCACAGCGCGGCACCTGGTCCTTGGCTCCCAGGACAACGCAACACACCCTCCAGGGTCCCTGTGGACAGACATCCCTGCTGAGGGCTGGGTGGGGAAGAAAGGACTCAACGTTAAATCTCCACGCTCTGAGAAAAGAAAAGAGGGCAGGCGGGCGGGCAAGCGGGTGGGCAGCCACGTTGGCCCTTTGAAGCAAACATGTGTACTTCTCAGGGCTACCCCACCCTCCGAAGACGCGTCCCCAGGCCTGGACCCATGGGCTGTCCGCGGGGCCCCACAGGCTGGTCTTGCTGCTGGTTCTCCTGGGACAACTCTGTCCGTGTGCCCTTTTCACTGTCAGGAGAGCGCTGGGCTGGTCGTCCCACACTTCATGGTCCACAGCTCACGAGGAACTGTGTCTCCGCTCCTCAGTGGCAACCCCATGGCCCGTAAAGGTGCCTTGAGCAGAGAGAGATGCGAACAGCTGGTCCCCAGTGGCTGCAGCAGGAGGAGAGAGCAGCTCTAGGCCACCCCTTCCCAGCTGCCCAGCCAGAGGAGATCAGGCACAGAGCCTCACACCCAACTCAGCAAACCAATCCCTCCCATCCAGTGAGGGGTGAAGTGTGTTTAATGAATGCAAAGTCGTGCTATCCCTGGAATGGAGGCCAATTTGACTGCTTTATTCCCAAAATTATTTGAAGTAGCTTCAAGATTGGGATTAAAACATCCATCAAATCTGCAGGAAGGGGAAGGAGGCGTGGCTGCTGTGGGAGCAGCCTGCAAGAGCATGGCTAGATGGTGCCCTCGGGGTGCAGACGCGCATCAGATGGAAGGTGAGGGAGACTCCAGGAAACAAGGACAGGCAGAGGCCCAGGTGGGGCCTGGGGAGCAGGGACCCGGAAGTGCAGTGAGCAGGGGTTCCAGCACAGTTGGGGCTTCTGAGCATGTCAGGTGGGGCCAGGGGCAGTTCCCTCCAGCAGCCCAGGTGGAGTCTGTGGTCTTCTGGCCCCTCCATGCCTCCGTTCTCTTTCCAGAAGTCCAAAGTATGGGACCAGGTGACCAAAGCTTCGAGCCTTGAAGCAGGAGGGCCCGCCCAGCGGATGTAAATGCCTCCACGGCTGCCCCAGGCTGGCTCTCCCGCCTGCCCACCACCATTTTCAGAAACTGCTGGGGATCGAGGCACAATCAGGAGCTGGGAGGAGGTGCACTTGCACAGATATGATGTCCAGCACCCCAGACACGTGCCCCGGACTCTTTCCTTAACCCCTCGAACATTCGGAGGAGGCCCTGGTTCTTTCCGGATCATCTCAGATGGGCCCAGAACCTCCCTGCAGCCCCAGCACCTTCATGGGCCCTTCCAGGTGACGGCTGGTCCTCCTCACCGCAATGGGCCTGGGGTACAGAGCCCGGACCTTGGTTCATGTCCAAGCACCCGAGGCCACCGGGCGCTGCCAGAGAGGTCAGGAGCCTCTGTAATGAAGGAGCGGCCCCTCCCCCAGCCCAGGTGTGTTTTCACTGTGGTCCTCCTTTCCATCTGTGCCACCCCCAAGACCAACATGGTAAATGCAAGCAGCACCGTTCAAGGAGCCGCCAGCCGCCTCTGGCCTTCCCTTCTAAAAGGGGATGAAGTGCCTGAGCCCAGCTGATGAGAATCCTCACAGCATAGATTACAGTCAGAAGCTCTTAAAGATTTAGCATAACACAGACGAGATGCCTATCTCCGGGGGCCCTTGAGGAAGCAGCATCTTAAATAAAACCATCATACATCTTTCCTCCTGACAGCAAGACAGGCAGCATGGGCCAGAGCGGGATCGATCCCTCCTCCCACGTAGATGGGTCCTGATTATTCCCTTAAAAGATGTCAGATGCTGAACAACAAGACATAAACTCCTGACACTGTCTTGAGATGCTTTTTCAAGATTGCTGCAAATGGAAGGCAGGAAAAAACAAACAGAGCCATAGTGATCAGGGCTTCAGAAGCACCTCATGGAAAGAACACCAGAGCTGGCGGCGGGCCAGCCTGTGTGGCTTTCGCCTTCTGTGCTTGAGCCCGACAGCCACCCCAGGAGAGGGGAGCATTCTGGCTCAGCCGGTGCACGTTAGGTCTAGCTGCCAGCTGCCTGCACTGCTTCCCAGAACCTGCCTGCCCTTGTCCGGGGCTGGGGAAGCACAGGACATGGCTGAAGTCTAGACTTCAGCAAAAGGTAGAACTGAGAAGGAATTGAGAGTCTATGGGATCCCCTGAGCACACGCAAACGCACACAGCAACAGGCCTTCGAAGCGGGGTCCTAGGGCACATGCGCTGGGTGTGTCTGTGGCCCAGGGTGACACAGCTCAGCACTCTGGGCACCCCACCCTTCCAGCTCAGGGCGCCTGCTGGGGGTGCCTGCACTGACTCTCCCAGTAGTCGCTCAGGAACAGTTACTAAAATGGATCAGCCCCTCAGCTTTGTGGAGGTAGGGGGACATCCCCTGACCCCTTTTTGGTAGGCTCTGGCCCCAAGCTCAGAGAGGTGTCTCCTTCTGTTTCTGCCTCTCTTGCCGGGAAGAGAAGCTGCCCACTGGCAAGTGAGGTCCAGGCTGTCCAGGCCCCACCTGGAGGAGCTGCCCACCCCTCATTTGAAGTCCTTCATCAAACTTCTGGAAAGTGCCCCATGGCAGGAGCTCAGGGGTCAGCATGGAGCAGTGGGTGTCGCCTTCCTGGGGACCACACCGACAGCAGGAGACTCGCTCACCATGAGTGAAAAACGAAAGAAGCTCTGCGTGAGTTAGACAAGGGTCTACCCAGCAAGGAGGCCTCATGCCCCGGCCCCAGGCCCCAGGCCCGCTGCAGGGCCCCGAGTTCTGTGCACGGATGGCTTTTGACGTTCACCCAGATTTTCACTCCACATCCTTCCTGCACATGGCAGATAGCTTTCCATTCCCAAAACGCACAGAGAAGGACCCAGTTCCAGTGGTAAGAGCTGAGGTGAATAGCTGTCTCCACTGGCCACCTCCTAGCTGACGGTGTGACAGTGACTGCTGGGCCCAGTTGCCTCCCCAGCGTGACCCCCGGGAGACTTCACCCAGAACTGTCCAATCGCCTGGAAGCTGGGGCTCACCAGTCCAGCCCAAAGCACTTTGTCGTGAAGGTAGAGGCATGATGGGGAATTTACATGAAGCCACAACCATTTTCAGAGCTGCAGTAACAGTTTCTCAAGTTTCGAGGCACCCACCCGCTGCCCCAAATGTGAGACAGGAGTCCTGCGCGTCCTTAGTCCTCCGAGCTAGCATGCTGGTCCCGCAGCGTCCCGCAGCGTCCTGCAGGATGGTGGGACTGCGGGGGTGTGCTCCCGAGGCACCAGGCCACAAAGAAGACTCTGGTGTTTGCTGGAATCAGCAGTGATTGCCCCAAGTGCCTGGGTCATGGCCCTCACCATCCTGACCGTAGAGCTGGGGCCTGGTGCCCTGGGGTATAGGGAATGAGACCCGGGCCTGGGACAGCTGTGAAGCAGGAGGTTTGCCCCACTGCACAGATAAGCGCAGCTATGGGACAGGGGTCGGGCTGACGCTTCCCTTGGGGCCAAAGACACCAAAGCACAACCGTCTCCTTGGATGGGACACCCTCTCCTTGCATGTCACTCAACTCTCTCTCTCTCTCTCTGTCTCTCTCTCTCTCCCCCAGCCTCCTGGGGAAAATCTGCTCTGTTAACTGGCAGGGTCATTGTCTAAACTCCGTTAGGCCCATGATGGCTAGTTTTGTATGCCAACTTGGCCAGGCTGTGGTGCCCAGTTGTTGGTTGCCCACCAACACCAGATGCTGCTGTGAAGGTAATTTTTAGATACGATTGACACTTACAGACCGCTGATTTTATGTAAAGCAGAAGCTCCCCCATGACGTGTGTGGGCCTCGTCCCATCAGCAGAAGCCCTTGGGCAGAAAGACAGGCTTCCCAGAGAAGAAGCAACTCTGCCTCAAAGCTGAATCCACCCTTATCTGAGTTTCCAGGCTGCCAACCCGCTCGACGGAGTTCACACTCACCAGCCCCACCATTCACGGTTCTGTTTCTGTCCTGTTCCCCTGGGGCACGCCGATGGACACAGCCCTGAACGTAGGGCCCTGGGATGAGGACTTGAATCTGGAGGAACAGCCATGCAGATGCTGGGTTTGCAAGTCTCGGAGTGCTCCCATCATTCCCCAATGGGCCTGGGTCTCCATAGCCCCCAGAGTAGGAGGGGAAATGAAAGCAAAGTGGGGCAGGGTCGGCGGGCAGCCCCTCTGGAGGCCTCAGGACAGTGCGGAGCCTCCCCTCCTTGTGGGGATTTTTGGGGAACGTTCCTATCAGGGTGGGGAGAGGGTGTCTTGTTCCAAATCAGAAGTTCACACCGCCCACCCGTGGTGTCACCCACCTCTGTGTGACCTTGGCTGTCTGCCAGCTGTGATGGTGAGCACTGGGATGGGCTGACCAGACACCCTTCTGGGACTGCATGTGGCATCACTGGTGCTGCAGGGGTGGTCTCCGCTGCAGAGAGTGGCCTCACCCAAGGGCACATCCTCCTGGGCCCCCCAAATCCAACGCCTGGCCAATGAGGGGTGTAAAGGCCCAGGCACCTCAGCCCAACTCAGCCCAGCCCTGGGGGGTCACTCTAGCCCCAGCTCCCGTGAGGCCAAGGCTGGTGTGGGGCCTCCTACGGCTGAATTTCTGCCTCTGCTGGGCCCAGCTTCCTTCCCTATCCATGGGGTTGCACTCCTCAGTTCACAGCCTGCACGCCACACTCCCTGCCAGAGTCGGGTTCCCGGACCAGCCTCAGCTCGGCCTCATGAGCACCACGAAGATGGCTGGGGCTCCCCAGTGTCTGCACCAGAGACTCCAGGCTTTTCTAGGGAAAAAATGCCACCCACCCACCCCACAATCCCATGGCCACCTTCCCACCTGCCTCCATCACCAGGGCCAGAGGGCATCTTGCCACGAAGATCCCATGGCTCAGAATCCTTTTCACCTTGGCAGCCCCATCCATACATCAGTGCAGGCTTCTGGTTCCCTGGGTGCACAGGTAAGACTGTCCCTACCACTCACTACCCCCCAGCCCAGCCCCACCCTCCCCTCCTAGAAAAATGGGGACAGTAGTGCCGTACCATGATGTTTCTGGAAGAATCCACTGAGCTGAGCTAGTGTGCCATCTCTCAGAAAGCACGCCCTGATCATGGCTGCAAATGCTGTTATGACAGGGGGCGGAACAAGGGCACCCACCGGCCGCAGGCCTGTCCATGCCTGCTGGACCCAGAACCAAGGCATCCCAAGCCCCAGCCCAGTGCCCCCTTTCATTCTTTCATTCACTCGACAAATGCTCATAAGCGCCTGCCACATGCAGGGCAAAATTCCATCTCCTGCAGACAGAGCCCCAACCCCCTAGAGCTTATTCTAGGGTGGAGGGCAGACGAGAACCCAGCGAACATGCAGTATCTGGTCAGAGTGGCACAAAGAGGGAATCACGGCACCAGGGTGGGGAGAATCTCCAGGAGGGGGCTCCGCAAGGCACAGGGAGGAGGCAGGTGCACTTCCTGGGCGTCTTGGAAGAGGTAGGGGCACAAGTGGGTGTGCAGAATGAGCAGGGAGAAGGGCAGGGGTTGGAAACTGTGGCCCTGAGGGGCCTCCCGGGCTCCAGACAGGTCTGGGCTACTGTCAGTGGGGAGAACCAGGTCAGCAGCTTATCCAGTCATGAAAACACACTTGTGTCCATGTGTTCAGCCCCGCATCTGGTACTTTGGGTCTGAATCCGGGCTGGGGGAGCAGGGAAGACAGTGCACGTCCCTTCCTCAGGTAGGAGCGTGGGCAGTGGCTGTGGCCGGAGGCCCCAGCTCTCATAGGAGCCACACCCTCTGGATGGGGCTGGCTGGGTGGGTGGGACCTTGGCAGGAGGGCAGGGAGCAACCCCAACCGTGGCCCCACAATGTCCACATGCTCTGGGCCCCGCAGCTCAGCAACACTCAGGACTGCCCCATGGAAATCCACCTGCCATGGAGATGCATGGGAGGGAAGGAAAGAGGAGGAGAGGCCCGAGGGAGGAGCCGTCCTGCAGAAGGGCCGTGCAGCAGGAGAGAGAAATGAAGGACCCCTGACAAGAAAGTCCCTCCCGTCCGCCCAGAGCCCCCTGAATAACCGGAGGGAGGCAGCTTGCTGGAGTTGGGGTTGGAGGACCTGGGCTTAGATCCCGGGTGACTTAACTTTCAGGAGTCAGTGAGCCTGAGCCTCCTCTCACTGGTAAGATGGGAACGGTGTCTGCCATACCTGTCACACGGGGGCAGCGGCGGGTGGCCACGGGGCGGGGGAGGGGGGCGATAAAAAGGTTGGTGACGTCACACCCCACCTGGCAGTGCCCCTTTTCCCTTCAAGAGCAGGTCACTGGGATGAAGCACACTGCTCTATCTTCCTTGACCTTGAATGATGCCTGCGGCACCCTGGGCTCCGTGCCCTCGGAAGGAGAAGCTACTCTTTGTTTTCAGGGGTGTGCTCCAAACACAGGTGTGGCCCTCATGCTCTGAAAGAAGTGAATCAATTCCCACAAGAACGCTGAGATCCAGAGACCTTCACAGCAGGATACAGAAGGGTCTACCCTTCAGAAACTCGGCAGATGCAAAGAGCTCTCCAGCAACTTGTAGGGCAAGCCATCCCGGAAGGACGTCAGATCCTGGCAGCTGTCATGCCACAGTAAGAACCTGGGTCTTGGAGTCCAAGAAAAGGGGTTAAGGCCCAACTCTAAGACTTCCTGGCCAGGAGACGGTGAGCAAAGAGCAAGGTCTCTGGCCTTCCATCTGCCACCCTGTGAAAGGAGAGGAGGTGCTTCCTCCACCAGCTGCTATGAAGATTAAATGAGATCATGGGGGTAAAATGCTTTGTACACTGTGACATGCGAATGTCGTTCTTAAACACCACCCCCACCCCGGGACCCCGAAATTGAAATCTCAAGAGCGTGAAATTTCATCTACCAGGCAGGATAGGAGGAAATGGGTTCTGTTCAATCCAAAGATGGCTGAGGGCCAGAGCCCCCATGCCTGAGGAGGGCTGCGGGGAAGGCAAGGGCCTGGACAGAGCCCTCCCTGTAGCCTGGAAGAAGAGCCCATTCTGCCTCCAGGTCCTGTGTTGGGGGATGGCCCTCGGCACAAGAACTGTGCCTGACACGCGGGATCTCAATTGTTGGATGCATGAAGGAATGGGTCATGTTTTCTGAAAGGTCTCGGGCCCAGCACCGGAGGTCGCCCTGTAGGGGCTGCGGGACTGTCTGATGGAGACCATCTTCTGTCAGGAGGAGCCTGATGCATATGTGAGTCCCCCCACCCCCACTCCCAGTGCCAAGGTACAAGGAATGGCAAGTCTGAAACAGGAGAGAACAGCCAGGGTTCTCAGCCACATCTCCCTGCAGCCAGCATGGGCATAGCTGACGAAGCATGGGTGTGATCTGGAAGCAGCTGGGTAGAAAAATCACAAAGAGCCTTGGCCCTTCATAAGCACGAAACCAAGAGATCTCATGCCCATCAGCTCACTGTTGATCGCTTGGTTTAAATATCTTTCAGGGCAAAGAACCATCAGTGCACCTCAGTGTCCAAGCAGAGTAACTGTGTACTTCTTAGCAGGTGCACCAGCAGAACAGCAAGTCCCCCCAGAAATCACAGAAATGAAAATGCAAATGGCAATAAATGCAAGTGTCACTAATGCCCACCTCCATCAAAACCAAATATTCGTAAACCAATCATATATTCGTCTGTTCTCATATTGCTGTAAAGAAATACTTGAGACCAGGTGATTTATCAGGAAAAGAGGTTTAATGGGCTCACAGCTCTGCAGGCTGTACAGAAAGCATAGCAAGGGAGGCCTCAGGAAACTGACACTCGTGGGGAAAGGCGAAGGGGGAGCAGGCAGGCGAAGGGGGAGCAGGCAGGCAATCATGTGGCCACAGCAATGAGAGAGATAGAGAGAGAGAGGAGAAGGTGCCACACGCTTTGAAACAGCCAGTCTCATGAGAACTCACTCTGCTTCACGAGAACAGCACCAAGGAGATGGTGCTAATTCATGAGAAACCGCCCCTGTGACCCAATCACCTCTCACCAGGCCACACCTCCAGCACTGGGAATTACAATTCTACATGAGATTTGGGTGGGGACACAGAGCCAAACCATACCGGTTCATTAAAAACCTAGCTTTGAGCAACACTAATTCATTCAACAAATATTCTTGAACAACTACTATGTGTCAGGTTTACATTCTAACAAGCAAATAATCAAGAAAATACGAGTTACCTCCTAGAACTCTAAGTGCAATGTGGCTGTGTCAGGACAGTCACGTCCACCTCTGAGGAAGAGAAGTCCATCACTCTAGTTTTGAAATATATTATCTGGGCTGGGCGTGGAGGTTCATGCCTATAATCCCAGCACTTTGGAAGGCCAAGTCGGGTGGATCACTTGAGGTCAGGAGTTCGTGACCAGCCTGGCCAACATGACAAAACCCCATCTCTACTAAAAAATACAAAAATTAGCCGGGCATGGTGGTGCGCACTTGTAATCCCCGCTATTTGGTAGGCTGAGCCAGGAGAATCACTTGAACCTGGGAGGCAGAGGTTGCAATGAGCCGAGATCACACCACTGCACTCCAGCCTGGGTGACAAGAGCAAAACTCCATCAAAAAAAAAAAAAAAAACAGAAAGAAAGAAAGAAAGAAAGGAAAGAATTCTATCATCTGTAGCCATTCCCGAACAATAATGAGACTGTGGGACAACTGCCTGTCAAGGTCACCTCAGGCTGGGGGAGGCAGAGGCCCCCAACTTTTAGGGGAGGATTATACTTCGGTTTTTGCAGGGGTCTTAAAGCTCATGTTGTTATCTATTCCTTTTCATAAATTCAAGGACAGCCAGAAGCCTCTACCACCAGTTGTGTCACTCCATTCAGGCTCCTAGGACAAAATGCTATAGACTGCGTGGCTTAGAAACAACAGACAGATATTGCTCACAGTTCTGGGGGCTGAGAAGTCCAAATCAAGGCACCAGCAGTTCCTGTCTGCGAACCCACTTCCTGGTTCATGGACAGCGCCTTCTCACTGCGGCCCCACGTGGTGGAAGGGGCAAAGGAGCTCTCTGGGGCCTATTTGATAAAAACACGAGTCCCATTCGTGAGAGCAGATTCCTCATGACCTGATCATTGCCCAAAGGTCCCACCTCCAAATACTATCACACTGGCGATTAGGTTTTAATGTATGAATTTCAGGGGGCCACAAACGTTCAGTCTTTCACACAGCCTTGTGTTATCCCTAATCAGTCTCTCCATTGCATGGTCTATGGTCGAATGGCCACTTCTGCAAGCTACAAGCAAAAGTTTGCCCTTAGAATCCTAGTTGTGCAGTTGCCCGCATGGGTGGAATGTCCAGTAAACCACAGGTGTGCACTAGGGAGAAAGAATTGTTCTATTAGGACCCAGCCACACAGCCTTGAGCTGAGGGACTGAGATGCTTGCTTCAGTGTTTCCATGACCTTCAGGATAAATCTCAACTGCCTAAACTTGTAGATAGGATTCTGCTTCTGGCCAAGATTTCATGAGGGGCAGCAGCAGGTTTACCTTCCTGCCTTAAGCAACTAAAAACCAAAAAAAAAAAAAAAAAAAAAAACTAAAAAACTAAAGAAACAATAGTTTTTTTTGTTTTGTTTTGAGACAGAGTCTTGCTCTGTCGCCCAGGCTGGAGTGCAGTGGCGCGATCTCAGCTCACTGCAAGCTCCACCTCCCAGGTTCATGCCATTCTCCTGCCTCAGCATCCCAAGTAGCTGGGACCACAGGCAACCGCCACCACGCCAGCCAATTTTTTTGTATTATTAGTAGAGACGAGGTTTCACCGTGTTAGCCAGGATGGTCTCGATCTCCTGACCTCGTGATCCGCCCGCCTCGGTCTCCCAAAGTGCTGGGATTACAGGCGTGAGCCACTGCGCCCGGCAAAGAAACAGTAGTTTTTAAGACATTGGACATCAGGCAACAGAGGACAGCAGTCCTTGAGATAAGAATCAAAAGAAGAGAGGCCCATGGTTACCTCTAGGCTGCAGGACAGGGAGGGGGCTCAAGCAGAGCCTGAAGACCCCCTCTAAGCGGCGGGGGGTGGAGGCTGATGTTCAAACAGACAGAGAAGGCTGGTGTTCTCATGCCAGAGTCCTGGAGAGGAGGAGCTGCAAAGACAGAACTCCAGAGAGCTGCAGAAGGCCCCCCAGGCCTCCGCCTCATTCCCATAAATGTATGTGAGGAAACTGCCCAACCCTGGGGAAAGAGCCACTCGAAAGGAGTAGAGGGAAGCATGCCTGAAACTCACGCAGAGTCAGGGGTGGCCAGGGTGGAAGACTTTGTCATTCGTAGGCCATTGGGTTGAAAACACAGAGGGTTTTGCCTCAGGAGTGGGGCAAAATTCACCCTAGAGTAAATGCTTCCCTGGTCTCACCTAACAAAGCAACATCTAAAAGGGTTAAGCCATTTCCAATAATTTCACTGTCTCCTGGAACAAAACCCAAGAATACTCACAGGACTACAGAAATATCCAGCACCCAACAAGGCAAAATTTACAACGTCTGGCATCCTGTGAAAAATTACCAAGCATACAAAGAAGCAGGAAAATATGACCCACAGTGAGGAGAGAAACCATTTGAAATCAATTCAGAAATAACACATAATTAGATAGAGATAATAAAAGAATTACTATATCTGTTTGTTCAAGAAGCTAGAGGAAAGACTGATCATGTTAAGCCATGGAAGATACCAAAAAAAGTAAATAAACAACCAGGAAACTTCTAGAGGAAACAACAATGATGTCAACCCTAACTCTGACATGAAAACCACCCTGGAGGGATTAGCAGCAGATGAGACTCAAAGGGAAAGACGGGCGAACTGAAAACAGAGCAATGGGAACTTGCACCAGTGAAACACAGGGGGAAAAACTAGTGGAAAATCACAGAACGTCAGTGAGCTGCAGACAAAGCTCCACCCCTCTGCACCAGCCACCCCGGCACCTGCCTGGAGCAGAAGGTGGGCACAGCCAGGGGCCATGTGAAGACGGGGAAAGCTCTGTTTGGAGACCTCAGTGTAGGTCTTGCCCGAGCTGCTGCTGTAGGCCTGCCTCGCCACCAGCTGCCCTCAGAACTGGAGTCCCACTGCACACACGCACACACACCCATATATATGCACACATGTGTGAACACACACGTACACGTTTGCACACACCCACACACATATGTGTACATTATGCATGCACACGTACACGTGCATTTACATATGTACTTATGTGCATGCACACATACATATGCATACATCACATGCACGCACTCTTATATGCACGCATGTGTAAGCATACATGTATACATGTGCACACACCCACACACATATGTGCACATCATGCATGCACACATACAAGTGCATTTACATATGCACTCATGTGCACGCACATATACATATGCACACATCACATGCACATACATATGCACACATCACATGCACACACTCATATGCACAAGTACACAGAGCCACACCATATCACCTCACACATGCACGCAGAGCACGCATACTCGAGGTGATATGGTTTGTCTCTGTGTCCCCAGCCAAATCTCATCTCAAATTGTAATCCCCACGTGTCGGGAAAGGGGCCTGGTGGGAGGTGATTGGATCATGGGGGCGGAGTTCCCTTGCTGTTCTCGTGCTGATGAGTGAGTTCTCCACGGATCCGATTGTGTGAACATGTGTGGGGCTTCCCCCTTTGCTCTTTCTCTCTTTCTGTCTCCTGCTCCACCCTGTAAGAAATGCCTGCTTTCAATTGCCTTCCGCCATGGTCGTAAGTTTCCTGAGGCCTTCTAGCCATGCTTCCTGTTAAGCCTGCAAAACTGTGAGTTAATTTAACCTCTTTTCTTCATAAATTACCCAGTCTCAGGTAGTTCTTTATAGCGGTGTGACAGTGGACTAATACATGAGGGCACCCACGCGCTGACGTGGGCACCTACGCACTGACGTGTGCACACACTCACGTGTGCACACACTCATGCACACATACACCCCTGCATGGAGTGTGGAAGACCCTCAGGTCAGATTGGGAGACTGCTCCTGGGTGGCTGCTTCCGGAGACCCACCTGTGTTAAGGGTCACACTGAACCTGCAGGGAATCCTCGAAGTGAAGACTCCACCCCCGCAGCTGGTGAGCTCACACAGCCTGAGCATGAGACGAAATCAAGGGTGGCTTTAGTTGGCCAAATCAACACAGACTGGGTTAGGGCACCTGCCCGTGGTGCAGCCGGGAGAGGCCGAGGACACCAGAGAAAGGCCCCTGCCCACCTCAGCCCAGGAGAGGCCAGGGAGGGTCGGGATGACCACAGAGCAAGCTGGCAACAGGCACCCCTTTCCCTCGGCGAATCAGGAAACACCCTGAGTGGGAAGATGGGCAGGGACCGGCTGCCCCAGGCTGGAGCGTGAGGAGGGTGCAGGGCGTTGGCCAAGGTAGGGAGTGGAGGAGGCTCTGCTGGTTCATTAAGGAAAGAAAGCCGCAGTTTTACCCACACACACGTCCATACAGAGAGGTGCACCAGGGAGGCTTCCTCTGTTATCACCGCTGGAAATCAGACTTAACACTGTGCCCTGGGACAGAAAAAAGATTCCATTTCAAATCTCATTTCAAGAGAAACACAAAAATAAAGAGAAAGAAATGAATTGCTAATTAAATCCTCTTTAAATTTAGTTTAAGATTAAACGGAAACTTATGGAATCTGCAAGCTGGCATGAGGCACATTTTTTCCTAAAAAATGCTAATTTGGAAGTGCTGGACTCATTTAGCCCCAACTTGATACTGCTATTCTGAATAGCATGCTCTCGGGGAGATTCCGCATGAAGCTGGGGTGTGAGCTTTATTTCTGGAGGATGTCTGCCTCTCCCAAAGAAAGGATGCAAGGAAGGCCACCGCAATGAAGTCGGTTCACTGCATAAACCCTGCACCCAGAGCCACGTCCAGAATGAGTTCAAGGGAATAAAGATGACCCAGTGGGCCCTGGCTCCACACGAGGGGCAGGTGACCAGCCATGGAGACTCGCAGAGAGAAGGGAGGCTGGGTCCCAGGGCACCACCGCCACAGGGCGCTGCAGCAGCCAAAGGAGGGGCAGAAGAGGAAGCAGAAAGGGGGGACCTTCCCCTACCCACACGTCTCCTCTGAAGGGACTCAGCAAGAGGGGCGTGCTCACTCCCCAGCCGCTTCCCCACCATCCTGCACCCTACAGCTGCCTGGAGCTGCACAACCCAAGCCCTCCCTGCTCCAGCCCTGACCCCGGCTCTGGAGCAGAAGCCCTGCACAGGCCGGCACAGGCCCTGGCCTTCCGACACCTCCCCTCCTCCCAGCCTCTCCGATTCCTCACTCTCTCCCACTCCTGATCCTGCCGTCCTCCAGCCCGAAGGCTGGTATGTGCACACGTGGCCCATGTGTCCCCATGGGTGGGTGCAAGTCGGTGGGTGCATGTGTGTGTGCACGTGTTTGTGTGGTCACTGCTTCACCTGTGTGCACGTGCTCACATATACATGCGAACAGGTGCACACCTGCATGTGTTTTCAGTGAAATATTTTAATCAAGTACATAAAAACCAAACCATATATACTTTTATTTTTCAAACTTTTTATTCTAAAAATTTTAATGATTTATTAAAATTTGTGGCAAAATACAACCTATAATAAATGTTGACATTTTAAATCAAAATTACTTTAGTAAAGCTGACTTTAATTTAAATTTTTGAAAATTAAATCACTACTTGGAAATGACATTTTGTTTGGCAAGAATCACTTCCACTCATGGTCTCTGAGAGGGAGGTTGGCCCGGTTAATATATCTGTTTTTTTACCTAAGCACTTGGGCCACCAAATCCTCTCAGCTCCCTGAAACGTTTCCATCCAAGTCAGCAGCCGATGTCCTGCACAGCCAAACACGGCCACCTTTTGTCTGCAGGCACCCGGCCGGCCTCTGTGGCCTAGACCCCAGGTGCGCCTTCACACACAGAGTGTGAGCGTGCACCGTGGGGGTAGCCGCCGCGTGGGGCTGCCCATATGTGTATGCGTGTGCGAGGGTGCACGTGTGTGTGGACACTTTGCTCAGCTTCGTCTCCAGCTCATAAGGACATGCGCTCTGAAGGGTTTCCTGGCACCCTATCCGGTTCCCTCCCTTGGGCACATCCCTCTCACTGAGCCCCAAAGCCCAACACTTCGTCCTGGGAGGAGGCCGCTCTGACCGTGGCTCTCCCCAGGGAGGAGGTGCTGCCCTCCAGGAGGAGGCCCCTGGGCTGTCTGGGCCTAGCAGGCTCTTCTCCCATATTGGTAATTTCAAGCCTTTGGGGGCTGCTGTGTTTTCTGTTTGGCTTTGTTTTTTAGCTTTTGGTAGTAGTTATTAATGTTTTTCATTTCCTCAAAAATGACAGCTGTTGCGATGGTAATGGAGCTCATTGTTACTATTCAGCATCTGGAGAGGCAGTTTAGCACCTGCTAATAAAGACGCCTCACTTGAAGTTTGGAGAAAATGACCGGATTCCCCAGTGTCATTATGTCACTCTGGCAAGTGGAAATCATGAAGGCAGAGCCTGAGGCGGGGCCTGTCTGAGGACTCGCCACAGCGTGTTGCCTGTCCCTGCGGCTCAGCGGACGTGCAGGAGGGCGAACGAGCGCTGTGTCCACCTCGTCCACGTGACGTTTCCTGTAAGATTTTCAAACCTTTCCTTTCAAGATTTTCAAGACGTGCTGCAGCACACTTGGGTTGCAGGACAGAACACTAAGCCAGATCCCGGGGAAAACTAGGCGCGGGCCACTCTAGGTCTGGGACTGTGGGGGGCCACGAGGCGGGGACCCCAGAAACCAGGGGACGGCTATGGCTGTGGAACATCCCGAGCTGGGTCCTCACAGCATCTGCCCTGCGGTGAGTTAGGAACCGCCTTACCTGACTGCCCTTCCCTCCACAGTCATGGGCCCTGCAAGCTCCGCCTCTCTTCTGCTCACCCCTCAATGGCAGAAACTCGAGACCTTCTCCCACGGCCCCTTTGCAATCAAGGGCTCTCCATGAGCCATATTGAGCCAATGTCTGTCTTCCTTGCGTCTTTCTCCTCCTCTGCTTGGTGGCTCAGGGAACAAACCCAACAACCTTTATGAGCAGGAGAGGAGCTGTGTGTCCCCAGATCCCCGCTTCTCCTGGCCAGATGGCAGCAGCCCCGCCGTGATGCCCCCCGCCCCCCACTGCCTACTGGACCGAGGGATGGAGTCCACTGCCCAGATCAAGTCCTAAGCACCCCCAAACACACACCCCCTTTCTGGAGAAATGAGAGAGGAAAGGAAAAGAGAAATGAACTCTCAAGCAGACCCGTCACCCACCAAGCACCCGGCAGTGCAGGTGACACCCCCTGCCAGTGCCGGGAAGCCAGTGCCAGCCTTGGATCTGGGGTGGGAGCCAGTGCCAGCCTCCGATCTGGGGTGGGTGACCCATGGTCACCCTGGGCATGGGGAGGACACAGCGACCCTGATGGGACTCCTGCTGTGGGGCCCCTTGTCATCCATCCACCTGCAACTGAAGACACGTAGCATGATCTCATCTCTCTGGCCCAAAGTGATTTCCAAAAAGCTGAGAGGGTCTCTGGCAGGAGGGCAGAGTGAGCTAATCCTGACTCTAAAAACATCAGGACTGGAAACTCTGCCTGCCAGCAGACCTGAGGGGTGGAGGGGCAGAGGGGCGGTGCGGGAGATGGACAGGTCAGGGTCCTTCTCATGGATGGACGAACAGAGCTCGGGTGTCTCCTCCCACCCCGACCACAGGGCTCTGAAGTCAGGGCAGTATCCCCACAGGAAATGACGGACAAAATGTGGTTGCTAAGCCCCGTCCAACAGGCCTGCCCAGGGCCCCGGAGAACAGGACACCCCACAGAGCAGGTGAGCTCTCCACCTTAGCTCCCAGCACTGCAGGCCCCCACCACCTCACACCTCAGTGTCAGACTCTAGCTCTCTGTCTTTCTCTCTCTCTTTCTCTCGCTCTCTCTCTCTCTCTCACACACACACACTCACACACACATGCTCTCGAGTTCTCTCAGATCACTGATAACTGGGGTGACAGGCCTCACCTGGGAGAAGTAAGGACTTCTTTTCAAAAGGAGCACACAGTCCTCGAGTTTCCAAACCCACAGCCTGCTGTGGCATGCCGGTGCCAGCTCCCACCGCCTGCAGGAATGGATCACGGGTGTCTCTTTCCAACTCCACGCCAAGTGAGCTCACGTGGGTGGCTTGAAACCTGCCGTGGTGGGAGTGTTTACACTACAGAAATTGGCACAAGGTAAAAACCAGGCCCTTTTTCTTCTGGAGAGCTGGTTGCTAAACACTCAGTGGCACCCCACCGGCCTGGGGCCCCCGGAAGGCTCTGGCCTGGTGTCTAGGGCTCTAAGGACACCAAGGTCCTGCCACCGTGGCGTCTTCTGTGCAGGTGGCCTCTGTTAATGCAGAGGCCATGACCTCGTGCTGCTTCCACTAAGGCCGTCTTGAGAAACAAGAACAGAATTGGCGGTTCCCAGGGAGAAATAACAGACAGGAAAACAGATCTGTGAAGGCGGAAAATTTACCTTTCCTTGCAGCACAGGTCAGCACTGCCCTGAGTGGCCGTTTTTCTGGCCGAATGCTCGAGTTCTGGGACCGCTGTCTGGATTTCTCAGAGGCCTTCTCCCTGTCTGTGGCTGTGTCCCAAAAGTTCACCTTGCTGTGACCGCCAGGAAGAGGCTTTTCTATATGCAATCGCTCTTCAACAGTAAAAGCTTTGTTGTAAAATGTCAAAGATAGCAGGCGTCCTTTTAAGGAAGTCCCCATTTATCGAGTACCAGGCTCATGCCCCTATTGTTTGTACAATTAGGGGGTAAATATTTAAAGCAGAACTTAGACACCCCCTGAGAATGAGCCGGCATCATCTGTGGCGTGTGTGCCTGTGCGTGTGTGGAGATCGTCAAAGCTGTGCTTCCAGCGTGTGAGCGTGCGCCACCCGGGCAAAGCCCAAGCCCATTCGAGCGGATTCATCGTGTTCGAGGCTCGCAGAGTCTTGACCACAAGGAAAATCTTGTTTTTGAGCAATAACCCTTCAGAACGTTGCATGTTAGCACCTTTTGGAGGTTGTCAGGAGACACTTCCTAAATAGGATCTGGGGAGGAAATGGAACCCGCTCAGGCCAAAGCTCAGCTTCGATATTGGATTTTCTGGGGTGAATCAGATTTGCTCGGTCCTATGAGGACTCACAGAGGCTCACCTTGCCCAGCAAGGAGCCTACGCTTTTGAGATGCAGAAAATCTTTAAAATGTTGAGGCTCTTGTATCCTAGGAGAATTTTCTTCTCTATCAAAGAAACCCAAGACATAGGCCCGTGTGGGCAGGAGGGCATAGTGGGGTCAGAAGATTAGAGTGGAGGGCCAGCTGTCTGGCGGTGTGGCTGTGGGCAGGTCTGCAGCCTCTCTGAGGCGTGTTCTGTGGGTATCTGGGGCCTGTTCTAGCACCACACGCCACGAGTCTGCCACCCTGCCTTCCTCAATGAGCTGCGTGCAGTCAGGGGGCCAGCAGGGGTGGGCACCAAAGGGGCCCAGGGACTGAGGATGAAGCCCCACATGGAGTTCTGTGGACCTCCCTGCCCGGCACCCCAGCTCCACTCCTGCCATCCCGGTGGACACTGGACACCTGTCCCTTCCCCTCTGGGGTTCCTGGGCTGTGGGGTTTGCTGCATGGATGCCAAGATGAGCCATTTCCACCCACCCCCATCAGACGCCACCCTCCCACCACGGGTGAGCTCATCTAGGCTGGTCCCTCTCCCTTTGGGGCGGCCTCTGCCCTCCGTGCATCCCGCAGCCAACATAGCCCATCTAGGCTGGTCCTGGCTCTGCCTTCCCTCTCCCTTTGGGGCAGTCTCTGTCCTCTGTGCATCCTGCAGCCAACATAGCCCATCTAGGCTGGTCCTGCTCTTGATGGAATAAGGTAGGCTTCAGAGACCCCCACTGGGAAAACATCCATCCATCTACCCAGGCCTTGTTCCAGCATCAGAGCTGCCGCCGTGAGCTGAGCAGATGAGTCCTGCCCTCGAGAGCTTCCGGGAAGGAGGAAAACGGAGAGGGAGCCTGCCTCCCACACAGGAGAAAGGCCACCAGGGTGGAGGCTTGGTCCGTCCCCTGTTCCAATGCTGTCTTTGGCTCCTCCCCACCCCATGCAACAAATCAGAGCGATGCCAGTAAGTGCAGACCAGGGTGACCGGCAGGCACTTAGAATTCCCCTTCCTGTGGGCTGGATGCTGGAAGGCACCCAAACCGAGGGCACATGAGCACCTCTGAGTGGCCTCTGGCGGGAAGCTGGATTGGCCTCCCACAGGTGTCTGGGCCTCTCTGGGTAAAGCGATTCCATGTGATTATTCAAGAGCTGTGTCTACGCTTGCAGAATCAACACATGGGCTGCCACCTCGATGACCCAAAAAGAAAAGGCAAGGGTGGCAGTGCTTCTGCAGGCTCTCATTTACTCATCCGATCGCTGGATCCCTTGGGAACCCACCGCCTGTTGGCAAGGGTTTGCTGAGCTCCCCATGGGCCGGGCACGCTGCCAGGTGTGCACCACCAGCATCCAGGGCCACAAGCTGGAGAGACAGGCACTGCAGAGGCCTAGGCCATGGGCTGGAGAGATAGGCACAGTGGAGGCCTGAGCCACGAGATGGAGAGACAGGCACAGCGGAGGCCTGGGCCATGAGCTGGAGAGATGGGCACCACAGAGGCCTGAGCCACGAGATGGAGAGACAGACACTGTGGAGGCCTAGGCCATGGGCTGGAGAGACAGGCACTGTGGAGGCCTGGGCCATGAGCTGGAGAGATGGGCACCACGGAGGCCTGGGCCACGAGATGGAGAGACGGGCACCGCGGAGGCCTGAGGACATGATAAGGTACACACCAGGGTCTGGCATCTGGCAGACGGCAGAGCTGCTGAAGGCTCAGGCCACAGGAGAGGGTCCTGAAGGCATGAATGAGCAATGAGATCCTTCCCCATGAGCCCAGCCTGCCCCGCAGCCTCAGGAACTGGGTCAGTCACGCGGCTTCCATCCAACTCAGACGCCCCCACTGGCCACCTCACTAAGCCTCTTGGTCTCCATCCTTTCCTTGGATTCTTGCCTCTCTCACCTGTAGCCCAGATTTCGGTTCAAATCAGCAAGCTGTCGATGCGGATTTGCCCGCACTCATTCATTCAATGGCTGCACCCTACAGTGGCCGCACTGTGGAAGTGCTGGAGCAGAAGGAGCTGGGCAGGGCTGCAGCTGGGGGGCTCTGCAGCCATCGGCCCAGTGGCCACAAAGGGCCCTCCCCACAGAGGGTGGAGCAGGGCTAGGCTTGCACGACATATAAACAGGGACACAGACCAGTCCACCCCGGACCAAGAAGGTTGCAGCAGCCATTCCAATGGGGTCTGGTGTCACCAGGACCTGAGGCCCTCTCTCTCTCCAGCTGTCCCTCCTACCCCTCTCCCTCCCTTGCCCCTCCCCCTGTTACAACACCAATCTCCCACTCCCCACACTGGAGGAGCAGCCTCAGTCCCACGTCCAGGAGAACATTGGTCCCATCCTGTCTCCTTGTCCTTAGCTCACCGGAGGGCACCAAACAGAAAGAGAATCCAACCCAGAACTCCCTCTTTATCTGCCTTCCTTGCCCGCCTCCAAACCGGAGTCAGAGCCATTCAAGGAGGATGGAGAAGGCAATTTCCCGAGAGCCTGCAGGTTCTTCTCACCCGCGATGCCCATGTGGGCCCCACCTCAGCCTGCAGGGAAGTATTCTTAGAAGTTCCTTCTTCACGAAGTTAGGTAACTTGCTCAAGGTCACGTAGCCACCAGCTGAATAGAGGAAGGGAGAATCTACGAACACTCCAAGTCACGCTTGTAGCATTGTCCCGTGCAGTCTCTGTGTCAAACCAGGTAGTCAGTGGTGCTGTGAGCCGCCCGGGGCACTTCTCCAAGCTGGGAAGAGGCTCCAGGCTCGGAAGCCCCCTGAGAGCCCTCCCTGACCCACCCTCACCCTTGACCACCACTGAGGGGAATTTCTTCATTTTCTGTGCCTGAAGGTTCAAGAGGGAAGTCAAAAGTGGCTTCCAGTCAGCTTAATGGGGACGGGGTTTTCTCTGGGGGTGATGAAACTGTTTCGGAGCTTGACAGAGATGGTGGTTGCACAACACCGAGGATGTACTAAATGCTGTTGAAATTGACACTGCAAAAGGGTTCGCTTTATGTTATGTGAATTCCACCTTAAAAATGCTTTAACGTGGCTTCAAGACAAATCTTAGTGGACCTTACAGAGCATTTTGAGACACTATCAGCAAATGCCCACAGAGCTGGGCCCCCTGTGCCTCCCCGATCCCAGGTCCATGAGCAGAGTTAACCCTAAACCACCTCCTGAGCCACAGCCTGAAAGTAGCCCCCACCGACAGGGGAGGCAATGGAGTCCAAGGGTCCCTGAGGCCATGCCTCATGCCCACCACGTCCAGCAGAGTGACCGGAGCAGGTGCCTCAGTCCACGCCTCCCCAGGATGAAGAGAGGACAGCAGGGACCTTGCCAAGTTTCCCTTTGGGTGCAACAAGTTCTGTCACTTGTAAGCAGAGCATGAAGCATGGCTCTGTGGTCACTAGTAAAAGCTGGTGTGTGACACGAGGGTGGGAACTGGGAGCAGAGATGCCAGCACCTCCTGCGTCTGCCTCAACATCAGCCACCTCCTCCTGCCCTCTGTTGCCCTGACTGCCCATCTCAGGACTTCCTCGTCCTCGGTCTTGTTTATGAGCCTGTGGCTTTGAGGACGCTCAGTCCGTCCTCAGAGCCAAAGCTCTGGCCCTGGGAGAGGAGCGGGAGGCTTCAAGCTTCTACACAATGGAAAAGCAAAGATGAAATAAGAAAATTCCTCTCGGTCCAGGAGTCTGTGCTGAAGAAATGACTCATTACAAACAGCAGAAACTTCAAGTTAGACAGATGGGGAGAAACTCTCTGAAATGTGCTTTTCTGCCTAATTTAGAATAATTGCAATCCACTACATTAGGGCATCAGGTTTTCAGCATCTCATGAAATGCTGAGGGTGAGAAGGGAGCATTTTCTGACAAATTAAGATCAAGCTGAAAAGGCCAATGTGCTGGCTGCTGTTCAGCCTTGGTCCTTCTCCCGCAGCTCCACGTGGCTGTAGCCAGCAACTCATCACAGGCAGCTTGCAGTCCGAAACCCACTGTGGGCTGATCAAAGACTGAAACCCTAGAAGGAGAGAAGGGAGAAGCAAGAGGTCCCTAGCCCACAGAACCTTGGGGACCGGCACAGCACCCTGGTCCTTCCTCTCATCCTACTCTCTGCCACCCACCCAAGCTGGGAAGAGGCTCCAGGCTCAGAACACCCCACCCCAAACACTTGGAGAGATGCTGGCCTCCGCTGCCTCGTGCCTTCCAAGAAATGAGGGTCCAAGCCACTCTTCTTCATCCAGATCTTGGCTCTAAACCTGCAGTGCACTCTGAGTTGGTTCCTGCTATCCCAGAGCCTCATTTGGCCTTAGACGCGGAGAAGGAGCATTTCACAGCTGGAACAGAACTCCCATGCTCCCAACCCCAGCATCCTTGGGCCACCGATGGGAAAGCTGAGACCCCCTCACCTTCACCCAAGGAAGGAAACTCAGTCAGGGTCACCAGAATAATGAAAAGCCAGGCTTTCTCCCGGACGCTTTGCTGTTGAATCTGCCCGAGAGCAGTGCCGGTGGAGCCAGGTGGCTCTGGGCCAAACCACCACTCGTCCCCATTGGATTTGTGCTGACTCCCACCCAATTCCAAAGAATTACATCAGAGCTGTGGAAACCAAGACCAACGAAGCACCACACCAGTTGCCATTCTTCTAAGCTCCAAGTCCTCTACGCAACTAAAGACTCAGGATCCTTCCACGTAAACCCAAGAACTGGGAAGCCTCAGCCATGGCCGGGGGACGTCAGAGGCCGGGAGCCACTGCCCTGCCGGCCAGGCCAGCAGCTCACCCAGCTGGAGATGTAAGGGGACAAGGGGACGGCCCCATGTCGACCTCCTCCACCTGTGTTGTTCCCATGGAATCGGGCTGTTTATGTCCTCATGCATTCCCATGCAAACAGGCCAGAGCAGATGGCCCCTGGGCCGTCGTGCCCACACCACTGCTGTGCGGTGAGCAGGGCCTGCCTCTGCTTTCTTGACTTTCCCTAAAGCTCTCCTGTGGTCCAGCCACCGGGGTTCAACCCTCAGAGCCCCCGTGTCATCCCCCTCCGTGTAGTTCAGGTTTCCCTTCCTGACAGGCACAAACATCTTCCAGCCTGAACATGAGCAAGACACGGTCCCACTCGGCGTTCATTTTCCTTGAACCTGGCCCCACCTCCCTTTGCAGTCCGGCCCAGATTGTCCTCATAACCTGGTGTGGCTCCACCTCCCGTTGCAGTCCGGCCCAGATTGTCCTCATAACCCGGTGTGGCTCCACCTCCCTTTGCAGTCCGGCCCAGATCGTCCTCGGAACCCGGTGTGGCCCCACCTCCCTTTGCAGTCTGGCCCAGATTGTCCTCGAACTGGTGTGGCCCCACCTCCCTTTGCAGTCCGGCCCAGATTGTCCTCGGAACCCAGTGCAGGCCTCATGCATGGCAAATATTCCACAAACACACGCGGAACTGAACATCACCATCAACGCATTGATCATTACCATTTAGTGAAATAATGAAGGCTGCCCTTTAAATTTGCATTTGTGTGGACCAATCATCAGTAGCCAAGTGACCTGCTGCCCTGTCTCTGTGGACCACAACTCAGGGGAGCCCCGAGCAGAGCCAGCTCCCCGAAGTCCTCCAATTGTTTACATTTACGTCACATGTGGAACTATGATCTGGGAAAGTTGGATGTGGCCAAGTCAGAGGAGCTGAGCCTGCCCTGGGCTGGCTGCAGAAGACTCGGAATTCACTGCCTGGTTGGACCCTCACTGCAGATTTGGGATGTAGGAGGGCAGGTGGTGGTATCCCCTGGAAGAGTGCTGGGAGGAGGCAGCTGAAGACAGGGGAAGGCTCCAGGTTAGTGGCACAGATGTCATGGGCCTGTCGTCAAGATAAAAGCAATGGGAATATGACGGACCATGTCAAGATCTTTTGTGTGGAGGCCGGTCCAGGGGCCACTCAAGACCTTAAGTACAGCACCTCCGTAGGAATTCTGCTGGGATGCCACAGGAGAGGTCGGACACTTCTAAGACCTCACTCTCAGCAAGACTCGAGTCTCTTACTGTGTTTCCCACCACAAACACCCCACGGGAGCTACACGACAATGACAGTGAAGGCTTGGGCCCCGCCACTTCTCCCTGCAGCCACTGTGCCCGCTCGGTCACTGGACCACCCTCTCAGGGGCACTGATGTGCAGAAAGTAATTGTGTGGAAACGGAGGGTGTGGGGAGGCTGTCTACAAACTGTCAAGGCAGAGCAGGTGTGCGTTCAGGGCAGTTTGGATTGGTATTGGCTCTTATGGGGTCCTCCTGACCACCTGTGCTTTGTCCTTTGCCCAGACTTGAAGTTAGTAGACCTGACCTGATGGGTGTCCTCACAAAGCAGGGTGTTCAGAAGGAGACCCACCACCCTCCACTGGGTGATTTCACCGCTGCCTGGGAGAGGCCATGCCGACGGGGAAAGAGCCCTGACCTTGGCCATCAGGACGCAGGGGCAGGGCCGGACACACTGTTCGCCTTGTACATTCATGAAGGGGAGCCCACGATAGGCGTTCCCACGGACAGGAGTTCGCCTCTCGGTACTCTGGCCCTGTGGACTCTCCTCCTTTGGGCCACAGCTCAGAGACCCCACACTGAGGTCAGTCCCATCACACACAGGGACACCTGCCACCGCCAAGTAACTGCTTCCTGCCCCAGGCAGGAGCTTCTTGGAGTGAGTCCTCGGCATGAAACAGCTCTGCCCAGGCAGAAGCCCTAATGACGGTTTGCTAAGCCAGAGAGACAGGGGTCCTCCACCCCAGGGAAGAGCCAGTCTTAGAGAGGGTACACCTGGTCCACCTTCAGCGGTGGCATCCCAGGTACCAAAGTGAGGCTATTTTGATGAGGTGTCTTTCAGAAGGGTGGGGCAGTCACTGATTGGCTGGCTTTCAGAGGGGCAGGGCTGTCATTCATTGGCTGGCTTTCAGAGGAGCAGGGCTGTCATTGATTGGCTGGCTTTTAGAAAGGCAGGCCTGTCACTGATTGGCTGGCTTTTAGAAGGGCAGGGCTGTCACTGATTGGCAGCTTTCAGAAGTGTGAGACTGTAACGGATTGGCTGGCTTTTTGAAGGCCGGGGCTGACACTGGCTGACTTTCAGAAAGGCAGGGCTGTGACAGATAGGCTGGCTTTCAGAAGGGCAGGGATGTCATTGATTGGCTGGCTTTCAGAGGGGCAGGGCTGTCACTGATTGGCTGGCTTTCAGAATGGTGAGGAGTCATTGATTGGCTGGCTTTCAGAAGGGTGGGGCTGTCCCTGATTGGCTGGCTTTCAGGAGAGTGGGGCTATCACTGATTGACTGGATTTTGTGTATTGGCAGAAAGCTGTTGATCAACTGGAATGGATTTAAATGATTCTGGTTAATTTTTTACTGTGGTCGAAGAACCGTGAGCCTTTTCCTAGGAGGACAGGCACTTATTCCTCGCACAGGTTTCAACAAGAACATTACGAGCTGCCTGCCTGGCCCACTGGTACATCTGTGAGCAATCTTAACCCATAATTGTAATGATTTCCATTGTTCTAGCTCCTCCCTGGATCAGGCACTGAGCATGACCATGTTTTTTCTTTATGGTTGTTACAGGAGCCCAACGTGCCTCACATACATGGTCTCTGCGGAGAGAACAACCTCGGTTCAGCTCCTGCCTCCCACACTTAATCTACGGGAACTTCTGTTTACCATCTTTAGGGTAGTGGTAATACTAATTCTTTCTGCAAGGACCGTTGCAACAATTCAATAAGACCACGGATGTGTGAGGGCTTCTTCAAGGAAGCCAGAGGGAGGGCCAGTGTGGCCACCGAGGCTCCTGTCTGTGGGTGGACACCAGCACAGGGGAAGCAGACGTGTTCCTGCCATTGTCAGATACAAGGCTGCAGTTAGGGGGTCCTGCCTAGTCCACTGGCTTGCTCTGAGCAGCTGTTCTTATTGAAGCACGTGCCCAGGAGACGGCTTTATTTCCCTCCCTCTCTCTGTTGTTAAGCAGTTCAAAAGTCACTGAGAGGTCAAGTCCTGAAGGCTATGTACAAAGAACGACTCTCCTGAAAAGATGGCCCCTGCTTCCCACAGCCCCACCGCTGAAGTCAGTGTTTGTGTTGGAGAATAATTAAAGCTGATCACGTTTTGTCCCTAACACGGAGTGACATCTTTTGAATCTCTGCATATTGCTGTTTTCACTAAGCCACATGTAACACTTCAGAGTGCCAAATGCTTTTTAAAAAATAGCCCTGGCTCTGAAAGAGTGCTGCAGAATAACTCTGATGGAATATGGCTTCTATGAAAACACAAAATGTTAATCACCCCCCCAAGAAAAAAAGAATTCAAAGAATTGTTTGAAAAGAGATGTTTGTTCTGGGCACGTATTTCAAGGGCAAAAGTGCTTGAAGAGGAGTGGCTTACGTTTGTTCTGGTTCCTTAAGATCTCCAGCCCAGCTCCCCAAACGGAGAGAAATGGAGACCAGTCTTGCTTTCTGCAAATTGGAGGCATCACCTGACTCTTGTGTGCTGTCCAGGTATGGTCAGGACTCATGAAACAAGAGGTGGCATTGGACACCTTGGAAGAGAAGCCATGCCCCAGGCAGACCCTTTCTCACTCTCTGCAGCCCTGCACAGGCCTGTGTTCCCGCCGACCACCAGCCTCTGTGAACTTCTGCTCCTTGTCCTGCCTCCCCAGCCCAGCCCTGGATTTTAGTGGCTACTGCGTACAAACCAGTTTCCAGCCTTAGCCAGTGCTCCTTGCTGCCCAGCCAAGAATCTACATACTCATCCTCTGTCCCCTTCTGGCTGCTTCTCCTTCCCCTCTGAGACAATTTCACCAGCCCCCATACTGACCGGAGCTGACCCTGGAACTCAACTGAAATAATAGAACCAGCAGGCAGTTCCCACTCAACGTGCTTCCCTGAGCCTGCCTGTCTCCAGGACAAAGCCACCTCTGCGCTCCTCATGCCCATCTTCTCCTGCCTTCCCAGGAACCTCACCCCATCAAGCACGCTTTCCCTCCTGAAATCTCCAGGTTCTCTTCTCTTTTGGCTGTTTCCCCTCATCCTATGTATACAATCCATTCTCTCCCATCTTAAAAACAAACTACAGAAACAGTAAAGAGATCAGTAGTTGCCACGGGTTCAGGGCAAGGTGGGAGGGATGAGTAGCTGGAGCCCAGGGCACTAGGGTGGAGGAATGCTTCCATATGATGTTGTCATAGTGGGTACATGACATTGTACATTTGCCAAAAGCCATCGATCTGTACCACATAAAGCACCAACCCTAAAGGAGACTATGGACTTTAGTTAATGATAAGGTGTCCACATGGCCTCATCAACTATGACGAAGACACCACACAAATGCAAGAGAATAATAAGGGAAATTGTATGAAGGGTGGTGGGTGGGGGGGGGTGGAATAATACAAGGACTCTCTGTACTTCCTGCACAGTGCTTCTATAAACACAGAAATGTTCTAAAAGATCATCTATTAAAAAAGCAAAACCGAACAAGACCTTCCCCTTGGTGGCTTTCATGTAAATGGCAGGGTAAGTATAGGTAGTTAGCTCCCCTTTCCAGAGTCCAAAGGAAATATTTTTTAAGCTAGGGAAGCCTGTACCACACAGAAAACTGACATCACTTGATTCATGCAACTTCCACTAGAAAGGTTCAGGTATGTCTGTACTGAAATAGAGGAAAGGTGGAATTATAACCAACGTTTCGCGGAAAGAGTAACTTGGTTCCAAATGAGGGAGATGAGAGACCCTGGTGTCACTCGCAGAGGCAGGAAGACAGGCAATGAACAGAAAGGCAGCCAGCGGGGCGTCCCCAGGACAAACACTGCAATGGGCTAGATTTCCTCAGGATGAGAAAGTCAAGGGGGAACGGAAGGTTTTTTAAGAGAAGCTACAAGGGCAGAAATAATCAACAAAAAGAAACCCACAAAGGTGAAGAAGGACTAGGTGAAGGTGAACACAGGATCGCTGAATTTCCATAACATAAAGCCTCAAAGAGCCGAGGGTGCCTGTGCTGCTGAGAACGGAAAGGAGAAGGCCCCGGTGGAAGCTCTCGTCACAGCCACGTTCCACGCCACAGGAGGGCGTTCCCAGACAGGCCCGATTTTAAGTATATGAACCGGGAACCCTTCCCCAGAAGACTTTTTAGAGGTATAAGCAATTCTGCCCAAAGGGCAGTCAACATTTAAAAGCTGAGAATAGAGAAGTCATTCGAAAAAAGGACCAACAGGAAGTATCGAAACCATCTACCTGTGGATTTCTGTCTACAAACCGGCTGTAAACGGCGACACGGCATGTAAACGCTAACAATAATGCTTTATTAAGGGGAATTACACTTACCAGTCACAATGCAGGCTCTGCTAGAAACAAATCCAGGATCACATCTATAAGAACCAGGTGATATTGCTGTCAGCCTAAAAAACCCAAGTGGTAAATTGAGAACTTCTCAAAACTAATAAACATGCTAACTGATATGATTTGGATCTGTGTCCCCACCAAATCTCACATCGAATTGTAATCCCCAGTGTTAGAGGTGGGGCCTGGTGGGATATGGGGGCAGAGTTCTAATGAGTGGTTTGCACCATCCCCTCAGTGCTGTTCTCATGATGGTGAGTGGGTGAGTTATCGTGGGATCTAATTGTTTAAAAGTGGGTGCGGCTCCTCCTTCTCTCTCTTCCTTCTGCTCTGGCCATGTGAGACACCTCACTCCCCGTTTGCCTTCCACCACAACTGTAAGTTTCCTGAGGCCTCTCCAGAAGCTGAGCTGAAGCCGCTATGCTTCCTGTACAGCCTGCAGAGTCACGAGCCAATTAGACCTCTTTTCTTTGTAAATTACCCAGCCTCAGGTATTTCTTTATAACAGCATGAAAACAGACTAATATACTAAGAAACTAAAAACAGGAACCATGAGTGTTCCTATATATAAGCAATTATTACTTAGAACAATTAAAACAAATTCTATTAATGAGAAGCAGCAGACATTTAGGAACAAACCTAACAGGAAGAGCGCAGAGCCTATTACTACTTGCGGACTTTACTGAGGCAGTGAAAGAACATTTGCATAAACAGAGATTTATTCTTTGTTCCTGCAAAGAAAGACTCAGTGTGGAAAACATATCTATTCCCCCAGAATTAATGTAGATGTTTGGTGCTGTTTCAATACAAATCCCAGTCACATTTTGGAGAAAACTTAACAAAATAATTCTGAATTTTGTCCAAAAAAAAATAAACAAGTGAGATTAGCCAAGAAAATCATTTCAGGTGGGAGGGATGTTTAGAAGCGTGGTGAAATCAAATGAACATGCCAGGTATTCAATACTAAAGGGTCCCATAAAGTCCCTGATGGCCTCATCAGGGCTGTTGGGCTGGGGCTGACCTTCTCTCTCCACCTATGCCACCTCCGCCCCCCTGCACAGCCTTGGGTTTCTGGCCCTCTGGGTTGGAGGAGAAGCTGAGGTATGGCAGGAAAGTCTCCCAATGACTCCCTTGTAAGTTGGTGTCATAAGTTGAATTGCGGCCCCCAAAATGAAATGTCCAGTTCCAATCCCTAGAACCTATGAGTGTGATCTTATTTGGGGGGAAAATGGTGCTTACAGATATAATGAAGGATCCCAATATGAAACCAGCCAGGCTCACCCAAGAGAGCCCTAAATCAAGGACAGGTGTATCCATAGGAGACAGAGGAAGAGGAGGAGACACAGGGGGGAGAGCAGGGGCCCCTGGGAGACAGAGGCAGAGATGGGAGGACGCAGTCCCGAGCTGTGGAGACCCTGCAGCCACTGGGAGCAGGAAGAGGCAGGAAGCCTCCTTCCCTGAGCTCCGGAGGGAGCACAGACCTGCTGGCACCTTGATTTTGGACTTGTGTCCTCCAGCGTTGGGGAAGCCTGTGTGCTGAGAGCACATTCCTATTCTTGTAAGCCACCCAGTTTGTGGTCATTTGTTACTGCAGCCAAAAAACAGACATTGCATGTGTCTGGAGCAGCAGGTGCTCCAGGCTGGTTCTTTGGCATCTCTATTCCACAAGGCTCTCTGTCCCCAGACCCTCGCGTTCCCATGGTACCTCCAGCTTCTTGCTGTCGGGGATGTTCGCCCACCAAGGAGGCTTCTCAGAAGGCCCTAGGATATGCCGCGCCTCCACTCTCACACACACGTGGTCCACGGACACATGGGCGGTGGTCCCGGCAGCACCAGGCACACTCCACCCACAAATGCTGCCCCTGCAGCCACTGCCCACCCAGCACCAGATCTGTTCCTCCCTCCAGCATGGCCTTCTATCCGCCTTCATTTCCTCAGGGGCATCGCTCCGACCCCCTGTTGTAGGGGACACATGCCTGCTGAAGCTCCCCTCACTTGGCTGGTGGTAAGGGACCAGGAAAGGGCTCCAGGCTCCCAGCAGCCAGCCCCAAAAGTCTCCCTCCCAAACTCTCTGCCCATCACCAGGCTCACCCCTGTTCTATAAAGTTTCCAACCAGTCCTTGGCCACCCACTTTCAGGAAGTTCTTCAGGTGGTGGATCTTGCCACAGTATTTAATATCTACCATCATAACTACCTGTAACTTATATAAAATTTCACTGTTATAAAGCTGACATCACAAATGCCAACAAGAAACACAGGCCCCCAGTCCAACAGTTGACAAGGAACTGTATTCTGCTAATAACCACAGAAGTGTGGAAGTGGATCCTTCCCCAGGTGAGCCTTGAGATGAGATTCCCAGCCTGGGCCAAAAACTTGACGGCAGCTTTGTGAGACCCTGGGGCAGAAGACACAGCGAACCTGTGCCTGGATTGCTGGCCCACGGTAACCACCATAAATGTGTGCTGCTTCAAGCCACTGGGCATGTGGAACTGTGTTACACAGCAATAGATAACTAACACAGATAATAAGACTCACCCAGTTAAAATAACCATCACTCACTTCCAACCAGGATTCCTCCTGCATTACGATGGAAGCATGTCTCCTCTAAGAGAGGGTCTCACAAACCTCACCTAAGGGGCTTCCTGGAAGCCTGTGTGCCCACCAGGAAGTAGCCTTAGGTCAAGGGCATTCTCAGCCCACACCCCCCACCACCATCAAGATCACTACATTATCACTAATACTAGCATGAGGAACTGAAAGGTAAGAGCAAACGCCACCTTTACAGCATTGGCTAATCCTCCTGAAATACATTTTTCAAGGTGGGTTCTGATTGAGGTTTCTTCTCCAGAAGGCAGTGGAGCCGGGGAAAGCCAACCCAGTTCCTATCTTGACCACACCTCTCGTTAGCTGGGCCACCCCTTGTACAAGCCTTCCAGCACCTATCTAACTCAGTATTCTCATCTCAAAAAATTTTAAGCCATTAATTTTGCAAGAAAATTGTGGGCAATATGTGAAAAAAAAGATCAAGTTTCAGTATAATGGAGACCCATGATAGATGTCCAATAAAAGCAGCTAATGTTTCACATGGTTGTCCTTGATCTTTAAAAATCCTCTTATTTAAAGAAGTGGAGAGATATTTTGTGGTAGACCGTCCTACTACTTTTTTGAGGGAATAAATCCATTCTTTGCTGAAGGAAGTTTTAGTGAATGGATGAATGGATAGAGGGATGGATGAGTGGATGAGTGGATGGATGGATGGATGGACGGATGGATGGGACAGATGGATGGATGGGTGGGTGGATGGGTGGATGGATGGATGGATGAGTGGATGGATGGATAGATTGATGGGTGGGTGGGTGGATGGATGGATGGATGGATGGATCAATGGATGGATCAATGGATCAATTGATCAAATAATGCATCAGTGGACTACAGTGTGTCCTTTTGCATGTTTTTCTAGGATCCTAGACTTTTTGAGGACAGATGGACAAGTAGGATAGTAGGGCCAGCCCACTGGAGTCTGGTTGATGAAGGGTCATACAAGACTTGGAAAAGAGCTTTGAAGAACACAGTTTGCCCAAATACAAGGACAGGCACAGAGGGGAGCGAATATTCTGCAAACAGATTCATCCCCTGCTGGAGAGAGAGCCGCAGCCACAGCAAGTAAACTTGAAAAGGGCAGTGTGACGAACACCCCCAGGAAGCTGGGCACTGAGAAGCACTGCCCCAGGCAGGGCAGCACAGGGCCTCTCCCTGCTCCCATCTTCTGCTCTCATCAGTTTGGTGTATCTCAGAGCATCAGAAACAACCCCAAGGCCAAGGATTTCAGGGACCTTGGTATACAGCCCCCTGCTCAGCCCCCTCCAGGCAAAGAGAGCTCCAGGCTGTGGCCTGGGGCAGATCACCAGAAACAATGGCAGAGAGAGACACCCCAGCACATTCGGGAGGGGTGCAGCCCAGCACCTAGAGACAGGCATGGACCAGCCAGGAGCCAGAGGCCACGTCTCCCTTCTGCTGCACCAGGGCAAGTCCAAGTCACGCTTGTCTCTCCAGCTGCTCTCCTTTCTCCTCCACATCCTGCCTTTGGTTTTCTCATCCTCTTAGGGCAAATTGTGTGTGGGTATCTGTCCAGCTGGGGCCAATGACAAGGGACAGAGTGATAGAGTCAAACTCTCCAGGGTGTGAGTGGGGTGTGGGCAGCCAGACCACAGATCCCAGCATGGAGGACGTGCACACAGCTCAGAGCAGATTGAATTCAGAGCTGTGTGCTTGCTGGGGACAAGGAGGGGGAGGCAGGGACCTGAAATTTGAGCTCATCTTTAAAAGATCTTAGGGTAAAAATACATAATCTTTTAATTAAAATTTTACTGAATTTTAACTTGAATTTCCCCATCTGCTTCCTTAATTATGCCTAACCCTAAACCTAACTCTAAGCCATCTGTGTTCTTATCTCATTATATTGGGGTTATTTGTGTGTTTGTCCAATTTCTGCAGGAAACAGTGAGTCCCTCATGGGGAGGGGCTGAGGCTGGGGCATTCCGGATCTTCAGATCCAGACAATGCCTGTCGCACAATAAGGTCTCAGAGAGGGTTTTTCGGACCAATCCTTTATCAGTGGGTGATTGGATGTGTGGACAGAGGTGTGAATGGATTGGGAGGACAAGCAGATGAATGGGAGAGTGGGTGGCTCCTCCTGGCCCGAGCTCCCTGGTCAAGCCAACCCTGAGGTCACCATGATTTTGCCGTGACTTTCAAAGTGAAGTCGAACGGGGAAAGAGCACCGGAAGGCAAGTGCCTCCTCTTACACACACACAGATTTGTGGATTTGGTGTACATTGACTTAACCACTGGCTTTTTTTTTCATGAGCCACGGGATTTGCTCTCTGTTCACTGGGCTTTCATCAGAATCAGCAGCCATGAAACCCTGGGCTGAGAGTCGAAGCCTCTCCTCTGTGACCCCAGAGAGTGAGCGGGGCTGCAAACTCGCTCAGCATGCTGTGGTTGAGAAGCTACGGCATGGATTGAGCTGAGAAGTGCTTATATATTTATAAATATGGTACCCACACGCACTGACGCTGCCAGAGCCCAGGCTCTTGGGGCAGAGAAGTCTGCAGTGAAATGAAGCAGTCCCCACCCCGTGATGGTGTGCAGGCCACTCAACCCGGCTCTTCTCTAAAGCTGGGTAAAAACAGCCTCTGCTCCACATGACTGCCCTGAGGTGCACCGGTGTAGAAGTGCTTAACACGCTTTACAAACTGCTTGGCACACAGCAAGTGCTCCATAAGTGCTCCCATTGTGAGTTTGACTCCGTGTAATCCTGCAATGCAGACTCACTCGACAAAGGAAGGCAGCCTTGAATCCCAGCCAGCCGCTTCTCTGCCTCAGCTGGTCTTGCTAAGCCCTGGCATTTCCCATCCAGGGCTGCAAGACAGAGGCAGGTGCCATATCCCTGCATTCGCCCTGTACTGGGCATTACCTGCCTACAGCCCTAATGCTGCTGTGTCCAGCCCAGTGGGTGCCCTGGAGCTGACTTGTGCTGATTTCACCGTGGAGTCCTGAAGGAGCCGGCCAGTCAGAAAGGCCAGGTCATAAGCGTGAGCCCAGGTCAGGAGAAAACGCGTGTTTATCAGCACAAAGCTGGGCATCGTGGCCAAAGGACAAGCTGAGAAACTTGCACTAAAGGCACATATTCACGGCTGGGTCATGCACAAACTGCTCTTAGAAAATACAGATTTCAACTAAGAACAAGAAGGCGTTTCCTGAAATTCTGGGGAGACGACTTCCCCTGTTGTAGGAGACACAGAATACCAAACAGGGTCAGAGGCTTAACCCTGAAATATGTGTTTATATTATTTATACGATGCATCTGTAGCATATATTATAATATTTATTTGCAGCAGCTAAATATGCATGGGAGGGGGACAGGAAGAGAAAGAGGAGAGGGGTGGGCCCCTGGCCCAGTGGCACGACGGCCTGAGGCTCGCCCTGCTCCTGACGCCTCGGCTTTGAAGATCCTGATCTTTCTTTAGAGTCAAGCAAATTATCTCCAGACAAAGTGGCGGTCCCTTTGCACACGTGCACTCCTGCTCCCATGGGTGGGCACGCACACATGTGTGTATATGCATGTGTGTGCCTGAGCCAGGCACTCAGACATGAGCAGGGGGCTCCCCGAGGAGGCTGACCCTGCCACGAACCCCACTTCAGGGAGGAAAGAATGGGACGAAGGTATGGAGACACAGGGAAGCCAAGGGACCCGCCCAGCCACACGGGCTCCCCACGGCTGGGCCACAGGGCCTGCCCATGTCCTGGCAGCGCCTCCAGGGTGGCCACCTGCAGGAACCTGCCGCCCTGGCCTCACTCAGTTTTTACCAAACAAGTGTCATGCTGTGGCACCAGTGCCATGGCTGTAAACACGCCCAGCTCTTCTCTCCTGTCCCTCCTCTACTGTCCCGTGTCCCTCCTTTCAGCCCTTCGCTGGCTCCCGCCCTAGGGGTCAGCTCGACTTCAAAGTCACCGAGCCCTCTGGTTCCCTGTGAAGTCCTCAGTCCTGGCCTGTCTTGGATGTTGCCATCAGCATCTCAAATGAAACCCACCATGGACCGCCCTCCAAGATTAGAATTGGCTCCGGGGTCCCACCTCACCCCCATGTCTGTTCACGGCCCTGGGTGTATGGCTTGCTGTGGCTGTGAAGTTGAGGGTTTCATGGTGGGCCTGTGGGCCCAGGCCTGGCCCCGTCATGGGCCCAGGGCTTCCTCCCACACCCCACGCACACACAGGGCTAATTTGGAAAACCAACACAGGTTTTTGAGGGAGGGCAGGAAATGACCATTTTTAAATCAGAAGTCCCCCATCAATTTATAAAGAACACTTTAACAGCAGAAGTAAGAAAGACAACATTCCAGAATAAAGAACAGATCTTCAAACTCAACCTGCTTTTGCTTCATTTCTCTCATATCTGCATCCTTTCCTGCCTACATTTCAGTCCCACTCACTTAGGGACTTTCACTATAGATGACAGTCAACTAAGGTTCCAGACCAGACCACCCTAGACACCAGGAGGAGGTCCGAGCAGGTAGGGAGAGGGTGGTGGGGGACCAGGCAGCCTGCCTTCGAGCCTGGAGCTCCCTGGCAGCCATGGCGAGAACCGGCTCAAGGGGCCATGGGGCCACTGGACCCACAGGTGCAGAGTGGAGGGAATTCTGTGCACGCTGGTGGGGTCTGCTCTGATCTCCCCCATGGTGGCCCTGGTCAGTACCCGGAAAGTATGGTGCTGAGGACACTTCAGGAGCCCAGCGTAGAAACTGGCCTTGAATCCCCCTGGCTGCTGAACCCCAGCCCTGAGCCTTCTCTGTCCCACATTGCTCCTGAGAAAACAAAAATAATCTTAGGCTCTGGCCGAAGAAAAGCTCACTGATTATGGAAGAGGCAAGACTGTTGCTATTCTCAGTAGGAGGCATGTTTACTTCTTTGCGTGAAGGTATTTCTAAACACAGGTAATTATAAAAATCATTACCCCATGAACCAGCGTGGTAAACCAGATGGTGGGTAATACATTCATAAATAATTACCTTGTACGAGTTCTCTGAAATAATACTTCCTATTCACTTTACACCTTTCTGTAGAAAATAAATCTCCAGCATTCTCTCATTTGGAAACAGGCAAGCAGCGACTTTCCCTTTATTAAAGGAATAAAACAGATGTGGAGGAGGCACTCCTTGGCTTGGTCTTCAGGGCCTAGTCCCAGGGACCATGCCACAGGCTGCTCAAATCCTCGCCCCAGTGGTGCTGGTCCTGATGCCGTCCTGGAGCCAGCCACAGGGACCACCCCTGCCAGGATCCCATGTCCCTGGCTGACACCACAGCCCAGCTGGATCCTCTTCAGCCAGCTTCTCTCTGGTGTCTTCCAGGACCCTTCTGGCTGCTTTGTGCACAGAGCTTGCTTCATATGACAGATGATATGGTTTGGCTGTGTCCCCAACCAAATCTCATCTTGAATAGTAGCTCCCATAATTCCCACATGTTGTGGGAGGGACCCAGTGGAAGATAAATGAATCATGGGGACAGTTTCCCCCATATCATTCTCATGGTAGTGAATAAGTCTCATGAGATCTGAAGGTTTTATGTGGGGTTTACCCTTTCCCTTGGTTCTCATTCTCTCGTGTCTGCCATCATGGAAGACATGCCTTTCCCTTCCGCCATGATTGTGAGGTCTCCCCAGCCACATGGAACTGTGAGTCCATTAAACCTATTTTTCTTTATAAATTACCCAGTCTTGGATATGTCTTTATCAGCAGCATGAGAACAGGTTAATACAATGGAGAATTTCAGGTAGTGACAGACAGAGCATGATGAATCCCATAAGGCCCTGTCCCAGCTCCATCCTCCACCTACTCAGGCCCATCCTGCCCTGCCCTTTCCCAGCAGTGGCTGAGAAGGCTGAGAAGATGGGGCCTTCGGGCCAGGCCAGGCGCCAGGGCCAGTCAGCAAGCTGCAGCCTCGGCCACCAAGCCCTCCCTCCCCTCCTCGCCATGTCTCCTTTCTGGGGCTGCCTCCCCCTAACGCAGGGCTCAGCGTCGCCTTGTTCACCGATGGCTAGGCCTGGTCCTGTCCTGCCTTCTCAGTCATTCCCCCAGTGTCCCCGTGCCCTTGTAACTGTTGCACAAATCTACAAAGTAAATCCTGCTTGTAACTCCACTGATGGAAACACCAAAGGATTCTGCAAAATTTCTTAATTCTCTTTATACGTGTATCTTTCTCATTTAAAAAAGTCTTTCCTCCAGCCTTTTGTGAAAAGCAAGTCTAAAGCTTCGAAGCTGTCCTCACCACCCCAGCGTGCGTGACCTGACCTTCGCGACACCAGCGGCTCTCCAAGCTGTCTCTCCTCACCAGCCTCTGCTCGGTTAAGTTTGGGGGTTGATTTGCTTGCCAGTGCCCATTACCTCATCGGCAGTGGTGCCCGGCTCAGGAATGTGGGTATCTGGTGGGCATTCATGCGAGAAACGCTTCCCATGGCCTCTGCGTCTAGATGGCATCATCAGTGGACATGGAGCCACTTTCCCCATAGATGTCATTCTGCCACCTTCTCCTTTTATTTGTCTCACCAGATAGCCCCAGACCTTTCTGATGTGTTTGGTCTTTCATTCCAGGAATGTCTAGGAAGCACCATGGGTTGGTTGGTGGCTGGCTGGGGACTGCTCAGGGACCAGTGCATTGCCCTCAGCTCCTACAGATCCTCCCTGTGGCGAAACACCTTCCAAGGACGCCTCCTGTCACCTCAGTTGCTGCTGACTCAGGATTCCACAAGCCCTCCTTTTCCAATCTTAGTTATTTTTCCAGTTCCAGAATCGCCCTCGACGACAGCACCGTGGTTTCCGGGCCGTCTGCCTCGCTTCTTCTGCAGGAGCTGCGGTGGCTTGCAGCTTAGCTCTCTTACTCTCCAGGCTCCGTTCCGCTTCTGAATCTCGCTCCTCCATTTACATTTATTTTTCCTCCTTTTGTTCTGTATTCATTGTCTGAGTTTATCATGTGTTTCATTCACTGGGATTTGGGCACGGTCGATTCCGGCAGGTGTGCCGTCTAATGATGACGGAGATGACCCCCGGAGGCGCCCTTTATTTAAGTTCAGGGGCACACGTGCAGGTTTGTTATGGGGTAAACTCGAGTCGCAGGGGTTTGTTGTAAAGATTACTTTGTCACGAAGGTATTAAGCCTAGTACCCATTCTTGTTGGAGAAGCATTTGAGATGAGGGTTGCGGGTGGCGGGTTCCAATTTATTGCTTTTTTTCCCCCATTTTAGAAAAAACTTTTTTTGATCCAAAACTTTTTCTTGCTGGTTAATACTTCTATGGGCTGTCCTTCTTGATGCTTCTTGTGATTCTTTGGTTATTTACAAGTAAAATGCTCAGCACGGGGACTATTCATTGAATGGGCAGGAAATGCTAGTGCTGCCACGCCTGCTAAAGGGGCCGCAGCCCATCTATCAAATCTTCTAGCAGAACTGCAGGTTAAATTCCCGGCATTTTTGTCCATCCCACCACCGCAGAGGTCCTCGGATGGAGCAGCCACGACTCTACCCGGAGGGGGCTCTCAAGCACAGGCCACCATCCCGAGGCTCAGTCCCGAGCTGTGAGTTTCTCTGGACACAGTGGCTGCTGCTGAGAGGAGGGACCTGAAGTGGGCCTTGGCCTTTGGCCGCCCCCACAGCCCCACGGGGAGACCCCGCCTCTGACATTGATCAGAGCCCAGGGGCCTCTCCTACTGTACAAGAGAACGCACCATCCATGTGTCCCGAGGAGGGCGCCTGCTTAGCATGAATCCTGACACTCACGAACCACCGAGGTAGTGTTTTAAATCACAGATCTCTGTTGAGGAATGTCTGCGGGCGGACGCACGATAGGTCCCAGGGAATGCCGGAGGTCGCCTTGACGCCTGCGTGCTTCGTGCTGTCTTCTCTGGCCCTGGCTGCTTCCCAGGCTCATCTCAGTGTGGAATCTGATGTCCAACGAGGACCCCACCGTCAGCTCCACCTCTGGAGATGCTGAAGGCAGGGCCGGGCCCCTGTGGCACGCCCGGAAGTAGCCTGGGCGGAGGTGGTAACTGTGCGTCTCTCCATCTGCCTGGCCAGCGCTCCTTCCCTTCCTCCTTCCACGGTGTACCTGAAGGCAAGGCACAGCTGCATTCCGGTTGCTAAGAAAATGACTCATACCGTGAGTGGTGGGGTCTGAGTAGTATCCATACGCTATTTTTTAATGCACTATGAACAATATGCCTACTGACACAGAGATTGTCAGGGAAACAAGTTTACTTAATGTTGCATATACTCACCATGGTTACGACTTGGCACAAACACTAAGTATTTATATCAATAGGACAAAGTTCAGATAATCACTGTAATGTGCATTTTACTGAGACAAATCCGTTGAAAACACAAGATTAATCAGGCAGGTCAGGAGAAGGCATGTTCCCAGGAGTGTAGTGATCTGATGGATTCAAAATAGATTTATAATTGATTGGAAGCAGTTCACCACCCACCAGCCTCAACTTCATGTTCAGAAGAGATTCCCCTAAATTGAGAAGTCACAGAAAAAATTCTTACCAAAAATCGATATGCAAAACATCACGACATCCCCCAGGATGGTGCTGAAGATGGTTCCCTGCAGGAGGGCCCCATCCTGAGCACACCCAGGCTCCGGCCTCGACAGACCTGCAGCATCGGGATTCCCGGTGAAATTCTTCCCACCCATGGGAACCCTGGTTGTCTAACACAGATCTCCTGAGGGGCCCTCAGAGTCTCTAAGTCACTATTCCAAGAGCTGCAGCCTCAGGATTGGGGGGGCGTCCTTCCCGCCCACAGAAACCCTGTTTGTCTAACACAGATCTCCTGAGGGGTCCTCAGAGTCCCTAAGTCACGATTCCAATTACAGAACTGTCTTTCAAACAGCAATTTCTAAAAATGTAATCACAGATCAAAATGACCACTCTGTTTAGAAAGAAATTTTACTCATATTACGCTTGTCTTCATAGCACGTAATTTCTTCAGCTATCTTTGCCCATTCTTTCTTTTCTTTGACAAATGTCTGTGCCCACTTCCAGGCCTGCAAAGCAAAGGCAACCATGAACAGGTCATGTCCCTCTGGGCAAATCTGCCCTAGGACAGGAGAGAAATGGGAACTGGTGGACACACGGTGCCAGGGAACCATCGTGCTGTGAGGGAAGAGCGCGGAGCAGCAGGGAAGGAGAAGAGCAGCGGGGCGTGGCTCTGGACAGAGCAGGAGGAGCAGGAGCTCAGAGCCCTGCAGGCAGAGCCAGCTGTGGATCCTCAGGGCTGAGACAGGAATGAGGGCGACAAGATGCCCAGAGTGGCATGAGCAGGAATGAGAGGGTGAAAATCCAGCTGGGACCCAACCAGAGGCCTTGGCATTTGAACTGGGGAGTCATGTGATTGGATTTGGGATCTACAAAAAAATATCTATGGAAAACAGCAGGGACGTTCCTCAAAAAATTAAACATGGAATTACCATTTGATCCAGCAATTGCCCTTCTGCATATCTACTCAAAAGAACTGAGAAGAGCAACCCAAGCGGATATGGGTTCCCCCATGTTCACAGCAGCTTTGCTCACAAGAAGCAAAGACGGGAAGCAGCCCCCATCCACGGACAGATGGATGGATCCACAGAGGCCGCCCAGCCATGGATGGAATCATGCTCAGTCTCGAGGCGAGAGGAAACTCTGACCCATGCTACAGCACGGATGGATCTTGAGGCCATCGTGCTAAGTGAAATAAGCCAGGCACAAAATGCAAACACTGCGCCATTCCACGCATAGGAGATCCCTGGAGTGGTCAGATTCACCGAGGTGGAAAGTAGAAGAGGGGCTGCCGGGGCAGGGGATGGAGAATTCATGTTTGATTGGGACAGAGTCTCAGTTTGGGAAGATGAACAATTCAGGAGATGGATGGCGGTGATGGTTTCACAACAGAGTGAATGTGCTTAGTGCCACTGAACTGTACACTCAGAAATGGTTAAAATGGGACACTTTATGCTATATACATTTAGCCACGTATACATACATCCGCCAGGTGGGCCTATCACCTGAGGTCAGGAGTTCGAGACCAGCCTGACCAACATGGTGAAACCCCGTCTCTACTAAAAATATAAAAATTAGTTGGGCATGGTGGCATGTGCCTGTAATCCCAACTACTTGGGAGGCTGAGGCAGGAGAATCACTTGAACCTGGGAGGCGGAGGTTGCAGTGAGCCAAGATCACGCCACTGCACTCCAGCCTGGATGACAGAGCGAGACTCATAAATAAATAAATAAATTTAAAGAACACTCTAGCAACTAAGCAAACAGTGGGATCCGGAGAGAAGAAAAGCCAGAGGCACCCCCAGTTCTCTGGAGGAGAGGGCCCAGGGCTGGAAGTAACTAAGGTGGCGGGTGTGGAGTGGGCAGGAATGGGCAGGTGCAGGATCACTTTTGAAAATGGTCGATGGAGCAAAGGTGGGGGCTAGAGGCAGGAAGAATGGGAGTGGAGGCTTGGCGTGCATGCACCTGCATCGTTTGAGGGGCCATTCTGAGATGGGGGGATTCATAGCATGGGGCTGGGGCCCAAGGGCCAGGCTCAGTCTCACTCCTCCTGACCACCATGATGGTGGCTATGTGAGGAGTAGCTGGCTCAGGGCTGCAAACCTTTCTAGGAGGTGCTTGTACCATGCGGCATGTGGGGGCAACTAGAGGAGGCTGCCTAAGGCTGGAGGCTGCCGGCGCTCCCTTCTCCACCACCCAGGTCTAAGGAGAGCATGGTCCTGGGCACCATGGGAGGTGATGGCCCCAACCCTCAGGAAGCCCTGTAGCACTGAACAGGAGAGCTTGGGGCCGAGCCGGGAGCCCTCCCCACAGGAGCTCCCATGCCGAGACCCGGGGGGAGATGGAGGGGCTGCCCTCCCTCAAAGGGCCTGGTGCCTGGGTGCACATCGGATGGACAGGAGGTCACGGGTGTCCCCAGAGCCTCTGCTTCACGGGCCTGGGGGTTGGAGGGCCAAGAACCTGTGTGTCTAACACGTTGCCACGGTGCCTGGAACGACTGCAGAATGCCCTGCTAGTTCTTAGGTTGGTTCCAGGCTCCTAGAGTTTCTTCCTCCTATTAGGTGTCATTACCTACATGTTAAATATATCGCCTGGCATGTAATACCTACTTCAGAATTATTTTTAAGTTTCAAGAAGAGGGGTGTGGAGCACAGTCCCTCAAGGGCCCCAGGGGACGTGGGTGGTGTGCGCCCAGCTCCGAAGCTCCCTCTGGGCCTGGTCTTCTTCCTCCACGAGGCAACCCTGGGCCACTAGCAGAGAGGACAACGGTTGTGTCCCTAGACAGCTCTGCACTGTCCTTGTGTAGGGAGCAGGGCGCCTGCAATATGGAGACCTCCAAGACATAGATTCCCCACCTTGCAAGATCCCCAACCTCCTCATGCACCCTGAGTCAGGCCCCATGCTGAAGATGGAGAAATTCAACCCCAGCTCCCAGGAGTGGCCCCATCCGGAGACAGAGAGCAGGAGAGGGACACACAGGCCCTGTGGGGGACCCTGTGGTGACTGAGAGGGACCCCAGCACAGCCTCCCAGTGTGGACCCCTACTCAGTGTTCCTACAGCCCTGCCACGGGGGCTCTCTCCCCCAGCTAGCCCCCAAGCCTGTCCCAGGTGGGCACCATGCCTGGGCGTGGACCTGCCTGTGCCCCCACCCCGTGCAGGCTCCAAAACCTCTGCAAGGTGCCACGGTTACAGGCTCTGTTTTGTTGTTTGTTTGTTTGTTTGTTTGAGATGGAGTCTCGCTCTGTCACCCAGGCTGGAGTACAGTGGTGCCATCTCCGCTCACTGCAAGCTCCGCCTCCCGGATTCAAGCCATTCTCCTACCTCAGCCTCCCGAGTAGCTGGGACTACAGGTGCCTGCCACCATGCCCGGCTAATTTTCTGTATTTTTAGTAGAGATGGGGTTTCACCGTGTTAGCCAGGATGGTCTCAATCTCCTGACCTCATGATCTGCACGCCTTGGCCTCCCAAAATGCTGGGATTACAGGCGTGAGCCACCGCGCCCAGCCAGGCTCTGGTTTTTTTGATTGAGGTAAAACTCATACAACAGAAAAATGACCATTTTAAATATACAATTCAGTGACATTTAGGAGAGTCACAATGCTTTGTAACCACCACCTCTCTCTATTCCAAAACATTTATTTGAGACAGGGTCTCACTCTGTCACCAGGGCTGGAGTGCAGTGGTGCAATCATAGTTCACTTCAGCTTCGACCTCCCGGGTTCAAGCAATCCTCCCACCTTAGCCTCCAGAGTAGCTGGGACCACAGGTGTGTGCCATCACGCCTGGCTAATTTTTTATTTTTTATTTTTTGTAGAGACAGGGTCTGGCTGTGCTGCCCAGGCTGGTCTCAAACTCCTAGGCTCAAGCATCCCTCCTGCCTCAGCCTCTTGAAGTACTGAGATTACAGGGGTGAGCCACCACACCCAGCCCAAAACACTTTTACCACCCCAAAAGGAAAGTTGTTAAGTTCTACACCCCATTTTCCCTTCCACTCAGCCTGAGGCAGCCTCTGATCCACTTCCTGCCTCTGTGGGTTTGCCTGTCCTGGAAATTTCATATAAATGGAATCCTACAGTATGTGGCCTTTGGGGACTGGCTTCATCACTCGCCAGAGCATCTTCAGGGTTCATCCACGTTGCAGGAGGAATCAGCACTGCATTCTTTTTTTTTTTTTTTTTTTGGTGAGGGGGTACGGAGTCTCGCTCTGTCACCCAGGCTGGAGTGCAGTGGTGCAATCTCCGCTCACTGCAAGCTCCACCTCCTGGGTTCACGCCATTCTCCTGCCTCAGCCTCCCAAGTAGCTGGGACTACAGGCACCCGCCACCACGCCTGGCTATATTTTTGTATTTTTAGTAGAGACAGGTTTTCACCGTGTTGGCCAGGATGGTCTCCATCTGCTGACCTCGTGATCCACCTGCCTCAGCCTCCCAAAGTGCTGGGATTACAGGCGCCCGCCACCACGCCCGGCTAATTTTTTGTATTTTTAGTGGAGACGGGGCTTCACTGAGCACTGCATTCTTTCCGTGGCGGAATCACGTCCCATCGCGTGGCTGAGCCACAATGTGTTTACTCATTTCTGTCGATGGATATTTGGGTTGTTCCTGAATTCTGGCTGTTGCGCTCAGTGCTGTTACGAACAGTCATGAGCAGAGTCTGTTTTCGCTTCCTTGGTGTCTGCCTAGGCGTGGGCTTGCTGGGCCTCATGGTGATTGCATGTGAAACTCTTGGAGAAACTGTCACGTTTTCCACAGCGCCGCACAGCTGCTTCCACAAGACAACGCACGGCCCGGCCCTCCAGGCCCCCATGCAGGCTGGAGCCCAGCCCCACCTCCGTCCTGACCTTGGGAAGGGGACGGGTCACAAGCAAGATCACGGAGGTGCGGTAGGGGTGGGGTGGGGGTGGGCACAGACTTCCCGTGTGGACCGTCAGCCTCTCGCCACCCTGTGCCGGAAATGCAACGTTCCCCTTCCTAAACTGAGGCAAAAGGTAATCTAAGTATTTTTCAATCTGAAAACGGAGGAATTATTAATAAATGATTGATTCTTCAGAGATTCACCTCGTTTCCATTTTTGCCTTGTAACAATTAAGTCCGCTTGCTTTCGAGAGTGACCTATTTCAGTAGACCTGTTTAAACTGGATCAGCAGCAGCCCCGAGAAGCGGGCCTGTGCACACGGGGACACCGCCCGGCTCGTGCACGGCGTGCAGTGCTGAGAGAGAAGAGCTGTGTGTGCAGTCCTCAGGTTCCAGACTGACTTTCCTAATGCACAGTGCAGTCACGCCGCTGCAGCTCTAGAGCCCTCAGTGGCTCCCTGTTGCCTTCCAAACCAAACCCCAGCTCTGCAGCAAGAACCTCCCCCAACAGCTGCCAACCCTCCCAGCAGCCTTTTCACCAAGCGCCCCTTCTGCATACCCCACAGCCTAGGTGCTCCCTACACGGCCCCTTCTGCCTCCCTTATCCCTCCATGGGCCATGCCCCGCCTCACTTCAGTCCATCTCCAACACCGCCTCCCTCACGGAGTCCCCCCAACAACCACCAGGACCCACCACGGATTCCTGCTGTACTGGCTAAAGGCACAGGCCCCTCACTCTCTGCTCCTGGACCTCTCCCACATCACTGTTGCTCCTTGCTGACCACCGGCTGTGTCCCAGCTGACCTCGCGCTGTCCCCCAGCTGACCCTGGACCATCTCCCTGCTGACCTTGGGCTGTCCGCCAGCTGACCTTGGACCATCTCCCTGCTGACCTTGGGCTGTCCCCCAGCTGACCTTGGACCATCTCCCTGCTGACCTTGGGCTGTCCGCCAGCTGACCTTGGACCATCTCCCTGCTGACCTTGGGCTGTCCCCCAGCTGACCATGGACCATCTCCCTGCTGACCTTGGGCTGTTCCCCAGCTGACCTTGGACCATCTCCCTGCTGACCTTGGGCTGTCCGCCAGCTGACCTTGGGCCGTCTCCCTGCTGACCTTGGGCTGTTCCCCAGCTGACCTTGGACCATCTCCCTGCTGACCTTGGGCTGTCCGCCAGCTGACCTTGGGCCGTCTCCCTGCTGACCTTGGACCATCTCCCTGCTGACCTTGGGCTATCCCCCAGCTGACCCAGGGCTGTCTCCCTGCTGACCTTGGGCCATGTCCCTGCTAACGTTGGGCTGTCAACCTTGTCCTCTTCACCTCAGCCCTCCAGGGTCCTTGAAGCCCGCAGCTGGATCCCTCCTTCCAGCTCCTCTGATGCTGGGAATCTCAGTGGGAACAGTCTGTGTGGGGAGCACTGCAGTTTACCCTACTCCAGCCCAGTGAGAGGGGCGCATGGTGTTTTGTGTGAATTGCTTCCCCCCGCCAAGTCCATTGCTAGGGCCACACAGACACATGGACGGCGCCCTCGAGTCTCCGTGCCATGTCCAGGGAGGTCTACACTCTGATGTGGTTCGAAGGCCAGGCGAGGCTCTTGGCCTGCAGCATCCCTCAGCACACCTGCCCCTGCCTGTCTCAAGCTCTCTCTCTTGGCCATCACCAGAAAAATCCAGAGCCATTTCCCACATATACCAGGAAGGAGGACCCATGAGGCTCAGCTCCAAGTTACATAAATCCAGAGCCCAGTGAGCCACGCACTCCACTCTCTGGCTGCCAGGGAGGGGGCCATACCGGGCTGCCTTCAGGTCCTCCGTGGAAGGATTCCTGGGGCCAAAGCCCTGCTGGAACCGACCTGGTGCTCAGTGAGGGAGGCCCTTGCTGCCACAGAGCAGAAGCCCACTTCGCTCCAGGAAGGCAGATGCCCCGGAGGGATTTTGTCGCATTTACTGGTGCATGAGGGGAGGACAGAGAAGCCCCCCACCCTTGGGACATCCTCCAAACTGAAACGGCTGCCACTGCCTCCCCAGGCCATCCCCAAGTGAGAAGCTGCAGCCTGCCTCTCCACAGCCCTGGGGCCCAGACCTTGCTACCAACAGCCTTGACTGCCAACACACACCCCAGAGGGCTTTCCAGGCCAGGATGGAGACGCCGCCCTGGGCCCTCACACAGGTGTGTGCACCCCAGAACAGTCACTCACAAGGAGAACATGGGTGAGAACTGGGAAGTGGTAACCAGGCAGCCCTCCACCTGCTGCCTCCCTGCCAGTCCTCTACCAAGGGAAGCCCAGGGGAGTGGGCAAGCTCTGGGTATGCCAACAGAGGACCTCAACCTCTGTCCCCTTGGCAGATGTCCCCATGGAAGCCTGCGTGGCCCAAGGCTGCTCCCTGAAATCCCACCCAGACACAGAAAGGCCCATCAGCTCTGCTGGCCTGGCCCACAGTGACTCCCAGGCGAGGTGCCTGTTCCATGCAGAGCCTGCCATACTCTGGAGGCCTCTGCCCAGAACCCAGAACCCACACGCTCTTCTGACCCTTCTGAGTGTTCTCCCCAGAACTAGCAGGGCTAAGTTCTGGTCCAGAAGGGGCTGCACAGTGTCACATTTGAGTGGCCCCAAGAAATGTATCTTCAAAGTTCCGAAAGCTGGGTTTCTGGACCACTTCTTGGCCAGTCAGAACATTAACATTACTTTAACCCTCCTTGAGTGGTAATCAGCATTGACCATCGCAGTTAGACTAAGGGTCAGAGGCCACATCAGGTAGGTTGACTGCTCCAGCCAGAAGCCAAGGATCCCCTTCTGCAAGGTAAGCCCCAAGTGGGTAGGATTGTTCCAACAGGCTTGGGACGGAGCAGGCACTCCATGAATATTTGCTAATGAATGAATGGAAGATGAGCAGTTCTCCATCTCTCCTCCCTCAATTCATCACAAGTCCTATCAAATTCACCTGGCAAATATTTATTGAGTGACTACTATGTGCCAGACACCAGGGAAACCATGAAGATTCCATGATTAGCAAAAACAAATATGGCCCCTGAAGCATATGATCCAGACAACATGATAAATAGTAACCAAATGATCACACAGACTGGTGTATAATTACAAACTAGAAAAGGAACCCAGTGATAAGAGGCACCTAACAAAGGAATCTGACCTGGACCGGGGAGTCATATGAGTGTCCTCTAAGAAACGGTGCCTGGGCCAAGATCTGAACGAGGAAGAAGAGCTAAACAGAAGAAATTAAGAGAGGAGGAAAGAGCTTTCTAGACAGAGCAGCATATGCAAATACCCTGTGGTCATGAGGAGAATGAACATATTCCAGGAGATGAAAGAAGACAAAAGTGGCTGCTGTGCCCAGAAAAGGAGGGACTAGGGTAAGAAATTTTGTTGGAAAGTCAGAAAGTCAGGCAAGGGCCAAACTGTTCATGGCCTTTTAGAGGTGACATCAAGTAACATTTCAATGATTTAAAGGAGGAAATCTTTGAAGAGGACTTGAAGTGCCTTTAAAAAATTCACAAAGAGACGTTGAGTGGGCAGGTGGGCAAGAGAGTGGAAGCTCAGAGAAGAATCTGGGCAGAAGAATAAATGTGGAGCCATAAGCATGCAGGTGGCACTGGAGGCAGGGGGTGTAGATACACTTACCCAGAGCGAGCCAATAGAGAGAGAAAGGAAGAGACCCAGGGCTGTGCCTGGCTGAACCCTAGCATCCGGTAGCAGGCCAGAAGAAGATGAGCTCACAAGGGAGACAGAGGAGTGACCACAGAGACAGAAAGGAGGGAGGAAGAAAAGCACGAAAGAAGAGCCTACACCTCTCCTTCTCACTGCCACCACAGGACAGCCACTGCCTGCCCTACATCCCGCCACCCTGCAGGGACCTACTAGCTGATCTTTCACTCCAATGTCCTCTCCTTGGAACCTACATACCAGCCAGAGACAGCTCTGAAAAGATATGCCCTTCCCCTGCTTCAAATCCTTTTAAGTGTTCCCATTGCCATTAGGGTACTTTCCCATTTTTCCCAAGACCCCCAAGTCCTATGTGATCTCCCTTTCCAGTGTCCATGGCTGTGTGCTGTGCAGTCCATGCTCCAGGTTCAGTTCCAGGAGACGCCGAGCCTGCCCTTCTGCCCCTCCCCGGGGTGAAGTTGGGGTGTAGATCGGGCACCTCCTGGTCCCCAGTGTGGTTTGTCCTTCTAATAATGATCAAGGGGGTATCCTGGAGCTCCCAAGCACAGGCAAGAGAACCCAAGCGCACAATGCCCAATGGTGTGAGGGGCTCACCCCACAGCACGTTGGGAATGTCTTGGCCTGTCTCAGAATGTCTTTAGCACTGAGCAGTCCTGTAACCCCCACTTTAAGTTGTCCTTGTCATCCTGTAGTCTGGATACCCTCACTTTCTCCCTCAATACCCAGGCACAACATGTCCCCTCCGTGCCCAGGCTCCAGTTGCTGTGCGCCTCTCACAGTGCCCTGAACTCAGCATGTTCATGGGGACTATTTCAGTTGCAGGTGATTGACAGAATCCACACTCAGAGCATCTTCGACCCAAGAGGAAATTCTTTGCCTTCAACCACTGAAAACCACATTCAAGATCTCACAGAACCGAAGAGAGAGCTGCAGGACTCAGGGTTCCAGAAAAAGAAGCTGAAACTCCACCCAGCATGTCCTTCTCACCCCTTCTTCCTCTTACCGAACTCCTATTCATCCTTCAAGACGCTGTGCAATTGCTACCTCCAGAAAGTTCTAAGTGACTCCCCTAAGCAGGGTCCCTCTTCATCCTCTGGGATCTCAGAGATTTACGTTTGTGCCTCTTTTATTGTACTTTTCACATTGCGTTGTAAGCGTTTTTTTCACACACCAACCTCCTCCAGGAACCCAGGGCCTCCTCAAGGACATAGACTATGCTTTCTCCTCTCTCTCTCTCTCCCTCTTTCCCTGCTGGATACAGCCTATTCACACGCACAGTAGGCGTCAACAAACACGACTACATCAGATGTGGGCTTCTCAATCCTGGTACTGTGTTCTTTAACTCTTCTTTGGACCTGAAGATGCAAAGGAGCCATATGAATTTGGGGATGGTGGAGACAGCTGCCCTCGGGGCTGTGAGCTGAGGGGGCCGAGCCTCCCCAGCGGGACTCTGATCTTGCTCACTCTGCATGGCAACACCCACATTTGCTTACTCGATACACACCACATACATGCTTGATAATTACAGGCTGCTGTGGATTTGTCTCACCCGCATTTGGAAGATCCAAAAGCAATTACCCTGCAGCCTCCCTGCGCTCAGGAAGACAGGAGTAATCAGGGCTAATGACACAGCACTTACTGTGTGATCTCCTGCCGCTATGCTGTAATTACTATGTAATTAAGTGGTCACCAGTTACCATGTAAACACGGCTTACACTTGATGCATCTATGGCTTAAACAACCCTACAAACTCATTTTAATTTCAAAGTGTTGAATGGAAAACAGTTGGTCGGCACAGATAGAGGACACCAGGTCGGAAAACTGTGAGGGCTCCTGGGAAAGAGGAGGATGCCCTTTCAAACCTCAGTGTCGCAGGTGTGGGGCAGAAAAAGAAACAGAGCAAAAAAAAAAAAAAAAAGGGAAAGAGTACACAGTGGATTATCTGCAAGAATGCGCCAGGTGCTATATGCAGAAGCACCTCATAGACTGTAAAGGACCAGCCAACTGCTTGCGTGCAACCATACTTTTATAATTTGGTGATCCCTTGGGACCAGAGAATACATTCCAGACCACCCAACAGAATGTCATAAGGAAGACCCTCTTTTTCCCAGAGTAAAATAATCTTGAGTCAGGCAGTTCGAACCTTCCACTCTGCTGCTGAAAACTCTTAGGTCTTCAGAATAATAGAGGAAGGGAGGAGTTATTTCTTATGTCCCAATATCTTGTGACCGACAGGATGATGGGTACTCTAATGCCACAGCTAATTCTGTGTCAACTTGACTGGGCTAAGGGACGCCCAGATAGCTCGGAACATCTTATTTCTGGGTGTGTCTGTGAGGTGTTTCTGGGAGAGGTTAGCATTTGGATTGGTGGACAGAGTAAAGAAGACCTGCCCTCCCCAGCATAGGTGGGCAGCAACCATCCGTTGAGGGCCCAGATAGAACAAAAAGGCAGAGAAGGGTAAACCTGCCTCCCGTTTGAGCTGGGACACCTGTCTTCTCCTACCCTTGGACAGCAGCACTCCTGGCTCTCAGGCCTTCAGATGTGGACTGAGCTGCACCACTGGCAGTCCTGGGTTTCTAGCTGCAGGCAGCAGCTGATGGGACTTCTTGGACTCCATGATTGTGGGAACACATCCCATAATACATCTCTCCCTTTCTCTCTCTCCATATGTGTGTGTGTGCAAGTGTGTGCATGTGTGCACCTGCAAAAAAATCTTCTGGTTCTCTTTCTCTGGAGATCCCTGACTAATGCACCTGAAGACATGGCACCAGCGATTGGACACGCCTTGCTCACGCTCATCAGGAAGGTGAGGCTCCGTGGTGGAAGGTCTCAGCCCCACCCAGGATTGGTCATTAGCTGGCCTGGGGTTTGGTGCCTGTGACCTCCCAGAGGTCCTGAGGAAGCCATTCTATCCTGGGTGTTGTGGGTAGGGGTGAGGCTACAGTAGGAGCTGGCCCAGGAGGGCAGGAGGGTGGGTGGCAGGAGACCAGCTGACAGGTCTCAGAAGCATGGCTGCCTCGCTCCCTACCACACAGGCTGTGAGGAAACCCTCCAGGCATGGAGAGAATCTCCCTCCCTGTCTTCCACCCACCTGTCTGCAGCAGAAGCTAGGCTACCTCCTGGAGCCCCCAAAACAGTCAAGGTCAAAACAGACCAGAGGGCCAGGCCTTCATTTCTTCCAATTCGGGAGGACATCATGGGTCATGGGGGTGGGGGAAACACGTGTCAGCAAATGACCCCACCCCAACCCTAATTGGCAAATGCAAAGCCAATGCTGTCACCTCCCTTGGCCTTCTGGGAGCACTCACCATGCACGAGCACCCCTGCGCACAGCCAACTTCCTCCACTCAGTTCCCAGCTCTGTGCTCCCTGGGGGTCCCAGTTCACCTCTTGGCTGCTCCTTGTGGCCTCTGGGACTGGATCCTCCTCCCCTTCCAGGATGCTACACAAGACCCTGTTCCTAGCTGCACTTGCCCACTGGGTGGTCTCTGAGTCCCAGTCCCATGGCCTAGATGCTGTCTTTGCACAAACGACATGTGCATTGCCATTTCCATGCCTCGTCTTTCTTACAGACTTACTCCACAGGGCTCGCTTGACCAGCTGTCAAACAAGATTAAGTCTCAAATCCACAGATTAAGTCCACCCATCGGACTCTGTGCGACTGTCACAAAATGTCACCAACTGGATAATTCATAAAGAGCAGAAAGAGGCTGGAAGTCCAAGATCAAGGCACTAGCAGGTTCATTGTCTGGAGAGGGCCCGGTCTCTGCTCCCAAGATGGTGCCCTGAACGCTTCATCCTCCGGGGGAGGAACGCTGTGTACCCATATGGCAGAAGGTGGAAAGGCAGGTGAGGGATGAATGCCGAACAAAGCTCTCTCATAAGGGCCTCAGTCTCACTCACAAGAGGGGCAGCCCTCATTGCCTCGTGGCCTCTTAAAGACCCACCTCTTAACACATCCCATTGGCCATTAAGTTTCAACACCTGAATTCTAGAGGGTACACATTCAAACCACAGCACCACCCAAATGTCAAATATGCAACCCAAACTTCACATGTGTACAGTGGCTGCTGGGTTGCATACCCTCCATATCCCAACTTCCCCTTTAAAATCAAGACAACTGTCATCCCAGCTGCTGGCAGTGTCGGCTGCTAACAGCCCACATCTGGGTTCCTTCTGGGACTTGCCCTCATCCAGGATAACATCCAGGCACAGGCGACGGGAAGCCCTCCAGCAGCAGCACCCAACAAATGGAGGATGCCACACACCGCAGGAGCTTACAGTGCCCACCACATGGACGGCGTCACGACAGGAAGACCTGATGAATAAAACAAAGAGTGTCCAGCACATCGGAGCCTCTGGTACGACAAAAGTGCTCTAGAGAAGGGGTCCCCAACCCCTGGGCCAGGGAATGGCACCAGTCTGTGGCCTGTTAGGAACCAGGCTGCATAGTAGGAGGTGAGCAAGCATGACCACCTGAGATCTGTCTCCTACAAGATCAGCAGCATTAGAGCCTCACAGAAGCACAAACCCTCCTGTGAACTGCACATGCTCGGGATCTAGGTTGCCTGCCTCTTATGAGAATCTAATGCCTGATGATCTGAGGTGGAACAGTTTCATCCCAAAATATCCCCCCCCAACCACCCGCCCCAGTCCATGGAAAAGTTGTCCTCCATGAAACCGGTCCCTGGTGCCAGTGGTCCCTGGGGATCACTTCTCTAGAGGACACCCTCCTATCCGGAGGATGAGAGGGAAACTCTCAAAATGTTTCGAGGCTGGCAGCATCAGGTTAGCTTTTCGGGACCCAGTGATCCAAGGCATGCAGCACATCCCCCACAAAGTAAAGGACAAGTGACTGAATCTCGTCCTCCCACCAGAGAAGAAGGCACCATTCCTTGTTGGCCTTCTGGGGCTCTGCCCCTGCCCTCATCACTGCCAGTGACCATCACACTAGACTGTGCACTTCCCACCCAGTGAATTTAGGTCAAGCGGGTCTAGATGTCCTGGTTCCAGAAGAGGCTGCTCCCGCCAGAGGTCCAGCAGCAAGGAGGGGAGTGCCCACCTGGTAGGGTTGGCCCAGGTCCCCAGGAGGAGGTGGGAGCCCAGCCAACCCGCTGGGGCATGTCCTGGTTCTCCCCTGACCAGTCTTGATGGTCAGTGGACAGATACGGCCAACACAGGGGCTGAAGCTCACCCCACTAACCTTTGTCTGCTGAGTTTCTCCAGGAGGAGACATCATGCCGATGCCAGGGCAGACCTTCCCAGGTGGGGTGGACTCACCATAGGAGGCAGTGGCCTAAGCTGGGGGTGGGGTGGGCCACCAGGAGCATGGGGTGCACCCCAATGTCCCCACATAGGACCAAGGTGCTCATTTCCCAGCCACCACTGCTGCACTGCTGAGGCCCCTCTGCAGCCTCCACTGGCGGATGACAGCAGGAGTTCCCTCCCCACCCCATGCAGGATGACGCCAAGAGCTCTCCCAGCTCCTGAGCCTCCATGGGAATGGCTGAGGCTCAGTGCAACCACATCATGGTTCGACAGCCCCCTCTGTAAACAACGCTTTCCGTGCTCCCCTGCAGGTGTGCCCCGAGAGCAACCCCTCTGTTCTCTACAGCTCTCCACCTCAGGACCCTTCCCAGGGACCCCAAACCAGGAACAGGTCGAAAAACAGACTCAACTTTCCATCTCAGGCTGCTTCTCCCCTGAGTCTTCTCCGCTCAGGAGACGGAGCCACCGTTCATCCATTGGCTCAGACATGGAATCTGGGTGCCAATGCTGACCTCTCTCTTTCTGTCTACCTCACACCTGACCTGTGAACACATGTTTTCCAATCTAACTTCACAACCTTTTCAGAACAGAACCTCCTCAGCACCTCCACCACCACCTCCTCCCCGGAGCCTCTTCCTCTCTCATCAGGACCAGAGCAGCAGCCTCCCCGCTGAACCCCACCACACACACACATGCCACACCATGCCACACACACATACACACACGCACACCACACACACGTACACAACACACACATCACACCACACTATACACACACATGCCACACCATGCGACACACACATACACACGCACCACACCACACACGCATGCACAACAGACACATCACACCACACTATACACACACATGCCACACACACATACACACATGCACCACACTACACACACGTACACAACACACACATCACACCACACTATACACACACATGCCACACCATGCCACACACACACACATGCACCACACTACACACACGTACACAACACACACATCACAGCACACTATACACACACACATGCACAACACACACATCACACCACACTATACACACACGCCACCCCATGTCACACACCACACTTGCACACATACATTGCACATATCACACCACACCATGCACACACATGCCACACATCACACACATGCACACCACACATCACACACACCACACCAAAAACACACACCACACATGGAGACACACATATCAACATGCACACACGTACCACACACCACACATGCACACACATATATCACACCGCACTATGCACACACACCACAAATCACACATGCATGTGCATGCCACACTACACCACACACAGGCTGAGGGTGGCTCCAACCACGCATGCACACACATGTGCCACATAGGATACATACACACCACACAGTACATGCAAACACACGCATGCATGCACACACACACATAAACTCAAACACCACACACACAGCCTAGACTTCCCATGGCAGCATAAGTAGACATTTTAACACATCAATCAAATCATGTCCCACCTATGAGACCCCCACACCTAGGGCCCCCCACTCCTTAGGAAGAATCCACGGTCCTCACCGTCCCCAGGAAAGCCTGCGGCCCAGCTCCCACCTGCCCCTCCGGCTTTACCTTCCTCTGCTCCATCCAGCTTCCCCCCACGCCCTGACACACCAAGCATCACCTGCCTCCTGGCCTGGCCCAGGCTTTGTCTGTTTGGGACATTTTTTTCCCATGGATGTGCACAGCCCCATCTCCCATTTCACTGTCTCAGCTCCGATGTCCCCTCTCAGAGGGACCCACCTTGTCCACCCCAGGCAATGCCACCCCTCACCCTGGATCCCTAGGGTCTGCCCGGGTTTACCAGGCCCTTGTTCTGCAAGGCAGCTTCCAGACGTGGCTGTCAGGGAGCAGCTGTGGGGCAGCCTCGGCAGGAGAGACACGCTTACACTCCCCGCCCCGCCCCCCAGAGTAGGCCAGGGGCCGCAGGCCAGCTCGTCCTGGGCAGCACCAGGGGGTCACCTTCCCTTTTCTCTGTGAGCTCCTTTGGTACCAAGCTGATCCCCACTCCACACAATCGGCATCTTGACATTTACCAGTGAAGGAGAAGTGATGGGTGAGACAGTGACCCCCAGGGACGCCTGCTGTAGGACCAGAAGTGATTGCTAGCCAGAGCCAGGGTTGGGGGGCGTCCACTAGTCAGGAAAAGCCATGTGTCATGCAATGTCCCCAAATGGAAACCAGGACCACCAGCCTCCTGCCCGCCAGCCTTCTCCCGCCAGCCTCCTCCCGCTCCAGGCCCAGTTGATTAGCTGCTCCCCTGATAATGAGGGGCCCGCTGCTTGGGGCCAAGGAAGCTTCAGGCAGGAAGAGAGACCTCAAGCACTATGGAACCAAGTGGAAATTGGCCACAAAAGACTAATTAAAGGGGCCTGAGGCCTCCAACCTGTCACCTTGTGTGGGCTTTTAAAAAGCTTTGCAGACAAGCACAGAACGCTAGGACTTTGGTCTTAATTAACTCCACGTGTCTTGTTGAGCAAGCAGAGACAAGAAATAAGCGCCTCTCCTGCCCCCAGCCAGGAGCTCCTCATGCCTCCCAGAGGCTCTGGGCTGGTTTGGGTGGAGATAGAGGGAGGAATAAGGTCTGTAGATGGGCCAGCCAGGTGCCTACCAGGTGCCCACCAGCTACCCAGCAGGTGTCTGCCTGGGACCTTCCCAGGGACCCTGGGTATTCTCTGCCTGCGTCCATCACCTCCACCCCCAGAGCCTGTGACCTCCCTGGCCACAGCACACAGAGGTGCAGAGCACAGCCTTCTACTCCAGCCGTGGCTCCTGATGCCTGGCAGCACAGGTGTCACCCACGAGCCTGTTAGAAACGCAGAACCGAGGCCCCGCCCCAGGGATTCCCGTGCATCAGTCTGAGAAGCAAGCGCTGTCCTCGGGGACGGCTCCAAGCCCACTGGCTGAAGGCTGTGTTGGGGCAGGCTCAGCTTCCTCATCTATGGGACGGGGATGCACACTGTCTACACCACGGGTCATGAGATTCCTCGTGATGTGTGTGCAAAGCACTTGGCGCTGAGCCACAGGAAGCACTCAGCGTTGAGAATCAGCTGTCTGCCTATTTAAGTAACTTCATGGGCCGCTTAAAAAAAATTTATCGCGGCAGCACACCTGTGAACCTAGTTACTCAGGAGGCTGAGGCAGGAGGATCACTTGAGCCCAGTTCAAGCCTACAGTGAGCCATGATGGAGCCAATGCACTCCATCCTGGGGAGCAGAGCGGGACCCTGTCTCTAAAATAGTGTTTATCCTGCTGGGTTTGGCTGAAGGGAAGGAGGGGCCTCTTGCTGCCCTCAGACCTGGTGACTCATAGCCCTGGCACCAGGGAGGGCCCAGCTCCATGGGAAGGGCACAGAGCAAGCCGGGGAAGGATCCAGCTGCTGCCAGCCACACGTCATCCACCCGCGCTGCTTGGCACCCATGTCCCCCACCTCCCGGCTGGATGAGAGTGAGCAAGCCCGTCGGGGCTCATTAGCAGGTGCCCTAACGCCATAGGAGAGGAGGAGAGAAACGTCCTGGGAGGCCTGATGTCAGAGGAGCCTCAGGATTTGAGTGAGGCCTGTGAGGCGGCCCTGTGGGGTCAGGGGGCACGGTGGGACAGATGTCCAGGAAGACAGGGGAGCTGCAGGGGACACGGACACTGCCCCCTTCCCTTCTCCCTGTGCCAGTTCTCGGGGTCCTGACTGATTGGTCTCCTCCCTGCATCCCCCACTGTGTCCTTGCCCCATTGTCCTCCGCCCCCAGACAGTGGCAGGCACCGGTGACGGGTGTCTCCTGTCCACAGGAGGCTGCACCCTCCTCACTTCCTCCTCTCAGCTGTCCGCGGACACCTTGGAGCAAGACAGCCCCACACCTCCCAGCCTCTGCCATGCACTCACCAGACAGGCGGCCAGGTGGGCCGCAGCTCCGCAAGGGAGGTCTCCAACTGGCAGATGAGCTCCTCCGCCAGGCTCCTCCCCTCACTTCTAGGCTCTGGGCCAAGGCCACCTCTTTTCCTCCTTCCCTACTCTCGGCTCCCCACCACTGCCACCCCCAGTTCAGCAGCCTCGTGCTCCCCCCGGTCATGGCACAGCCCCCATGCCCCACGGTCTCCATCCTGGCCTCTGTGTTGCTCCACCATGCTGCCTGACCTGACCACCTGAGAGACGCAGTTCCGACCCCCACTCTGAGGCCACTGAGTGTGGGGCCCCTGGGCTCAGTCCCCAAGGCCTGAGTCAAACCCACCTCCAACGCTTTCAGCTGGGGGCTTGAGGCAAGTTCCTCCCGGCCTGGGCTCCAGGCTCATCATCTGTAGAAGATAATGATGGGACCCCCCTTGTAAGATGGGGTGTGGCTGCTGCCCACCGGATCTAGGCCAGAGCCCCCTGTGTCTCTGCTGTCCTACTTCTGCCAAGCACAGCCTCCTGGCCAAGTGGCCAAGCGGCAGGGACCACGGGGCTGCCAGAGGTGGTGGTGTCACCCTGAGAACTCAGCTCAGTCCAGTGCTTCTCCATCCCAGGAGAGGAGGGTCCAAACACCCAACATTCCCTCTCCTCTGGGGCGAGCTGTGCTCCCCAGGAAGTGAGCTACAACCTTCCAGGGACAGCCGGGGCTCCATCCCAGCCAGGACCCACTCCAGGCCCTTCCTCAGCACATGACATGCATGGACCAGCTCCACCCCTCCAGGGGCCCCGGCCCTCACCGCACCACACCCTGCTTTCCTGGGATTCATTCCAGAGGCGCTGTGGGGACCGCTCAGTCCGGACCCCTCATTTTGCAAATGGCAAAGCAAGGAGCCAAAAGGGCAGGCAATGACCAGCATAACCCCCTAGGACCGCAGGGAGCAGAGGCTCCAGCCAAGTCTGGAGGGCACGCCAGCCACTGCCCCAGCTCCATGTCCCGTTCTCTCCCGGTGGCCCGGGTACTTTGATGTTCCCCAGGGAGGGCGTGCCCTCCTGCTGCCTGCACCTGAGGCCTCCTGGCCTCGCTAAAGTGGCCTCATGCTGCCAATGGCTGCACAGAGTTCTGTGTCATAGCCATGAGCACTAGCCCGGTGTTAAGCAGCCTATTTAGAAAGATGATCTATTTTTAGCTGAATCTTCTGCCAGTTGCTTAATATCTGTTTAAATACATGAATTAACACATCTGTCAACAGCACTTAGAGTGGGAATCAGACACACACTCACGGTGGAAGGTGATTTAAAACGAACACATGTGGCAGAATGAAGCCTTAGGGGTGGCTCTTGTTCTTGGCTCCTGGAGGGGCGCCATGCCGATGGCAACCCCCTAACAGGGCAACAGCAGTCAGGCAGGTGGAGCCCCCTCTACGACCTCCTCCAGCCGGGTTGAAAGGGTGCCTGAGAGAACACCAGGGGGACTTCAGGAAGCAACAGCCCCTTGGGGCATCCGAGTGAGGAGCAGGAAGAGCCACCACCACCTCTAGTAGCAGCTTCTCAGCGTCACCCCTGTCCATGGGCACAGCTGAATGAAGGCAACCTGGTGTTTCCCATCAGCTGTCAGGAGCCGTGCTGGGTGCAGAGCAGGAATATTAATTACACCCCACGGTGAGCCTCAGACCCAGGCTGGCAGGACACAAAAGGACGTCCCTGAGCCCCTTCTCCTGGACCCTGAGAAGAGCCTGCAGAGGGCCCGAGGGACAAGGAGAGCCCTCGGGGAACACCCTGCCACCCTCCCCTGGCTGACCCAGCCGCCTGAGATGCCACCCAGTGATGGCAGCGCTGCTGACCTCTCCATCGTGACCCCTGGGCTGCTCAGCTCTGCACCGGGCAGCCCCACATTCCAGCTTCCCGAAAGTACAAACCCTCCCTAATGAGCTTGTGTCCTGCTCTAGGAGGGGAACGCGTGTGAGGACTGATGTGGCAGGCATCAGAAAACCTGCACTTTCAGCCCAGTCCGGCCACTTCCTTGTCATATGACACTGAGAAAGGCACACCCCTTGCTGTGCCTCAGTTTCCTCAGGGCTCCTGCAAGTGTAGCACAGCAGCTCTGCACCCCCCACCCCCTGCCACATTGACCAGCAGCATGTGGGATCTGCCCAAGGTCACAGAGTGGGCCCAGTGGCCACATTGTGATCTTCCCCGACTCCGAGGGGGCACCACGAAGCCCACCCACCCCACCCCCTCTTCTGCCTCAATTTCCCTCAATGGGTAATGAGTCTGGGTGATGGTGCAAAGTTGTGAGGGAAACACCTGAGTCCTGGTGAGAGGGAAAAACCCAGAAAATGAAATGGAGATGTTCCTGCTCTTCACGCCAGATGAGGACCCCGGTTCCGGAGTTCCCTGGGCCAGGACAAGACCAGTGAGTGGGCAGAGCAACCTCGGCTCACCCAGCTGCTCCCTGCTGGCTCTGTCAGGAGCTCAGGGGGCTGCCCACAAGTTCCTTGAGACGGGGCACCCCCAGGGCCATCCCCAGGGCTCAGAACCCAGGGCCAGCTTCCATAATTCCCAAGGACTTTTCAGTTTGTGGCTCCCAGCTCCCCTTGATTCCTCCCTGGACAAAAAATCACAGCCCGATGAGCCTCCCTTTGCTGTCCTCGTGACCTCAGTTTCTTCCAGACCAAGGCCCTCCATGCTCTGGAGTTGGTTCCCTTCCTCCAGGTGCCGTCCAGGAAGGCAGTCAGTAGGTCAGTGGGGAAGGGGCTTAGCTGTGGACATACCATCCCAGAGTGAAGAGGGAGGGTGGCCGGCTCCAGGACATGTCCCTGAGCCCTCGGGTCACTGCAGACCCCATGAACCCCAGGTGGGAGGCCGCCTGACCTGGGTGGGCCCCAGCCCTCCCCGGCACCTGTCCATTCTCTCTCTGTGTCTCCAAAAAGGACAACGGGGATGTTCACAGACTCCTGCTAATGAAAGTAAGGAGGAAAGCTGCAGAAATGTAGGAAAGCAAGAGGTAAGAGGGTGCATTCTCTTTGGAGTCCCCGGAATGGCAGGGCAGCCATCACTCTACCACACGCAGCTGGTGACTCAGCACTCAAGGCCCAGTGGAAGCCGGCCTGTCCTAAAAAGTTGCCCCACAGCCATCATCCAAGCACGTCACTCACAGCAGGAGCAGCCAGCCCCTTGGTCTCATGGTGGGAAGTCCACAGCGGGATTCTGAAAAATACCCCTGAAACCACAAATGTAACCAGGGAATGCGTCCTGGGGAAGAGTGCCAGGAACGATTGGTATCATTCGGAAATTTTGCAAGAAAATGGGAGCATGTTCCTGTTATAAATGAGTCTCCGACGGTGAAATCACTTGATTCGAGTGACTGAACTGTGACCTTTACTCAAGCAATAAAAAAGCCAACAAGAAGAAGTGTACACTTTATTCTTCGGTTAACTTGGGAAGCACAGATGCAATATTTCTCCTTGTCTTCTGCTTGCTAAGATTAAAAGCAACTGGTAAATTCAGGGAATGGAAAATGGATCGATATTCCCCAGCTCCTCCCCAAGCTTTGGGGATGATAATCTTTCGATTACTATCTCCAGCTAATGGGACAGAAGCAGAAGCGATCGTGAGGCCAGCAGGGGCCTGTGGGAAGGCACATTTGGCCCTTTGAAAATTACCTCCTGTTTTTTCTGCAGATAAGAAGTAGTTTCCAAAATTACAAAGACATGTAGTTATTCATGCCAATATCAATGACATTGACGAAAATAATCCTAGCCGTGGACACCTTTGAGAATCCAAAGATGATAATAACATTCCCAGAGAAAATCCATATGGAATTTTGTCATCTAGAAAATAGGAATGGTATGATGCAATGAGACTGTCTGCAAACATCCCGAGTCTCACGGATCTATGTGACAATGAAAACAGGAAGCACTTGCTTCCATGAGTTTGCAGCATGGACCGTGCCTGAATGAATGAGGTACATCCCAGCACATGGCACACAAGAGAGGCTGGCAACCAATGTTGCTATTAAACACACATTACCCTGCAAAGCAGTGAGCTTGGTAAGGAGAATTATTTAAGTGATGTCTCTTCTGAAAATGGTTTTGGAACTCCTCTCTAAAAATTGCCTTTATTCCCTACACATATTTTGTTAAATATCCGTAACAGTGAGCCGGGCGCAGTGGCTCATGCCTGTAATCCCAGCACTTTGGGAGGCCAAGGTGGGTACATCACAAGTCAGGAGTTTGAGACCAGTCTGGCCCACATGGTGAAACCCCGTCTCTACTAAAAATACAAAAATTAGCTGGGTGTGGTGACACATGCCTGTAATCCCAGCTACTCGGGAAGCTGAAACAGGAGAATTGCTTGAACCCAGGAGGCAGAGGTTGCAGTGAGCCAAGATCATGCCATTGCACTCCAGCCTGGGCAAAAGAGGGAGACTCTATCTCAAAAAAAAAAAAAAAAGTCCATAACAGTGGAAAATTATTTCATGATGGTGACTTAGGATTCGTAGAAATCATTGTAATTGTTTTCCATGGCTGCCGAAAGAAAATGCCACAGCCGGGGTGGCTTCAGTAACAGAAATTGATTTTCTCACACTTCTACCATTCTGGAGGCTGGAGGTCAGAGATCAAGATGTCAGCAGGGCTGGTTCCTTCTGAAGTCTCTTTTTGGCTTGTTGATGTTCGTCTTCTCCCTGTCTTCGACTGGTCTTCCCTCTATGCATCTCTGCCAGTGTGTCCTCATTTCCCCTGTTTCCTTGGGACACTAGTCATACTGGATTAGGGACCACCCCAATGACCTCATGGTCACTTAATTACCTCTGTAAGTCTCCTGTCTCCATATACTGTCATTTTCTGAGCTACTGGAAGTTAGAATCTCAACATATGAATTTTGGGAAGACACAATTCAGCTCATAACAACTGTCAAAGCCAATCAAATCCAAGACTAGTGCATATGGTGGGTAATCACAGCACCACGTCTTGTCAGTGGGGATGACTCTGTTGTCACGGTAACTGTGTGTGAACCGGCCAGCTTCCCCTAGTGACCAGCGAACGAGATGCCTCTGCCACCTTCTGTCTCTGCTTCCGCTGACAGCTGTTCCCCCTTGGCTGGCCACAGCACGGTTCACCCTAAGCCGGATTGACTGAACCAAGCCAGCAGTACCTACACCTTCCCGTTATTTCCTGTCCACTGTGTTACTTTAAGATACGCAGTGGCACCTAACTAGATCTGTTGTAGAAATGAACTCTTAGCCACAGAACAGACGTCTCCTTCCCAAATTAGAATTCAAAGCAAATGCTAATAAAAAAATAAATAAATAAAAGGAAGCAGCATGATTTCACAGGTTTTGGGATGCACCTGCTCTTCTGACCTGTGGTGCTCTTGAAGTTTCCTGTCCTCAGTGGTAGTTTTTTCTCTGAGTCCTCAGGGGCCCACAACCAGCCACAGCAGATGCACAGCCAGAGGGTCACTGAATCACCGAATGCCCCGGAGCTGCCTGGGTACAGACACCCAGCTCACCCCTCTCTCGGCTGTCACTATGCTGAACTCGGAACACTGCCCTCCGGAACCTGGAGGAGCCATGGCCACTGCCACCACCATCCTCCCAGGACATCCAACCTTGCTGAAGTCCAGCCTGAAGCCTGGGCTGGGCAAACCTGCTTGTCTGGACCTAAGCAAGGGCCTGTACCCCAGGGTGGGTGAGGGAGGCTGGACAGCAGATGCCCAGCGTCTCCAGCCCTCTGGTGGGAGGCAGATGGGGCCTCTCAAAAGAGGGTTCTCCAAACCTGTGGGAGCTTTCAGATGCAGGGAGGCCCAGAAAATGACCAATGATCACCAGAAATGTATCCAGGGCTTGGCAGAGGTGCCCATTTTTCTGGTTGAGCCCTGCCCTTGGTCTACTTTCTAACTAATTTGGAGCATGTCTGGGTTCAATAGCATCTCCCAAAATTAACATCCACTTGGAACCTCAGAGCGGGACTGCTATGGTTTGAATGTTTGTCTCCTCTGAAACCCATGTTGAAACTGAATCCCCAGTGTGTCAGTATTGGGGCAGGGGGAGCTTTTGGAGGTGATTAGGTCATGAGCGCTCTGCCCTCATGAATGCATTAATCCATTCAAGGAATGATGAGTTAATGAACAACTGGGTTGATGGATTAATGCATTATCCTGGGAGTGGGACAGGGAGCTTCATAAGAAGAGGAAGAGAGAACTGAGCCAGCACGTTCAGTCCTTTCACCATGGGATGCCCTGAGCCACGTTGGGACTCTGCAGAGAGCCAGCCTACCAGCAAGAGGGCTCTCACCAGAGGCAGCCCCACGACCTTGGGCTTCTCAGCCTCTATCACTATAAGAAGTAAATTCCTTTTCTTTGTAAACTGCCCAGTTTCGGGCATTCTCTTACAAGTGGCAGAAAATAGACTAAGACAGTGATCCTATTTGAAATAGGATCTTGCAGATGTAGTTAAGGTGAGGATGAGATGAGATCATACAGGATTAGGGTGGGCCCCAAATCCAATGAGAGTGGCCTTAATGGACTTTGGGGCGTCCTCACTGTCCAGGGAAAGGGCACACCGACAGGAAAGGCCTGGTGGAGAGGAAGGCAGAGAGCGCAGCGATGCGTCTATAATCCAAAGAAAGTCAACAGCAGCCAGCCGCCACCAGGAGCAAGGAGAGAGGCCTGTCACGGTTTCTCCCTCGGAACCTCCAGAAGGAATCAACCCTGCCGACACCTCGATCTCAGTCTTCTGGCCTCTTGAAATGTGAGAGGATACATTAGTGTTGTTTTAAGCCATCAAGTCACACTCCATCAACTGCAGCTGTGAAGCCAAAGTCCAGGGAAGTTCCATGAAAACGCTTCTCTACCTTGGAAGGTAAGCCCTGTTTGAGGGGCAGTCCCTACAAAGATTCTCCCCAGATGCTAGGCCAGAACACAGGTGGCGGCTGGGTTTTCCTGGGTCACGCCACTCCCCTTAAGCAAAGCCTGAGTGGCTCCCACACTGGAGCATCTGTCAGAATCACCTGGCCAGCTTTGTTAAAGCACAAATGCCCAGGCCCCTCCATGTCCATTTCTGACACGGCAGGTCTGGAGCAGAGTCAGAGAATTCCCACCTGATGCTGGGGTCTGGGCACCACACCGAGGGACCCTGGCTCTATCTGGGGCTTCACCAAATCAACAAGGGAGTTCCATTGGGATCACGTTGCTCAAAGTGTTGTCCTAGCCCAGCAGCCTCGGCATCACCTGGGAGCTGGTCAGAAATGCACATTCTTAGGCCCCAACCCAGACCCGCATCCTAGATCCACTGAATTGGAAGGTGCATTTTGATAAGATTCCCAGGATATCTGGGGCTATCTGGAGCCTCTGTTTACCTGTTTCTCAACTGCAGGGGTGCACAGAGGGGTGAAATATACTTAAAAACAGGCAAAACCCACACAGGCTGGTTTCCAATCCTAGCTGCTACTGCCACGCAGGCATTTCATAATGGGACACGGAAAAAAAAATGTGTGTGCACATTTGAGTTTGAGAAACATGAAAATAGAGGACTCCTCTTGTGCCTCCAACACAGTGAGCCCCTGCCCAGGTGACCCAGAGATGACCGTGGGCAACTAGTCCCCACCTGGGGCTCTGTGTAGCCGTCTCCTTCCACCCCACACCTTCCACTCCCTGGTGAATGGGCAGCTGGGGGTAGAAGACTTCATCCACCTGAAGTCTGTTCATGCACCTCCGTTCTTCATTGCTGTTACATAAATCCAGGCTGTGCAGGGAGTTCTGGAGGCAGCCCTGGCCCCTGCCATTCCCAGAACACACACAGCCTGCGAGAGCCACTCTCAGAGCCTGTGGATGGCCCCAGCTGGGAGGGATGGCACAGTCTGAGCTGACCGACCCCTGCAGGACTCCCCCACTGTCTTCATGTGAAATTTTCTCTCTGTTATTTTTCCCCTGTGTCCCATTATGAATTGCCTCCGTGGCAGTAGCAGCTAGGATTGGAAACCAGCCTGTGTGGGTTTTGCCTGTTTTTAAGTACATTTCGCTCCTCTGTGCACCCCTGCAGGTGAGAGACAGGTAAACAGAGGCTCCAGGGAGGGACCCAGGTCTTCAGGGTGGTTTTCCAGTCCCTTTCTTTGCTCACAGAATCAAATGAGTGTCTGCATTCCATTTCTCAGCTCTTGTTCAGTGACCAAAGGGTTATTTGTTTGTTCTTTGTTTTTCTGATCAAAAAAGGCGAGATTGTGCCACTATTCTCCAGCCTAGGAGACAGAGCGAGACTCCATCTCAAAAAAAAAAAAAAAGCTATACCAGGTCTCAAACGTCTTGTGCCATGTTTACTTGCATGTTATAAACCCCACTGAAATAACCAAATAAAAAGGCAAACCAAAGCATAATGTACAGCAACACCTGGAAACAAAGAAGAGTTTGCGATGAGCCAATTTTTGACTTTGAGAAAAGTCTAGGCTGTATGATGCAGTTGGGACTGGCTGGGCACACGACTGTCAGGGTATCTGCCCCAGGGTTCCACACCAACACAGGGTACATGCTGGGCTTCTCAACACAGGCCTGGAAACCTCTTGCCCTGGAGCAGAACAGCCTGGGAGTAGGATCCAGGGTGGGCTGGGAACAGTCTGAGAGGCTTACATCGAAAAGACTTTGTGAACTGCGCCAGGTGCAGGAAAATAGCTGTTGGTGTCTTCTGCTTCCCCAGGCAAAGCCCCCAATGAGTGAAAACATGAGAGAGGGGCCGGACAGAGAAGGCAGCAGCCCCCTCTATAAGAGGCCACTGGAGCCAGTGCAGATGAAACGAGATGGCCGTCCCAGCGCCCCAGCTTCCATGGCCATGCCTCCCTTACGTGCCTCTGCCAAGCATCTCAGCTGAGACACAGAAGCTCCTGAGATGGCAGCAGCTGTGGAAGAGGCAGGGAAGGGTCACTGGGAGGCATCACGGGACGTGGAGACCCAATAGAGACCTGTGTCCAGAGCAAGCCAGACCCATCAAGACACCAGCTCCTGGATTCATTTGAAAAGGACAGTGCAGTGAGGAAAGTGAGACCTTTGCCACTAGGGGCTTCCACGAGACCCCAGCTTGTTCATGGACTGTTATTCCTGGCCATGCGCATACAGGGAGGTCTCCAGCAAGCCCACCCACCTGCTCCCTGCACCTAGGACACCACCCAGCCATACAGCTCATTGTGCTTGGAGGCTTGAGAGGAAGAGCGGCTGGATGGGGGAAACACACTGGACCCTACACGGCTATCACAGGGGCACATGACCCAGCATCAGAAGCATGAGGGGAGGCAGCATGTTGGAGAGCTGCAACAGGAAGAACTCCACGGAGACTAATATAATGCGCGATGCGGGGAAGAAGCACTGAGGAAGCCAAACTCACGCTCAGCAAGAATAGACTAATGCTTCCGAAAGCAGGGTGGACTGGACACTCTGAAGGGCTCCCCATTTGCCTACAAGAAGCTAGACCCTGACCAGGCTTGATCTGCAGTGTTACTGGGCTCAAAGAAAATCAAGGAAGTTGCCCAGGAGCACACTGACCAATGACACTGAACTGAGACTTAAAGACAATGCCTAGAGAAGGTGTGCAAGCTAAATCACGCGGGATGACAGTGGTCCCAGTCATCAGGGTCTCTTGGCTTGTTACAGAAGCAAACACAAATCCTCTCTAGTGGAAAACGTCCTCAGTTTAGGCTCCACAAATTAAGACCAACCAAATATGAGCTCACATTCAAAGATCAACAAGTAAAAAGAGAACAGACCATCGGAGATTAGGGCAATAGAAACAAACAGCAGATTTAGACTTCCAAAAGCCTCTAATATTAGAATGATCAAGGACAGAGCATATAAAACCAATGTAGTAAATATTTAAAGAAATGCAACATAGAATCATAAACATGAACAGGCAACCTGAGACCATCAAAAACGACTAGACAGATGTGGAAAAAATAACCAGAACTTTAGAAGTAAAAAAAAAAAATCGTTAAAAATAAAATGCATGGAACAAGTTACAGAACATATTAGATGTGGGTAAGAGAATTTTTGATTAGGATACAGAAACCGGAGCCCAGGGCCCATTGAGAGCAGGGGCACCATTAAGCACCTCCCTCATCCTTTAAGACAGAAACCAAAAATGTGTCTGAAGGAGAAACTGAATTGGAAGTGAAAGATCCCATGAACAGACTGTAATTGGTTTTGAGTCATCTGGTAGCACAGAAAAATCTTGGGTCTGAAATACTGAGTTAAAGTGATCCTCCATTGCTAATGTCTTCAAGCACCTGAGAGACACAAATAAAAATATTTTCTGAATAAAGATAACATCATCCTAGTCCTCTAATTACTTCTACAACAACTTTTCAAACATAGTGTCCAGCACAAAATCAAAAATGAACAAGGCATAGGAAATAAAACAACATAAGCAAAACTCAGCAGATATATTACATAATAGAAAAAGATAAGCATGTGCTTCAAATACTGAAATGAAAAGATATAGGCTTTAAAATAATTATGCTCAAGGATGATAAAGACAATATTGAAAAACTTGGCAGACAACTGGAAAACATTTTAAAGACCTCAATTTTAAAAAATAATGAAAAATAGAATAACTAAATTTTAAAGAAAACCTAAATGGGTGACTTTAACAGCAGTTTAAAAAAACAAAGCTGAAGAGAGAATTAATAAACTAGAAGATAGACAAGAAGAAAATATTCAAAATGAGACATGAAGTACAGAGGAAGAAAAATAAAGGTATGAAAATATGGATAATTGAGTGAGAACATTTAACATACATTAAGCATTGGAAAAAGAGGAGAAAAAGAGTGAAACAGAAGCAATATTTGAAAACATAATGACTGAGAATTTTCCATACCTGGTGAAAGAAATCAATTTACAGATGAGTCATAAAGTTTAGTGAGCACCAAGCCAGATAAATAAAAAGTAAATCACGCCTAGACACATTATAATAAAAATGCAGAAAAATAGAAACAAGGAAAACAATTTTAAAAGCAATTAGAGGGGGAGAAAAAAATTTACAAAAGAGCAAATATCAGATGGACTTCTCAACAGAAACAGTGCAAGTTATAAGAGAAAGGATTTGCATCTTTGAAATACTAAAATAATAATGACTACAAATCTACAATTGTATTGCCAGTGAATATTTTCTTTTAAGGATGAAGACAGAATACTACCAGGTACTCAGACAAAACCTGAGAGGTTCATCACCAGCAGTTTATTAAAGAAAATTCACTGTTGTCTTCAAGAAGAAGGAAAACTATCTCAGAGACAGTATGATTTCATTGGGAGATGAAGGCAGGAATAAACAGCAACAAAGTGAATGAGTATATAGATGAATCAAATTGAATATTGATTTTAAAAGTGATATAAAGGGCTGGACGCTGTGGCTCATGCCTGTAATCCCAGCACTTTTGGAAGCCGAGGTGGGCAGATCACGAGGTCAGGAGTTCGAGACCAGCCTGCCCAATATGATGAAACCCCTTCTCTACTAAAAACTACAAAAATTATCCAAGAGTGGTGGTGCGTGCCTGTAGTCCCAGCTACTTGGGGGGCTGAGGCAGGAGAATCACTTGAACCTGGTAGGCAGAGGTTGCAGTGAGCTGAGACAGATCCACTGCACTCCAGCCTGGGAGACAGTGCGAGACTCCATTTCAAAAAAAAAAAAAAAAGATAATAAAGGGTCGGGCGCAGTGGCTCATGCCTGTAATCCCAGCACTTTGGGAGGCCAAGGCAGGCAGATCACAAGGTCAGGAGATTGAGACCAGCCTTGCCAACATGGTGAAACCCCGTCTCTACTAAAAATACAAAAATTAGCTGGGCATGGTGGTGCACGCCTGTAATCCCAGCTACTCAGGAGGCTGAGGCAGGAGAATCACTTGAGCCTGGGAATCGGAGTTGCAGTGAGCCAAGATCACGCCACTGCACTCCAGCCTGGTGACAGAGTAAGACTCCATCTCAAAATAAATAAATAAATTAATTAAAATAATAAAGATATAATGGTACTTTAAGTAGAGAGAGAATTAAAGCATGGGAATCAGAGCATGTAAGTTGCGGGGAGGAATAAGTAAAAGGGAAGAAGACAAAGGCCAGCCCCAGCCATAGAGAGAGGTATGATTGGACTCCTATCCTTCATGTCCCCACAGTTTGGACCACAAAAGACTAAAGCTCTGGGTAAGGAAAAACCAGAAGGGACTAGCAGAAAAATTGCCCTGGTCTTCATCAAATCAGGAGGAATATTGTCCATGAGAAATTGTAACCAAGCTGGTCTTGCAGGAGTTGCAGCACAAATTCACATCACTGGTGTGGTTCATAAAACCAGTTTTAAACTTGTTTTAAAGTGTTCATGTACTAGAAATTCCCCTAAGTACCAGACAGAAACTGATACATATTCTGTCTAAAGGATTTCACCTTCACCCAGGCCTAAAGAATATTCACACACATATTTTTAAAAGAGTGTTTTTCATAAAAATCTAGTCAAGAACACAACTAAGTCACAATGAGACAGGTAGGAACAGTAAATAGAAAAATAAGACCCAAGGCTTCAAACATCATCATTTTTTAGTCACAGATTTAGAAAGAAGCCTAAGTACTATGTTTAAAGGAATAAAATACAGGCTGGAAAATATCTCTAGTACATAGGAAACTATAATATGTGACTTAGCAGATGTGAAAAAAAACAGAACTTATAGAAATTAAAAATACAGTGATCAAAACATTCAAACTGCAAGGGACAGAAATAACAGGTTATTAGATATAGCTGAGGAAAGAATTAGTGAACTGGAAGAAAACTCAGAAGCAACTACCCAGAATGTACCACAGAGAAAGGGGGAAATTTAAAAATATAATGAAGAGATTGATACATGACAATGATGTGAAATCTAACACCCTCCTAAATCAAAGTCTTTAACAGAGAGCAAAGAGTGGGACAGATATATTAAAGAGATAATGGCCAGGCGTTATTTCATATGGCGGAAAGCACCAATGTGCAGATTCAAAACACCCAATGAATCTCAAGCAAAATACTTAAAAGTAAATCGCAACTAGACACACTCTTTAATAAAATTTGATTTCACCAAAATCAAGGAGAAAATCTAAAAAGCTATAAGAGGAAAATTTTAAAAGGACCAGTTTGTTCCAAAGAATATCAGTTAGCTAACTGTATCATTTTTAACCATAATAAAAATCAGATAACAGTGGAATGAAATTTTCAATGTATTGAAAAAGAAATATTAATCTATAATTCTAGAATTGGAAAACATCTTTCAAGAATGAGACAGAAATAAAGACATTTTCAGATGAAACAACTAACAAACAACACAACAAAGAATTTGCCACTAACTGAACTTTACTAAGGGAAAATTTAAAGGGAAAAGAAAGTAATCTCAAAGAACTAATTCACAAAAAAGAGTAAAGAATATAAATATGTGGGTGAATATAAACAAACTGACTAAATGGTTGCAACAATGTATGGAGGGGTTCAAAAAGATGGAAATAAAATGTGTGACAATACATTTGTATGCACCTCATAACAGCACTGAAACATACAAAGGAAATTTCGATAGAACCTCAGAAGTTGATAAATACATACTCGTAATAGGAGATTTCAACACACTTCTTTTTGTAATACACATATAAAGCTGGTCAATGCTAAGTAAGGATATAGATTTATACAACACAATTAACAAACTTATGGAACACTGTTACCCATCAACTGCAGAATACACACTCTCTCTCTCTCTCTCTCTCTCTATGTGTGTGTGTCTCCTTATACATACATAGAAAATATACTAAACAGTTGAGTATATGTTATGCCAAAAAAAAATGTGCTGAACTACAGAAGCAAGTTCTCTCACAATAAGATTAAGCTACAAGCTAATAACAACAAATAACTAGAAATCTCCATGTTTGGAAATTAATATGGTTCAGAATAACCCATGTGTTTGAAGCATCACAAGAAAAATCAGAAAATATTTGTACTGAACAATAACAAATACTATGTATCAAAACTTGTGAGATGCATGTAATGCTGCATTTATAGGAAAACATAGCCTTTTATGTCTATCTTAGAAAAAAGGGAAAATTAATGAGCTAACAATCCATCTCAGGACATTTGGAAAAAATATATAGTTCTAAAATAAATCACCCAGCACTTTGGGAAGCCGAAGCAGATGGATCACCTGAGGTCAGGAGTTCAAGACCAGCCTGGCCAACATGGTGAAATCCTGTCTTTAATAAAACTACAAAAATAGCCAGGCACGTGGCACACACACCTGTAATCTCAGCTACTCAGGAGGCTGAGGCAGGAGAATCGCTTGAACCTGGAAGGCAGAGGTTGCAGTGAGCTGAGATTGCGCCACTGTACTCCAGCCTGGGCAACAGAGTGATACTCCATCTCAAAAAAAAAAAAAATCACGCCCTCTCCCTCTCCCTCTCCCTCTCCCTGTCCCTCTCCCTCTCCCCACGGTCTCCCTCTCCCTCTCTTTCCACGGTCTCCCTCTGATGCCAAGCCGAAGCTGGACTGTACTGCTGCCATCTCGGCTCACTGCAGCCTCCCTGCCTGATTCTCCTGCCTCAGCCTGCCGAGTGCCTGCCATTGCAGGCGCGCGCCACCACGCCTGACTGGTTTTCGTATTTTTTTGGTGGAGACGGGGTTTCGCTGTGTTGGCCGGGCTGGTCTCCAGCTCCTAACCGCGAGTGATCCGCCAGCCTCGGCCTCCCGAGGTGCCGGGATTGCAGACGGAGTCTGGTTCACTCAGTGCTCAATGGCGCCCAGGCTGGAGTGCAGTGGCGTGATCTCGGCTCGCTACAACCTCCACCTCCCAGCCGCCTGCCTTGGCCTCCCAAAGTGCGGAGACTGCAGCCTCTGCCGGTCCGCCACCCCGTCTGGGAAGTGAGGAGCGTCTCTGCCTGGCCGCCCATCGTCTGGGATGTGAGGAGCCCCTCTGCCTGGCTGCCCAGTCTGGAAAGTGAGGAGCGTCTCTGCCCGGCCGCCATCCCATCTAGGAAGTGAGGAGTGCCTCTTCCCAGCCGCCGTCCCATCTAGGAAGTGAGGAGCGTCTCTGCCCGGCCGCCCATCGTCTAAGATGTGGGGAGCGCCTCTGCCCCGCCACCCCGTCTGGGAGGTGAGGAGCGTCTCTGCCCGGCGGCGACCCCGTCTGGGAGGTGAGGAGCGTCTCTGCCCAGCCGCCCCGTCTGAGAAGTGAGGAGACCCTCCGCCTGGCAGCCACCCCGTCTGGGAAGTGAGGAGCGTCTCTGCCCGGCCAGCCGCCCCGTCCGGGAGGGAGGTGGGGGTCAGCCCCCGCCAGGCCAACCGCCCCGTCCGGGAGGTGAGGGGCGCCTCTGCCCGGCCACCCCTACTGGGAAGTGAGGAGCCCCTCTGCCCAGCCACCACCCCGTCTGGGAGGTGTACCCAACAGCTCATTGAGAACGGGCCATGATGACAATGGCGGTTTTGTGGAATAGAAAGGGGGGAAAGGATTGAGAAATCGGATGGTTGCCATGTCTGTGTAGAAAGAGGTAGACATGGGAGACTTTTCATTTTGTTCTGTCCTAAGAAAAATTCTTCTGCCTTGTGATCCTGTTGATCGGTGACCCTACCCCCAAACCTGTGCTCTCTGAAACATGTGCTGTGTCCACTCAGGGTTAAATGGATTAAGGGTGGTGCAAGATGTGCTTTGTTAAACAGATGCTTGAAGGCAGCATGCTCGTTAAGAGTCATCACCACTCCCTAATCTCAAGTACCCAGGGACACAAACACTGCGGAAGGCCGCAGGGTCCTCTGCATGGGAAAACCAGAGACCTTTGTTCACTTGTTTATCTGCTGACCCTCCCTCCACTATTGTCCTATGACCCTGCCAAATCCCCCTCTGTGAGAAACACCCAAGAATGATCAATAAAAAAAAAAAAAAAAATCACAAAAATATTAAGGAAAAATAATATTAATAGGACCACAAATTAATAAAGTAAAAAATAAACATTCACTAAAGCATATAAACACATTGGTTATTTGAAAAAAACTAATATTAGTGTCAATACCCTAGCAAGACTCATCAAGAATAAACAGAAAAGGCATACACATAATCAAAAATGAGAAAGGGGACATTGCTACAGATCCTACATATATGAGAAATGTAATAAGAGAATTTTTTTAAAATATCCAATAATTTGTGAAAATGAATCTAAAAATGTGTATAAAATAGGAAATTCCTAAAAACTTTTCAAAACTTAAGAAGAAACAGCCTATAATCATTAAATAAATGCAATCATTAGTGACATTTTTTTTCCTCAAACAAACTTCCAGGTATAGATGGCTTCACTGGAAAATTCAGATACTCAGGAAAGAAAGAATTACAAAATCTCTTCCCCTGCCCCACTGAACCAACAAAACAAAACAAAACAAAAAACAGAAAAAGAAGAAACACTTTCTAACTCATTTTATGAGGCTATTATATTCTGACTAGCACAATCCAAAAATGATATCATGAGAATGAAAACATACATGCTAATCTCATTTACCCGCAACATACATTTTTTAAAAATGACAACAAAACAATTATCAGGGGAAAGATAGCAATATATACAAACGAGAACACATCATGATCAAGTTGAATTATACCAGGAATGCAAGGTTGGTAATGAATTATCATATCAACAAATAAAAGAAAAGCAAACATTTGTTATCTCAATAAATGTGAGGGAAAGTGTTTGATAAAATTCAACATTTTTATTATTTAAAAACTAAAAATACAGCAGAATTCCCTTAACCTGATAAAGAGTATTTCAAAATTTTCACAGCAAACAGCACCCTTATTGGCAAGATATTGAAATATTTATACACTCAAGATAAAGAACAAGATAAGGACATACACTTTCACACTTGCTTTCAAATTGGATTGGAAGCCCCAGCCAGCACAGTGAGACCAGAGAAAAAACTAAGAGATATAAGAATTAGAAAGGGAAAACAAAACTGCCAATATTCATAGATAACATTTAATAAGAGTTTAGTAAAATGGGTAGGTACTAAATCAATATACAGAAATATAATAAACAGTTATAAAATTATACATTTTAAAATATCATCTACAAAAGCATCCAAAACCATAAAATGCCAATAATAAATCTAACTAAAGATGTACACAACCTCTATGGAAAAAGAAATAAAATTTATGAAGAAGCCCTGAATAAATGGAGAGAGACCATGTCCATGGATGGGAGCATTCTCTATTAGAAGCATATCAATTCTTTCTAAAACAATTTATGGATTCAACATAATCCCTATCAAAATCCCTTGTAGAAACTGATACACTGACTTTAAGCATTATATAAAATACAAAAGTCCAAGAAGAGTCAAGACATTTTTAAATAAAAATAACTTGGAGGTCTAACCTTCCTAGGTATTAAGACCTCTGTTAATACAAAAGGGATAGACAAATAGTCACATAAGACCAAATAGTGATCCCAAAACAGATAGCTGAAATGCCACCTTTATCATATGCTAAGGCAGGTAAAGGGTGGGATTTTTAAGAATTCACGCTAGACCTATTGACTATCCATTCAAGAAAAATATGAAATTACACCCTACCTCACACCATATCCAAAATATCAATTCCAGTTAGATTATAGGTAAAGTTACCATCTGTCTCAGCCTGCTCAGGACTGAGGAATCCCCAGAACTTTTAGTGTTAAAACTAGTCAAGTCCCAAGCAAAAATAGACTGGTCACCATAAACAGGACTAAACTGGAAAGACAAAAAATAAATTGTTTAGACTATATTAATATGAGAATATCTTCCCAAACTCTGGATGGAAAAAAATTCTTCAACCAGACACAAACAGATATTACCCATAGAGAAAAAGATTGATACATTTAGCTACATTAAAATTAGTTATCCAAAGTCACAAAAACATCCCTCATGACCAGTGGGGAGACACGATCTAGGAGAAGATATCTGTAACACATGCAGCCCACTGTGACTGTCTTTCAAATTATGTAAATAACTCCTGCAAATTCGAATGTTAAACAACAAACAACCAAATAGAAAACAGACCAAAAAAACTACAACAAGTACTTCAAACAAGAAGAAAATCCAAATGGCCAATAAACACATAAAATTTTCAACCTTATCCCCACAGAAAACAGAAGAGACAAACAAATCGTACTGAATTCTACACACTAGAAGACTGTATAGCAATAAAAATGAACCAGTAACAGCTGTACTTGAATAAAACTCACAAATATAATTTTGGACAAAAGAAGCAAAGTACAAAAGTATGCCAACAGTAAGATCCCATTGATTTGGAGTTCAAAATCTCTGCCATGATGAATTGGGAGATACCTGCCTTCTGAGAAGGCAAAGGGGAGGACTGTCTCCCCACAGCCAGGACAAGACACTTCGCCTTCTCCAAACTAATCACAAAATTAGTTCCAGGGCCTGAAACAGTCTCTAACCATGAATTGCAGGGGAGATCATGAGTTGACGCTCTCCTTTACTCATCCTTCCTCCTGAGTCCTCCAACTTTGCCCTGCTGGTCAGTGTACCTGGCACGCAGCAGGCACATCAGGCTTTGCTTGTTGAAGGAAAAACTGTTGGGGCCTTTTTCCATTTTGCAAACATGTTCCAGGCATCAACCCTACCAAAGAAGCTGAAAGTTTTGGCAGTTTGGGACCTGCTGAGAATGAAGCTGACAAAAGTTATAGTTGTACTTACAAACAGACTTTCTGATGATAAATTGGGCTTTTCTCTACTTAGTTATCTAATGGGGAAGCCCCACAATCTTAGCACATTCCAAAAAAAAAAAAAAAGTCTCTGTTGCCAAGAAGTTTTCAAAAGTTACTATTTTTGTAGGACCTATAAAAATTCAGCGTATTCACTCCCTCTGCTGACTCGGCAGAAGCATGTAACTCCCAGGCCCTATTTCCAGAGCCCGCTGCCATCTGGGCCTTGCACAGATGTTTTGGCAGGACTAGAACCTTCCAAACACAAGTTTTTGTTCATTGTATTAAACAAAAGCAGCCCTGTTAATTTCAGTTCCATTCAGCACCAAGTTTGAAGGGGGGGAAAGAATCAATATTTGCTAAGAGGAGAAGAACAAAATCAGTAGGGGGAAAACAATTATTTGCTGGCTTTTCAGAGAATATTACAAATAATGATGGTTCAAAACCATAAAAAAAACTGTTCAAAGAATTGCCTGACATGAGCCCTTTAATCTGTGGTTCAGTTTACTCTCTGGTTCATTCTTTCTATGAAGAATTTGAATCCATGAAAATTTTTGTAGGAATACAAACTAATTGCTATGCAAATACCAAGCTTCTCTGGTGCAGAATGCTTTCGGCTGGAAGGGATCAACAGCAGCCCAGCTCATTGCGACATGCTCGGGTTGGCAAGAGGGCAGAAGATGTTTGTCGTACACAATAGGCCAAGTGAGGTACCTGCTTGCTGGGAGGCAGGGCATGTTTCACAATCCCAAGCATTAGGCATTCCGGAAAATGAACCAATCCCAGCAGACACCTTTGAGGTTGGCCAAGAAAAATGTATCCTTCCCCTTCCACACCCCCACTAAATTTTCCTCCTTAAAACACGAAAGCCTAAGCATTGTTGGAAGATAAAATAGTGGCTAATCAGATGCAACGTTTTATAAATAGATTATCACTCAGTAGAAACTATTTTCTCCCTAAACAAAAGGATCGTTAAGCCCAAAGATGAGTCACTTTATTGACCTGGAGATTAGGACGGGATTTCACAAAGCGAGAAGTCTGACTGTTATGAAACGCCAGCATCCTTCAAAGGCATGGAAATCGAGGGCTCCCGAAACAAGAAACTAGGAGGCTTGTGATCTAGAGAGTAGAATCTAAAATGTATCTGTCTGCTACTTTAGCCAAAGGGGTCCACCTGGTATAGTACTATGGAAGATTCCGGGGTTCTGTATTTCTTTTGCTTTAAGTGATTCACCCAAGGATGAAGTGGGTAGTGATTGCCACCAGCTCCATGTGATGGATGGTCAGTGCCCATTTGACAGAATGAAGCAGCGCCCCGTGGACTGGCCTGGCTGGAACCCAGCTTCGCTGTCAAAGCGTGGCAGATCTCCAATTCCCTCACCCTCCCTTGTGTTTTATCCGCTTAGGGAGTCATCGCAGTCTGCCTCTGGGGCTTGGCTTTGTTCTGTTTCTTGACCTGGGTGGTTCATTCCACCTAATCCATGACTCTACATTTCTCTCAATGTGTTCTTTTTCATAGCTGACAAGGTCTAAACACGCAAATGGTAGGTGGAGGAGCCAGGTTAGGACCCAACCCATCTGACTCCAAAACTCACGTCCTTGACTTCCAAGGATGGAAGAAGAGCAGGTCAGGCATCCACAGAGGATGAGTGATGGGTGTGTGAACAAGTATTTCCTGCCCCTGTGAGTCATGACACTGCCATGGCCTTCCTGGAAGGGCTGACAGATCAGGCAGAAGTCGGGAAGGAGAGACACACACGTGTAGCCAGCACTCGACTGTGGGCAATGGAGTCCTTCCAGCTCTAGGAGCACAGAGGCTGTGCTTGTCAGAGTGAAAACACGAAGCCCCAGCCCCATGTCACACTCCAAGGCCTGATGAGCAGATGCCAAGGCCTTGGCAACACAGAGAGGAAGGGTGCTGCCCCCCCATCTTCAGCCAGCTCTGGGTGTCCCGACTCGAGAAGCGGCAAGGACAGCTTGTAGCCTGAAAGTCAGCGGAGTGGTGTAGCCTGAAAGTCAGCAGAGTGGTGTAGCCTGTGAGTGCAGAAGGGCTCTCAGAGCTGCCGGAGGTTGGAGCAAACAAGGACAGCTTCTGAAAGAGCTCCCTTTCGGGCACAGCCTTGAACAATTGCAAGTAAGAGGCCTCCAGACCAAGAAGGCAGCTGAACCTGACAACAAGGAGCTCTGGGCAGGTGATACTAGGCCAAAGGCTGCAATTAGGGCAAAGGGGAATGAAAAGCTGGAACAGCGGAGCCCAGAAAGTCAGGCAGAGGACATCAGGGGCAGGGTCCCAAGGCCGCCAAAAGGGTGAAATGGCAGCAGGCAAAGGGCTAAGGGGTGAGTGGGCAGGATGGAGGCAGCCGCTGGTCTGTATTATGGAAAATTCTTAGAGCTCTCTTTTAATACAAAAAATCATACTCTTTTAGTACACTTTTGTAGGGTTGTAAAAGTTGTCCTGGTTGTTTATCTGTGTATGTAGAGGAATTCATTTAGATTTGGGAATGTGATTTTGAAATGTTAATTAACAGTGCCCCAAAGACACCTTCTTCTCAGTCCTGAGGACACTTATTGACTTAGGATGATGCTCTGAAGAGACTTCTGAAGCTCCAACAGGAAAGAACTGGGGGCCATGGCTCTTGACTAGGACTGGCCAAGTTGAGCGGGAAGAGAGAAAACCTGGGCCCATGAGAGCTGGGGTCAGACACAGGCTGGTGTTCACACAGGAGATGCAGGAGGAACCGCCGATGACCAAGCCGTGGTGGAAGGTGGAAGCGACAAGAGACTGACTTCAGCTCAATACAGAGACACTTCTCCAAGGAATCAAACTGCCCAGCAATGCCAGGGTCCTGTGGAAGGCAGAGAGCTGGGGGACCACCTCCCAAGAGTGTCTCTTTGAAAAGAGATCCCTGCTTTGACCGAGAGATGAAACAAAATGGTTTCTATAGCACCTTCCACGCCATGATGCCGTGATTGCATCTGCCAGTGCCTGGAGCTGCTGTGACCCAGGAGGCAGGTGAAAGAAAAGCCACTTCCCTCTCTGTTCACATCCAGCATTCAAACCATGATGCACTCTAGGCAGTGGTGTGCTGGAGCCCGCTTGTTCCCTTGCCCAGGAGCCCCTCATGTGTGGGCTATTGAGGGGATCATGTGAGATGAGGACTGTGAAGGCTTAGTGGACTCTACCCTGGGCCCAGCTCTGGTGTCAGATGCCTTTTCAGTGCTGTCATGGAGTTCACTTGGGTTCCCAAAAGCTGACAATGCATCTTCCCATCTCTGCTTTCAGTGGCATCATATCAGTAGCTTGACATCTGCTACAATGGGAATATTTACACCAGAGACATGGGCAGATGCTACAGATGAAAGCGTCCCCCACCCCCACCCCACACAACTGGTTGATAAACATTTGCCAGCAACCTCTGGCTCCAGGGCAAGATGCCTCTGACCCAAAGCTTTGGAGCCTTGATTTGGGTATGGAGCGTCCTGTCTCGTGCTCTCTCTGTGCCCACGCTGCCTGCCGGGGCTCATGTTTAGCCTCACTCAGGCAGCTGTGCTGCCTTCTGTCTCCTGGGCCTCTCCATCTTTACTCCTTTGTTTCTGTGCACTCCATCTCATAACACAAATGTGCCGGGAACTGAGGTGAGCACTGCGTGTGCAGTAGCTCATTTAATCCCCATGCCCTGGGGGCAAGGACCCTCCTGGCACTCTCCCTGTGCACAGAGGGGAGCCTGAGGCTCAGAGATACACAGTGACTTGCCAGAGAAGCGCCAAAACTCAGATAATCCAAAATAATGGTCAACGGAAAGTTGGCCTTTTGGGGCAGGAATGGGTGGAGTACACGGATGACATCCATTTGCCCGGTCCTTAAATCGAACTGTGCTCCCTCTGGGCATCAGGGAAGAGGGAGCCTGCAGTCACAACTTGCTGAAGAAAATTGCAAAAAGAATAATGTTTACACAGCTATTCATTAAAATAACCACAGACGTGCACAAAAGCTAGCAGAACCCATTTTCACACTCACGCCCAGGAACAAGAAGGAAATTCTCTTTAGATGCTTTTCCCTGTCACCATGAGGTGCCTCTTTGTATCTGGGGTGAAATTTGACTTGCAGAAATGAGGGTTCTTGGGCATTTCCAAAAACCCTCTGGGTGTCTGTTTCTTCCTGTGTAAAATAGGATCATGCCGGCCACAACAAATCCCTCCCCCAGCACCCAGGGGACTGAGAGAAAAGATGCATGTGGAGATGCTCTGCAAATTACACTCTGCCCTCCCAGAGTGTAATCCTGGGGAACTGGCTGAGGCTATGATGAGGCTCCATGTCATGGCAGTTTATAGTTTAGAAAATTTAGCAGTGGAGCCTTCCAGATGTTCTGAACCAAAATGCAACGATCCAAGGTCTCCTTTGGATTTCAACTTACTATGGATATGTGTTCACAGCCCCAGATGACATGTGTCCAGTTTTCCAGTAAAGGCCCGCTCTTACGAGGGCCGTGCTGCAAATGTATGAAACAAAAGAGCCATCTCTTCCTGCGAGCAGGAGTCAGCATCAGACATCTCAGCTTCTCAGTGCCGCTACGAATGCACTCGCGTTTAGAAAAATGAAAGGGAAGGGCTGTCACTGAAGCCTGAGAACATTCAATGACCCACTGGAGGACGTAGAAATCTCTCCAGGTTTTACGCTTCTCCGTCATGTTTCCACCTCGGTCTCTCCCAAGGAAGAGCAGTAAACACCGGCCTCCCTCCCTCCCTGCTGCCCTAGAACCGTGGCACGAACCCGTATCAAGGAGACCACATCCCCATTGCGGTTAACAGAGCCTTGGGGGGCAGGGAGGTGGGGGGGCTGACCCCTGAGGGTGTTTTCACAGCTGCAAAAGGACTTTTCCACTTGAGCCTTTAAAAATAGGTTGTCATGCCCCTCCCTGGGGAGGAGTAATCCAAGTAAAGCCCACTTCTGATTCCAACTAAAAGAAGTTTATAGACATTTTCTGTTTATTTGTGCCTCACACACCAATCAAAGCGAGCCCAAGTCACTGCCTGGCTCACGAGTATCTGATTTGGGTCCTATTATGTTGTCTGTTGGGGGGCACAGCTCAGAGTCCGAACTGACGGGTTTCCAACAGCCCGTGCCAGTGGGGGAAGGAGAGGCCCCCTGCCCGCGTGGCATTCAACAGCCCAGACCCAGGGGGCCTGCCATCTCCGTTTTGCCAGCAGAAGAATCACAACTGCCAAGATTCAGCTTCAGAGTGAGTGCAGCTGGGCACAGCCGAGGAGGGACCAGGAGACCGGCTTTGTTCTTCAGGCCGGCCTGCCAGATCAAAGCTGCACTCCCCGACCCGGGCATCCCGTCCCGAGGCCAAGACCCATCTCATTGTTGATCCACATGTGTCTCGCCCTCCCTCCCTGCAGCACGATGGGCGGCTGTTTAAAAACAACTCTGACAACACTGAGCAAAACAATCCTGCTGCTTGTTTCAGACAAAAGAGAGAGCCGGTGCGGCTCAGCTCCCAGGCGAGCCCGAGCTGGAAGCTGAAGGGGGCAGAACGGCTGCGATTCTGTGAATTGATTCTCACCTGCTCTTCTCTTTGCCCTTTTACAAAAGCTGGGCCAGGGTGGGCAAGGCGATGACAGATTTGGGGATTAGAGATGCTTCTGAAATGCAGTGCAGTAATTTTCCAGAACAACAGCTGCACCTGGGGCTGGGCAAGGTCCCTGGGAAGATGTTTTCCTGGCTTTCTGTTCACCTGCTGAGGAATTCTGACCACCAGCTCCTTGGGAGGAAGCCTAGGGATCATGCAGGAAGAAGCCAGGGATCTGGCCCCAGCGAGGGCAGCTGGTGCATCACCACTGATTAGATGGCACTGGGGGAACCCTGATTTCTCCCCACCCTGAGCTGGGAGCTGGGAACTGGGGTTCAGGCAGGATGGGCTCTTGCCTGCCTCGAACAGCCAAGGGCCATGGAGAACTCAGGCACTTGGCCAGGGGGTCTGGCCGGGGCTTTAGCCTTGGGGTGGAGGGAGGGGCCGTGGTGGAGTTTTAGGGGCGAGAGCTCTCTGAGCACCCCTGAGTCCTGCTCTGGGACTATACAAAGAGGAAACAGGGCCCAGATCTGTGGCTTGGGAGGTCCCCAGACTTCCCTGAGCCTCTCCCCTACATCCCTGACTGCACAGAGGGGTGCACCTACCTCAGGGTACCCTCCTCGGCAAGGGTGGCAGTGAAATCCTTGAGGCCCGCCATGCCCCAGTGCCACAGGCTCCAGCTGCCTCCTGCATCTACAGCCCCACGTCATCCTCGAGGCCTCTTCTGCCACCTCCTTCCTCCCTTTCACCCCGGCGTCCCTTCTCTCCTCCTGACAGGCTCTCTCAGGGATCCCTGACTCTTCCCCATCGGGACCAGCAAACTCATGCCAGCATGTTCCCTCGCAGAGTGCCGGAGGCCAAGGGGCTGCAGTGCCCGGCCTGCTGGAGGTACCCAATGGGGTACAGAGCCATGTGCCACTCTAACCTCACCCTCAATCTAGCTGCCTGGTGAGCAGCTCTGGGAGTGTATGGCAGACAGGCGGACACGCCCTCAGGCCTCCCCACGACACAGCACCCGAAGTCCACGCCCACGCCAACCTCCCTAGAATTCTCCACACATCCAGCCTCCGAGAGAGCAATGCAATAAGGAGGCGATTTTGTGCACACACAGCTTCATCTTCTGAAGGGTTTGGATTGCGGTGGCTCAGCATCTCGCCTCGTGCAGCTGCAGATTAAAAGCTTCAGAAATGCGTCTTCACTAAAATGACTCCAAGATTGCCTGTGATTTCGGCGAGAGGATTTTTCCTTTCTTTCGCCTGTTCCTTTTCACTTGGCTTTTTCTCCCTTTTTAAAAAACATAGTCATTAAAGAAGATCCCTAAGGAAATGAAACACAGAACACTATGTGAACATATCACAGAACTTCTGACTCTCGACACTCAATTCCCCAGAAAATGTTGAATTAAGCCAGTTAGTTCCACATTTACAGAAACACCGGAAACTTGCTGGGGAAATTATTCAGAATGAAATGAGTAGCTGATATAGTGTCTCTGCCTGCTCTCAATCTGCCCAAAGCTACTCTCACTTATGAAATTTTTATGAATGAGAAACCGTAAGACTACCAGCACCCCCGGTATCTGGATAGCCAAAGCCAGGTCCCAGGCGGGGAAAGCCTGACATGTTCAGACGCGGGACTTTGTTGGTGTCTTAGACCCCTCTATTAAAGTTGGGTCATAGAACACACTTAGAGATAAATGTGGCCCTATCTCATGACTAATTACCTTCTAAAATTCACCTTCTTACATAACTTCATTAATTTCTAAAGTCACAAACCCCTGCTGCATCTCAGATCGAAACATCATTTACAATTATTGCTGGTTCAATATGTAACATTCTTTGTCATCCCACAAGAAAAGAAAATTTAAATACCTATGTATATTTGGAGAGTCCAAGAACACCGTACTTAGGTAGGTTGAAATATAATTATTGGAGTTTTTATTGCATCTTTGTATGACATCATGATGTGATATGATACAGGAATGCTTCCACTGGTTCTTCATATTCAGGATTCTTCGGAAAGAATAGCCTTTGTCATACAGAAAGAGGACGTTCACTATAACCAGGATAGTTTTTCCCATAATGCTTAGTCACATAAACCTAATCAGACACCACATCATAATATTCTATATTCTGTTCTTATGTTGGTGTTGATTTATGTAAAATATGTTTTACTTAAAACTTTTTATACATAAATATATTTTATGTAAAATATATTTTTATTTTCCAAATAGCATATAGTAAAATTGACTACAAACTTTAAAACCAAGAAAAACACCTCAGTGCAGTTTATAAATAATTTTCATCAGGCATTTGTCAGACATTGATATGTCAAATACGTTGTAAAATACCATCTTACCTCTCACTATACAATAAGAGATGTATTCTTTATAATATTTCAAAAGCCAAAAAAAAGGGAAATGGAGGAAAGCTGAAAATATTGTGTTTTCATATACAATTCTGGATCTTTCTAAATAAATGCAAGACAAAAATAAAAGGCCATGAAACAACACTTTCTTTGATTATAATCGTACCTGCCAAAATCCTCTTTTGTCAACTTCATGGGTTCATCAATATTACAAAGTCTATCCATGTGCTCCCTCTGCGAGGTGTACCCATTTGAAATAAATGAAAGTAAATAGGAAAAAAAAAATAAGAAAAACAATGAGTGATATCTTACACACATGAACACAGGTGATCAATTGTGAATCTTTAATGCCTGTGAATAAATATGTTGAGTTTTTAAAAAGGAATGACCTGGTCCCGATGGTGAAGTCATGGCTTCCTTTATATACTATGACCTTCTTCTTCAAGAGCTAATTCTAGGAGGTTTTTTATTGTATCAGATTCTTTAAAATCACTTTAAGGGGTTACGGGGCCAGGCTTTAAGCATGTGTAACAAGGAAAGAGGAAACACAATTTTCTTAGCAGCTAGAATCAGAGCTGTTTTAGGGCAGAATCCTCTTTAATTGCAAACTTTCTTGCAGAAGGTAAGTCATTACAGAAGAGGGCTCAGCTGCATCCAGGATCCTGTGGTAGCGCAGAACCCCCCAGAAGCCAGCGGGTAGGTAAGGCCTGGGACAGCCCCAGGCTGGTGAAGGCCATAGAGAGATGTGGATGCTGACCTGCACCATCTTATAGCGGGGCGTTACTCTTCAGCACTAGTCAATTTTGAGAGGAACTTGGCCAGTTCTTCCAAATTTTTCAAGGAAATCTAGGTGCTTATGTGAAATCTCTCACTTTTTAAATGTTTACCTAACATTGTTTTTAAAAATAAATGATTTTTAAAATTTCTACTATGGAATCCCAATTTTTAGTTTTGAAGAAAGAGAGAAAACTTGTCCTGCAGGAAGCAAAAAGAAGAATTTGTTTTCTCCTAGGTTGAGAGCAGGAAGACAGAGCCAGTGAAATATATCATGTGATGTGAGTTGTGCAAAGTAAGTTCCTGTCCTTGGTTTCCATTCCCACTTTCAACAAATCATATAGGTTGGCACTCAACTCCCATTCTAAACCTCCTTCTTACTAATCTGCCCCTACTATAAAAAGTAGGAATTAATTAGAAAATTTCTGAACTACTCCTGAAGGTAGTAGTTGCTATGTGACACCTGAACAGTGCCTGCTGTCCTGAATAAAAAGATAAAACCTTACTAGAACACAGCTATTTATCCCCTTTTCATTCCCTTTTCTTCCTTCCTGGAATATGAATGAAAGGTCTGGAGTTACGGCAGCCCTATTGTGATGGTGAGGACAAAAGCCACATATGAGGAATGGCGAAACAGGAAGGTAGAAAGAGGGTGGGTCCCTAAAGACACTTCACTATCCCTAGTCTGTTCACCTCCACATTTCTTGCTAAATGAGGAAAATAAGTACTATTTCATATCTTGAGCTGAGCCTGAGACAAAGATTAAGTGCTGGTGCTCAGTTTGCCAGAGTAAAGAACCCTGACAAAGGGTCACGTTAGGATGAGAAGGAAGGCAGGGTGACATATTGCCACAGCACCCACTGTCTCACAAATGGACACTGAGGGTGTTTGGCAGATGTGCCAGCTGGACATATGGGATGCCTCTGGCCAGGCTGTAGAGATCAACGTCTTAAAACAGTCTGTCAACAAGAAGGAGGGAAAGGCAGTTACCTTCACAACTCCCTCTCATCTCTTGTTTCTGATTAGTCAGAGATTTGCCCCACAAGGTGTGAACTCGCTGGCCTCCAGGTGTCATCTCAGACCTCCTGGGCAGTTGTTTAGGATGCCTGATCACATGCCCTGCGAGGTGGTGGGAGGGGTAAGGGAAGTCAGGAACTCCAGCTGCACAGCTGGTCACTTTGAATGCACAGCAACAATCGGAGGGGGTGCCTGGCTCTCCCAGGGCAAGTGAGTAGTGGGTCCTGATGACAGAACAAAAGTCTGAGGGGCCATGGACCGCCATGCCAAAGGGACTCAGAGAGGTGTGTGAAGCATGTCTGACTCACTCCGTCTGCTGAGACTGGTGTTAATCTAACATATTATTATTTGCAGCTGAACCGTTTTTAGTCACGTGCTCTTTGGGGATGTGCGTGTGTGTGTGTGCGCGCAAGAGACTTCTCATAAAGTTAAATATATTAATTATAATTTTTTAAATGTTCCTTTTAAAATATCTCTTTTGCTTTACTGACTTTAAAGGTCTTTCATTTAGGGACATATTGGTGATAGTAGATGGTAGATTGTATTCACACATTAATATGCTTCTTCATAAATACATCAAAAACTTTCTCTTAGTAAAAATGTCAAGCATTACAGAAAAAAACTACAGTCACCTTGGCCATTGCCCCTAGTCAACCTCAACTTCCCAAAGATACTCATAATGATGGGTGTCATGGGAAACCATTCAGTTCTTTCCGAGGTACCTGCAGAGAAATTGCTGCATGCATGGGTTTTTTCTTCTGAGTTCTCTTTTCGGTTCCATTTATCTACTTGTCTAAGCCAATGGAAGAAACAAAAAGAAATTAAATAAAATATAAGCATGAGAAAACAAATATTTGCAAATCACATATCCAACAAACGATTTATGTCCAGAATATATAAAAAACACTCAAAACCCAACAGTGAGAGAACAAATAATCCCATTTATTTATTTATTTATTTATTTTTGAGACAGAGTCTTGTTCTGTCACCCAAGCTGGAGCGCAGTGGCACAATCTCAGCTCACTGCAACTTCTGCCTCCCAGGTTCAAGTGATTCCTCTGCCTCAGTCTCCCGATTAGCTGGGATCACAGGTGTGTGCCACCACGCCAGGCTAATTTTTTATTGTTGTATTTTTTAATAGAGACGGGGTTTCACCATGTTGGCCAGGCTGGTCTCAAACTCCTGATCTCAAGTGGTCCACCCCCACTCGGCCTCCCAAAGTGCTGGGATTACAGGCACGAACCACCATGCCAGGCCAATAATCTAATTTAAGAATGAGCAAATGACCTAAACAGACACTTCACCAAAGAGGATATATCCATGGAAAAGAAGCCCACAAAAAGATCCTCAGCGTCACTAGGCATTAGGGAAATGCCAGTTGAAACCATTGTGATACACCACTACACATCTATTAGAATTGCTAAAATAAAACATAAAATAAGTACATATATGCATACATCAGTAAGTAACTAAGTAAATAAATAATAAACCTGACAGCGCCAGGTACTGATAAGGATGCGGAGCTACTGGATCTCCCATCTACTGCTAGTGGGAATGCAAAATGGTGCGGCCATGCTGGAAAACTACCTGGAGCGCCTTACAGATTTGAATCTACACTTACCAGATGACCCAGCAATCCCACTGTGTTTATCCTGGAGAAATTAAGATGTATGTTTGTACAAAAACCTGTACACAAAAGTTTATGTCAGCTCTATTCATAATTGCCAAAATGGAAACGAACCAAGTGATACCAGTTTTTAAGATTGCTTCAGCCAAGATGGTCTTTTGCTGATGTGGAAGAGGGGGCTGAGAGGCTGGGTTGTATGTTTCAGCCTTGCCAGGCTTCAGGGAAAAATCTGAAGTCTGAGGCCTGCCCAGGGCAGGAAGCCTAGAAAACAACCCCCCATTTTAGGTAGAAACCTCAAAGAGCTGACCCCTCGTAGCAGTCATGTAGTAATAAATTCTTAACAACTGGCTCTCCAAGATACAAAGCCCTTGTTTGCAACATCTGCTAACTGCCATGGTGTAAATACTCCTACCAAGGCCAATTTCATGCTGCCAGTATGACATTGCTGGACACAGAGCTGAGAAAAGAGTGCACAGTCGGTTCTCATGGCTACAGCACACCACTTCCTAGAAGTTAGGGTGAACCGGAGGAAGCCAGTTCTTATGGTCCAGCTCTGAATCAGCAGAATGATGCAGATAATCTCTCAAACCCTGAAATTAGATTAAAGTGATCCTAGATTGCCAATGACTCGTAGTGAACTCATAGGTGACTCACGCATAAATGAAACTCCTCTGAAAGAAGAAAATATACAACTGTTCTCATTTTTTCCTGAAAAATAAATAAAACCAACAACAATACCCTCTTCACTACACAAGTAAAGACAACCAGACAGATAAGTAAACAAGACCACATGAATGAGAACCAATACAAACAACAGACAAAATAAACCAGTACAGGTACCTAGAGAGTAGAAAGGCCAGGAAAGAAGCCAGACAAGCAAAACAAACTGTATGATTGTTTCCATTTATATAAAGGTCAAAATGGCAAAATAAAATTATAGTGTTTGGAGATGCATATTTAGGCTAAAAAGTATAAAGAAAATGAGAAAGTAGCTACAATAAAAGTTGAGATTGTGACTGGCTGAAGGGGTGAGAAGGTGCTGTGACTGGGAAGGGGCATTCAGAGAGAGGTTCTGTCTCTTGTCTTGAATAGTGGTGACTCTGGTGTTCAATGCAGAGTAATTCATTAAACTGTACATATATGTTTTACGCATTTTCTCTTTATATTTCATAGGAAAACAGTTAAAAATACATCGTGTCCAAGGAGCCTTTATCCCAGTAATCCAGAGGTGAGTCAGTACTTCAAAAATATATCAGTGTAATTCTCTCCAATAATAGGTTTATGGAGCAAAGAATCTCAATATTTGCCAAATAAAAGGGCTTTGATGAATTAAAAATGCATGTGCATGATTGAAAACAAAAGTCATTGGAAACTAAGAATCAAAAAGTACATAATAAAGAGCATTTACTTGATAAAAAAGAAATCTATAGCAATGATCACTCTGAATGGTGAAGTAGCACAAGCATTTTCATTAAAGTCAGAAAAAAAAATCAAATGTGCTCATTATTCTATCCTGCAGCACTTTTACCAGAAGTTTCAGCCAATACAATGGTAAGAAAAAAGAATACAAGGAATAAAATTCAAACAGAAGGAAAAGAGACATTCTTTGCAGATACATAATTAGCTACATAGAAAACCTAAGAGATTCAAGCAGTGCTGCCTAGACACTCACCCCTCACAGCTGCCATTTATACAGAATGCATGTGTGCAGTGCTCCCTGGAGTTGTGTAGCATGGGGGCCTTGGCCAACTAGTAAACATTTAGAATGAATAAGAATGCATTGGCCGGACACAGTGGCTCATGTCTGTAATCCCAGCACTTTGGGAGGCTGAGGCAGGTGGATCATGAGGTCAGAAGATCAAGACCATCCTGGCCAACATGGTGAAACCCCATCTCTACTAAAAATACAAAACACTAGCCTGGTATGGTGGGGCAGTCGCCTGTAGTCCCAGCTGCTCGGGAGGCTGAGGCTGAGGCAGGAGAATCACTTGAACCTGGGAGGCGGAGGTTGCAGTGAGCCAAGATTGTGCCACCGCACTCCAGCCTGGTGACAGAGCGAGTCTGTCTCAAAAAAAAAAAAAAAAAGAAAAGAAAAAGAAAAAAGAATGCATCAAGGAGACAGGATAGCAGATCTCCATAGACCAAATGTTTGTGTCCCTCCAAAATTCATGTATTGAAGCCTAATCCCCAAGGTGTTGGTATTTGGAGGTGGAACTTTTGGCGGTTATTAGGTCATGGGGTCAGAGCTCTTGTGATTGGGATTAGCTCCCTTATAAAAGGGATCCCAGAGCCCCCTTGCTTATTCCACCATGTGAAGACACAGTGAGCCAGGAAGTCAGCCCTCACCAGGCACTGAATCTGTTGACACCTTGGCCTTGGACTTTCCAGCCTCCAGACTGTGAGAAATAAATGTCTGTTGTTCACAAGCTGCCCAGCTGATGGTGTTTTTGTTGTAGCAGCCCTGAGGGACTAAGACTTCAGATCCACATATACTGCCTTCAGTGGCTTTCCTCTACAGCACCAATAACCAACTAGAAAATGGAACAGAAAAAGAGCCCTCCTTCATAATATCAGCAAAAACTACAAAAAACACCTAAGAACAAATGCAACAGGAAGTCAGGAAGTGTGCTCTGCCTGTCTGAACGCTAAGACTATGGTGAAGGATCTTTAAAAATCAGACTCAAGGTAATAGAGAAAAAATACCACATTATTGATGAGAAGACTCCACAGACATCAACTGTACCCTAAATTAATCTATAAATTCAGTGAAATTCTAACCAAAATCCCAACAAGATTTCACATGGACACCGACAAACTGTTCCTCAAATTCACAATTAAGTGGAAAGCTCATGAATCATTAGGATGTTCTGGAAAAAGAGCAGTGGGACGCGCTTGCCAGCCAGCTCTCAGGATACATGGCAAAGCTGTCATAAGTGAAGAAGGGTAGAATCCACCAGGGTCGAATCCCACGTGGGTGTGGGAGTGTCTTGTCTTGAGCCCTGTGTGGGTCCTGATTCTATGTCCCAAGGAAATCGGTGAAAGTGCCAAGTTCTGTTCCCAGGTGGGTGTGGGAGTGGACAAGACACCACAGGCTGAGTCACAGACAGGAGCTGCAGGGGACCCCATGACTCAAGTCCACAGGCCTGCCCAAAAATCCTGTAGAGGACTTGGGATGTTAACAGAGCATGGAACTGGAGGTAGGAAAGTGGGATCCTTTGAGAAAGCTTCTCTCATAAAGCAAGGGGCAGGAAGCTCCCAGCCGATGAAGGGATTACATGCACATGTATCCACTGTTCAAAGGAGTGTAAGCTATGCAGCCTCATGAGACAGAGACTTGATTAATGATCACCTTTATTCATCCTCAGAAGAATTTTCTGTAATTTCTTTTGCAAATACTTATTCTGTTTCAGCTTTTTTGGGTTTTTTGTTTTCTGTTTGTTGGTGGGAAAATATACATACAAAATTACCACTGTAGCTATGTTAAGTGTGCACTTCAGTGGCATTAAGTACACTCACATTGCTGTGCAACTATCACTACTGTCAATTTCCAGAACTTTTTCATCATCCCAAACTCCCAAACTTCATCGTTCCCCATTCAACACTAACTTCCCATTCATTCTTCCTTCTCCAGCCTCTGGTACCTACCATTCTACTTTTGGTCTCTATGCATTTGACTACGCTAGGAACCTCATATAAGTGGAATATTTTTCCTTTTATGGCTGGCTTATTTCACTTAGTATGAGGTTTTCAGGGTTCACCCATATTGTAGCATGTATCAGAATTTCCTGCCTTCTAAAGGCTAAATAATATTCCATGTATCAACAGACCACCATTTTGTTTATACCCTCAGTTGTTGATTGCCATTTGGGTTGTTCCCACCACTGGAAAGGTGGGCTTTTCTGAATCATGTTCTGTGAACATGGGATTGCATGTTACCGTATGGTAACGAAGTGGGACTGATGATTCCTATGGGATTGCATGTTACCGTATGGTAACGAAGTGAGACTGATGGTTCATATGGGATTGCATGTTACCGTATGGTAACGAAGTGGGACTGATGGTTCATATGGGATTGCATGTTACCGTATGGTAACGAAGTGGGACTGATGGTTCATATGGGATTGCATGTTACCGTATGGTAACGAAGTGGGACTGATGGTTCATATGGGATTGCATGTTACCGTATGGTAACATATGGATCATACGTTGGATGTTTTGAGGACTGTCTCAAGTTTAAATGCATTGTTGATCCACCACAATGGTTAGCTCTATCAAAAGCATCCGTGGTTTGTGGCTCATAAGGAACTCCAAAGCTCATGAATGATTTCGGAAAGGAGTATTTTTTTCACATATAAATAAGGTGTAATCTAGCATTCATAAAACAAATAAAACGCTTGGGATCTCACAGCTTTCATCATGATAGAGATCTCTTAGAACTTATGAGGCTGATGGCTGCACTTGCTGTGTGGACAGGATGACAAAGGGATGTGGTCCTTGTCCAGTGCCAGGCTGTTGGGGGACAGTTTCTAGGCTCTGTCCAGCCAAGAGCCACCGCGGTCCCCCCTGAGACTTGTGGACCCTAGTGGTCTCAGAGCTTGCCCTAGCTATGTGGGGGTATCTCTCACGAGGGTCCTTGTCCAGACTTATGCCTGGCCCCAGCATCAACCCACGGCCTATTCTCCATGTGAGACTTGCAACCTGGGGACATTACAGCCTGCCTCATCCACCCACTCACTGGTCCAGCAACCTTCGCACCAGGGGGGCACGGCCCTGCAGCCCACAGCCCACAGCCAGCATCCCCATTGCCCGGGCAGGAAGGAGGACAACTTCCATTGTTCTTCTTCATCTGTGCCTCCTCAGGGGACAGAACAGTTTTGCAGTCATTTTCCATGGACTCCACAGTCCCAATCGTGAATCAAGAGTTAAGGGAAAATTTTTAAAATTAAATCTGAAACCACAGGATATGTACAAGCGGGTGATGATTATGCCTGGGAGTTTTTATCAGTCACAGCTGTTCCATTATGTTTGTTTACTTTGGGGTAGAAATGGTCCTTTGAAATACATGACCAAAATAAACACACGGGCAGCTGTAGTTAGCATGGGCAAGTGAACAAGCGAATGGAACCAGCCCAGGGAGGCCACAGTTCACAGTCACCAGGGTCAACAGCAAAATAAGTAATCTTGTGCTTTCATCCTGACAATACCCAAAGAACAGACATCTTTTATAAACGAATCCTGTTGGAATCTAGGAATTATGAAATTTTGTGAAATGTTACAGTTCAGGCAAAAGCCAAACACTTTTTAAAAAATAGAGAATATGGAATTAAATGCAACGCTAGAGAAGCCACATGGATCATACAGTAATTAATACATACAAATATTTATTGAGTGCTTACTCAGTCCCAGGCATTCTACTCAGTGCTGAGCACCCAGCAGTGAAAATGAAAGTCAAAATCCTTTTTCCTAGGAGAACCAAAATCAACGACAAAACAAATAATAGAATTTCATGTAATGATTAATACTATAGAGAGTTTCCACCACAATTATCTTATTTAAATTATTAAACCTCGCTAATCACATATGTGGAAATACATTTTACTTGAATTAAGATAAATAAATTTCATATTTGTATGTACCTAAAGTCATCTCTAACTAAAAATCAATAGAGGAAAATAAAAGCAAAAGAAGTCATAAAGGACTTATGTCTTCCTCATACATATATAAAAATGTGCATATTTTATGAATTCACAACACTTTACTTCTTTCCATGACCTTTTGTAGAATGTTAGGAAGCCTTCAGGTACTGAAAGTTGTTATTCAAGGAAAAATGCTGAAACAAATAAATTTGAAATGCTGGCATTTGTGTCCCAATCTAAGATAATGAATTACAGTTTCTGACAGTTTCCCTTTTTATTGTAATTGAAACCACTCCACAAAGAAGGGACTACTTATAAAAACAAGTTGTATTAAAATATCTGTTTCCAAGATATAGGGGATCTCAGTGTACAATGGTTCTCTGCGGTAATGACCCAGAAAAAAAAGTGATTTGTGTTTGCTTTTCATTCCCTGTAACAAGAAATGCATCAAAGGAGAGGAAAATAGAACCAGTAGGACAGATCAAGGCAGAGAGATTGTGTAGGGACTTCCTATGAATTATTTACTTCCAGATACTGATCTGATTTTGCTGGAAGAGAGAAGACTGGAAGCAGTGCTCAGATTATAAGACCAATAGACTGGATGCAAACTGAAGACGGTACTGAGTATTAGGTTGATGCAAAAATAATCGTGGTTTTTGCTATTAAATAACTAAGAGCAAATTTAGCTCCCAGGCTGTTGGGTTTCCTACCAGACACGGCTATCTCTGATGGTGTTAGAGAATTGTTAATAACAGACGCACCTAAGTGTTAACATCAGTTTCATAAAAGCATATTCTTCAGAGCACAGATCTGCATCTCTTGGAAATGATGATCCTTGGTCCTCAGGCTGCGATCTGCATCTGTCTCCACTGGAGATACTGGCATTCGTTGACCAGCGTTTAGACTCAGGGTTTGTTATACTAGACGAAAATGCAGTTGAGCTCTGCAGGACTACCCTAGGTTGCAGAGAGCTAAGTAATGCCCTCATGATTGTTAGCTGTAAGTATTTTTTTAACTTCAAGTTATACATGCTATCAGTTAGGAATGCTTTAGGCTACAAGTAACAGATCGCTGAGTCTCAGCAGCTGAAACACATTGGGGTTTATTTTTCTCACATACAAAAAGTTTGGAGGTGGACAGTCCAAGACTGCCATGGCTCCTCACTCATATTGTCCAGGAAAATAGGGGTCTCCCAGTTTTCTGCTCTGGCATCCTCAGCAAGTTACCTTTCATCTTCATGCTTGCTGCCTCCTGCCTACAGCAGGCTGTTGCACGTCTAGCGTCGCATCCATGCTCCAGTTGAAAAAAAAAAAGCAAAACTACAGGGAAGAGCAAAAGGAAAACAGGGCAGGGCATCTAAGTGTATCTTTCATATGTGTGTGTGTGAGATGGAGTCTGGCTCTGTCCAGGCTGGAGTGCAGTGGCATGATCTCAGCTCACTGCAACCTCCACCTCCCAGGTTCAAGCAATTCTCCCGCCTCAGCTGCCTCCCAAGCAGCTGGGATGACAGGTACACACCACCATGCCTGGCTAATTTTTGTATTTTTAGTAGAGACAGGGTTTCGGCATGTTGGCCAGGCTGGTCTCAAACTCCTGACTTCAGGTGATCCGCCCACCTCAGCATCCCAAAGTGCTGAGATTACAGGCATGAGCCACCATGCCTGGCCTCAAACCTATCCTTTTTAATCCAGAAAACAAAGTCATCCCTGGTAACCAGGCTACCGACTTCCATTTACATCTCATTGCCAGATTAGGACTGCTAGCTGCCCCTAGACCAATTACTAGCCTAGAGATGAACTACCAGCAAAGGGTTAGATCAATCAGGACTTAAAACCTGAGACTGAGATCAGCATTAACTGTGCCTGAGATCTAGAGACTGCCGCCCAGATCTGGACAAACTGGCATTCTGTTAACAAAGAAAGGGGAAGAATGGAGAAGTGGGTATTGGTGGGATGACGGGGTGGGGGTGGGGGCGGGTGTTGGAGGGGGCAAGGGGACAACAGCCTCTACCTCTGTTTTCTCCTTAGCCACCCGAATGTTTTTGTTCTATTAAAATAACTCTGCAAAGGCGTTCAAAAGGGAGTCCTTCCCCTCCAAGGAGAAGGACTCTGACATGTTATCAATGGTATGAAAACTTACTTAACTTTACAGAAAGGTAGAAAAATCATACTAGCCAAATGCATCTCAAGAAGGGAATTGATTTGTAGGAAGAGGGCTTAGGATGGAAAGTGAGACCAGGATGTGAGAGTTTGGAGCTCCTGGAACCAGAGGGAGGGTGACAGAAGGATGGAAGGCTGGTTTGTTGTGGAGGGAGCTCCAAGCCCTCTTCCTGCACTAACTCATTTAATCTTCAGGACAGCCCTGCAGCGCTGGGCTTCCCACCTCAACAAAGGGAACTTGATGCTCAGGAGGCTACTGGGCTTTTCAGAGGCCTTTTGGCTAGAGGTGCCCATCCTGAGCCCAGGTCCCTGTGTTCTGCACTCCCAGGGATGAAGAGGTCAGCAGGTGGGTGGGACAGCCCCTCCTGGACAGCCAGGGCCTCTGCCACCCACTCTGTGTGCTTTCCCTAGAGACACTCAGCAAACAAAATGCCTGAGCAGAAACTGGAAGGAATAGGCGGTGCAGTGATTCTCTCCCGACCTGGCAGAGGCGGAGGAAGGCCAGTGATAACACTGTCGGCAACCGTCTGCATGGCTCTGGGGTTAAAGCCATCGGCTTAGGGTTTCCATCAGGTTTGGCCAGCTCCATGAAGGACAGAGCCCACAGCTGACCTCTGAGCTAGGCCCAGCTGGGTCGAGGCAAAGGATAGAAGGATGTGGCCAAGGCCAGTGGACAAAAGAGTTGGGCTAAAGGATGGCTGGGATGACGGGAGGTGGAACGAGAATGTTGCTGGCCCCAGAGGAGGTGGGCTTGACTAACGTGAATGGGAGTGGAATTCGCAAAGGTTTGAGCCTCGTACTTCACTCACGGCTGTGAAACTTATTTCTAAAAGGTGTTGCTGGTGCCATAAAATTTGAGCCTGTAATTCTTTACTCACCAACTCCCTTGGACTCCAAAGTGAAAAGACATCAGTACTGCCTGGGGTCCAGGACAGGCCATGATCCAAAGCTCTGAGTCAGCGCCCAGGAAGCAGGGACCCCACCTCCCCCAATGCCCAGTGCAGGGGCAGCTGAAGGGCAGGCCGGGAGAGCGTTGGCTTGTTGTGGGTGGCCCCGTGGCATCAGCTGTGCCCAGCAGCGGTCATCTATGAGGACTAGAGCTTCCGCACCCTGACCCCAGGCTTCCGTGTCTCAGAAAAGGATTACTCCTACTCGGGCCAGCAGGGGCTTCCCAACACTTGGCAGAAAGACTCACACAATTGCTATTCTGCACGCCTCCCTTCAAACCTCCAGTGATTACTCTGGATGTCCCCGAGTAAATGTCCAGAGAACACTGTGTTTCTTCCTTTGGATGCCATGTTTTGGGGACATGATGCTAGCACAGTGGCTGGCTACTTACAGGAAAAGCAGCCAAACACAAGAGACCAAGAGGAACGAGAGTGGGCTACAATCTTTTCAACATTTTGGCTGCCAGTCAATCTTTCTCTGATGCCGAAACAGGCTGTCCTGGGCACGCCACTGGAGGGCCGTGGGCGATGATGGTTGCTTCTCTCTCCCTCCTCCTCTCCTTTCTTTCTTTCTTTCTCTGTCTGTCTCCCTCCTCCCCCACCCCATAAAAAGTACAATCGCTTACTTCTTTTTCTTACTTCTTCCTCTCAGTGCCCTCCAAATTCTTCTGAGCTCTTTTGTTTTGGGATATTTTTTGGTAAAGGAAGCTTCAGTCTCGCGTGAACCCTCATGCGATGGGGGAGAGTGAGGGGTGTATGGGTGTACACACACACACACACACATATAAATATAAATGCAGTGGATATTCTATAAAATTCTCATGTTAATTAACATATAAATCTGTGTTCTCAAAGCGATTTTTCTCTGTCCATTCCCTAAAATTACCTGTTTCATATAAATATTTTCTCTCTCTGAACCTAAGTCTCACAGATAATGTTTCTTGGTGCCATTCATTTTTTTTTATTTAAACACCTAGAAAAAGTCATTTGTGATCTGGCTCACCCCATGCCCTTTGTTGGGTCCCCAGCCCTTGCTGCCCTGGGGTTCCTCCGCAGCCCTCTCCCTGGACCTGGTCCAGTGCACGGGGCACTTGGCAGCTGTGGCTCCTTCTCACAGCGCACGCAGTGGGCTCCCTGAACACACAGTCTGCACGGGGGAGCCCTTGGTGTCCAGGCAGGAAGGCTGAGGTTGGGGGGTGGGGGGTGAGACTGATGGAACGATAAAACCACCCTCACCTGGGCCCTAGATGAACCCCAGGTACGGAGCCCTCTGGCCCACCTCGGAGGGGTGCTGAGCCTCTGAGCTGCTCTAGTTCTGATTCCATGCCCTCATGAGGCCACCCCTGGAGGTTCAGGGAAGATGCTTCCTCTCTGGAGCTCCCTCGCAGCTGGGGCCAGACCATAGTGGAAGCACAGGTGGCTGCAGCCAAGGTGCTTTGGTGAGTCCTCAGGTGGAAACCAGCAGGGGCTGTCACAGAGAAAAGCAAGGGCCAGGGAGGGTCTCCAGGGGAGCTGGCAGTGGGGCCGAGCCCTCAGGGATGCTGAGGACCCAAGCAGGCCAAGACTGGCAGGGCCGCCCCACCCTCATGTGGAGAGCTCATCTCACCAGCACAGGGGCCTAGGTTTAGCAGGGGTACCAGGTACCAGGTACCAATTAAACTGGGAACCCAGCTTCCATTTTTTCCACAGCATACATCCAGCCTGTCTCAGTCTGCACAGGCTGCCATGGCAAGGCACCACAGACTGGGGAGCTTAAGCAACACACATTTATGTGTCATAGTTCTGGGGGCTGGAAAGTCCTAGATTCAGTTGCTGGCAGATGCAGTGCCTGGTGAGGGCTGCTTCCCAGTTCACAGACGGCACCCTTGTGGGGCAAGAGAGCTCACTGGGGTCCCTTTCATAAGGGTGCTAATCCCATTTGTGACAGCTCCATCCCGTGGCCTGATCCCCAAAGACCCCACCTCCTAAGACCATTATCTTGGGGGTTAGGATTTCAACATACACATTCTGGAGGGACGCAAAGACTCGATCCATTGCACATTTGTATAACAGTTGTCATTGGTGTGTACATCTCTAGACACACTCATACTGACCCTCTCTACCTGTTTCAGAATATTTTCCTCTCTCCTTTTTCTTGACTTACATTCTGTGTTTGTTATTTTCAAGAGTGACACGCTTCTCAAAATCCTAAGAGCATTTTTCATGGATGACTTTTTTCTGCTTTGCTTGGTTCCTGCATTGCTCATGTTCTTGTTGCCTGAGACTGACAGCATGAAGGCCAATGCAACAGATGCAGTCACCGTGGATAAAACTCAAGTTGTCCATCGAGTTCATCTATTTGTGTGTGCAGTAAAGATAGCTTGGCAAAAATCACATTTCTAACTTCCCAATTATATTTTGAGTAGTTCGCCAGAAAACCTCTACTGGAAAAAAAAAAAAAAAAAAAAAAACTTCAATATTGAAAAGCATCTCTGGCAAATAAAATCCATTGTTTTTTTTTTTTTTTTTTTTCGAGATGGAGTCTTGCTCTGTCGCCCAGGCTGGAGTGCAATGGCACAATCTTGGCTCACTGCAAGCTCCGCCTCCTGGGTTCATGCCATTCTCCTGCCTCAGCCGCCCAAGTAGCTGGGATTACAGGCACCCGTCACCACACCCAGCTAATTTTTTGTATTTTTAGTAGAGATGGGGTTTAACCATGATAGCCAGTATGGTCTCAATCTCCTGACCTCGTGATCCGCCCACCTCGGCCTCCCAAAGTGCTGAGATTACAGGCGTGAGCCACCGCGCCCGGCCAACAAAATCCATTGTTAATACAAACAATGAATCTCTGACTTTGTTAAGAGTCTGCATTTTCCTCTGCTCTTTGGGCTGGGTGCAGAGTCTACCTGGTCAGATTCAGCGTTACACCCCCAGGGCCACGTTTTCCATCCCTGGCAACCACAGAAGGTGGCTTTGTGCATGGGGAAAGCCCTATGTGGACAGATCGAAGATCCCCCTGACCTGCCACTTCCTGGTCATGTGAGTTTGGGGAGCTGCCCAGAGTCTCTGAGTGGTCAACTTTCCTCTTGGAAAACAGGAATCAGGGAGATACTTAGGGTTGTGGCAAAGAATCAATATGAGCCATGAGTGAAATGCCAAGCATGGAGCCCGGCAAAGAGCAGATGCTCCTGTGAGTGTAAGTCCCCTTCCTGCTCCTCCTGCTTCACTTAAGCCGCTCAGAGCAAAAGATGAGACTCTTAATGAAGCAGTAATAGAGCATCCGTGAGAAGATTTTCCAGCTTATCCATTTCAGGGTAACCGTCCTCCTTGAAAAATTCAGCAATCTTCTCCCTATCCTCCCTCTTAACTGGTCCATCCAAGTTAGGTTGGCATTAAGAGATAAAGCAGGAGACCAGATCTGAAGCCCCAGCCCCAAAACTCCATCTAAGTGGGAGCAGGAGCCCTGTGGAGTGGCCATGAGGGGCACAGAGAATCAGAAGTGCTGCCCAGGCTGGAATCCTGAAGATCTGAATTGCTCAAGACCACTGGGCTTCCAGGTCACCTTGGCTGCTGGGTAGCCCGACACCCTCCCTGGAGCAAGATTCCAGTTCTGTTTGCAACGGAGGCAGCCTAGGTCATGCGCCCAGACACCAGCCTCTGTGCCAGCCCTGTACTTCCCACGTCCTCCCAGACCTTGAATGCACCGCTGCCTGGGCCCGTGTTTCAGCCACACCTGCCCCCTATAACCTAGCTCCAACCTTCATCCCTTGGTGAGCCTCCCCTGGCAAGTCATAGAAACCCAGAGGGAGTTCCTTATTTCCTGGTCACCCGGCACAGCTGTTTGCAATCTTCACTGTCCATTAGGCACCTCAAGGGGCTTTTAAAAATATTCATTCCTGGGCCCCACCCCGAGAGGTTTATTAAGTGTGTGAACTACTGGGATGGGTGTTGGGGAGAGAGACTAAGACATCATCCAAACCACAGATGTTTTCAATCTGAGGGGGAAATAACATATGCATGCAACTACCCCTTCCATGAGATGGGAGCTGTGGGGTGTTGCGAGAGAAGAAGGTTATGTTCCCAAAGAAGTTCGAGAAAAAAGATTTCTTAGGGTTGGGGAATACAGAAGGCTTTGTGAGACACAAGGCCTTTAAACCTGCCTGTATACATGAGGAGCATAGAGATGGGTGGTATATTTACATACTGTGCCTTCCCAACAATCTTGTCAACTCTGTGGGGCATGGGCACACAAAATCTAAGTGTTTTTTAATTATCTTGAGCATCTTGAGTTTGGAAAATGCTGAAATAAGTTTTGTTTTTGTTTTTTTTGTTTTTTTTTTTTTGTTTTTTTGAGACGGAGTCTTGCTCTGTTGCCCAGGCTGGAGTGCAGTGGTGTGATCTCAGCTCACTGCAACCTCCACCTCCCGGGTTCAAGCGATTCTCCTGTCTCAGCCTCCCGAGTAGCTGGGACTACAGGCACCCACCCGCCACCAAGCCTGGCTAATTTTTGTATTTATTTATTTATTTATTTTTTGAGACGGAGTCTCACTCTGTTGCCCAGGCTGGAGTGCAGTGGTGCGATCTCGGCTCACTGCGAGCTCTGCCTCCCATGTTCATGCCATTCTCCTGCCTCAGCCTCCCGAGTAGCTGGGACTACAGGCACCTGCCACCATGGCTGGCTAATTTATTTTTATTTTTATTTTTAGTAAAGACGGGGTTTCACTATATTCGTCAGGCTGGTCTCGAACTCCTGACCTCAGGTGATCCGCCACCTTGGCCTCCCAAAGTTCTGGGATTATAGGCATGAATCACCAGGCCCAGCCTGTTTTTTTCTTTTTTCTTTTCTTTCTTCTTCTTTTTTTTTTTTTTTTTTTGAGACAGGATCTTGCTGCATCACCCAGGCTGGGCTGGAGTTCAGTAGCGCAAACATGTCTCACTGCAGCCTTTGCCTCCTGGGCTCAGGCGGTCCTCCTGCCTCAGCCTCCTGAGTAGCTGAGACCACAGGCATGTGCCACTGCACTTGGCTAATGTTTTTATTTTTTAGAGATGCCATCTTGCTCAGGCTGGTCTCAAACTCCTGGGCTAACACCATCCTGCCGCCTCTGCCTCCAAAAGTGCTGGGATTACAGGTGAGAGCCACTGTGCCTGGCCTGAAATAAGTTCTTATTGATTGAGGAGAGATCTTCAAAACCTTCATCCACAAGACCACAGGGCAGCCTAGCCAGCATGACTAACCTCCTCAGAAGGCTAAGAAACACCAGCATCTACCAAGGGCATTTATTTAAGAAATAATTCTGTGAAAACAGAAATTACCTACAGAAGGGAGAGGCAAATCCTATCAAATGTCTTCCCAGACCGGTGCTGGATTCTTCCAGTGCCAGGTGCACAGGTGGGGGCTTTGCCCGGTGAGAGCCTTGGGCTGCATCTGCACAGGGCCACCAGTTCCCCTCTCACCAACGCAGTGTTTCCTCCCAGCGAATCAAGTCACGTATGTGTCATTGACCCAACCCCCCGTCATCCCGGCATTCTCAGGAGGCTGGTGCTGAGACTTGACTTCATGTTGGACATTTGCACCTCCCTGACTTTCCAAATGGCCCATTCGCAGTTCGAGCGCTGACATTAATCCAGCCACATCTTTGTTTTCCTTCCTCTCAGATCTACAGATAGAACCTCGTAAAGCGCCATGACAGTTGGCTTGCATTTATAAGCAGTAATTAGCTATCAAATCCTTTGTGAATCTGTTTCGAGAAGAAAAGAATTCAAAAACACCAAGGTTCCTTCTGGGAGCAGGAGCCTTTGTCTTCTCCTCTGCCCCCGCGTTTTGGAGAGCGCTCCCATCCCGACTGTGCTCTGTAGGAACGAGTTATTATCAACATGGCACACACTGGGTAGGACCTTCAAGAGCAACGGACAAAAACACAGTCTTTCAGGGTAACAGAGAGGATTTATAGGCAAAATGCAGCTATTCTCAGAGTCTTCAATAAAGATATACAACCTGAACAAAAGGTAAGTATTTCACTCCGTCTAGGAAAGCCTGTGAAATTTATTTCTTGCAAGCTTTTACAGTCCATGACCTTCCCATTCAATCTTGAATAATAGCACTGAATTGAGCTGTAAAAGCTTCCGAAGTTTGAAGCCTTTTGACAAGTTAATTTAGCAGTATGGTAAAAAGTTTTTCCCCAAGATAGAATAAAGCCATCATATCATGAATGTAGCAGTCATCCCGAGGAAAGAAAACACCATTAGGATTCGAAATGATATGCTTTATGGAGATAGTTTGTGGTTTTGTGTAATCTACTATCAATATTTCAGGAGAAAGATGTTCCACTCATCAGTCAGCCAGAAGTCAATATCTCCACTTAAAACCAACACCCAGGGGCCAGATCACATATATCTCTTATTGGAAAAATAACATTTGCTATGTAGTCTCGCTTTCTTCAGTTCTTCAGATTCTAATTGAGGGGTGCGTGCGTGTGTGTGTGTGTGTGTGTGTGTATAACAAAGAAGTCTTTCTTTTTCTAGAAAAAAAAACAGGGAAAAGAAAGACGCAATATTTTCTTTGTCTCCCCTATACACCCATATCGGCCACCCACCCTTTCCTCAGCAGCTGGTATGCTTCTCCGTGCCCATTCTAAGTGAAATAGAATGAGCTCGGCCACTTTCTTTACACACAATGAAAGCCCAGTTGAGCGTTGTTTGTTTGCTTGTTTTAAAAAATTAAAGTAACTCAAAGTGCCTGGTTCCTATTTGGCCATAGGAGGACAAGAAAGGAAACAGAATTACCATCTCCCCTCCAGCATCTCTGTGGTTATTGCAGAGAATCTTTGGGGAAGGAAAAGAGTCACCTATAAACAGGATGAATGGTACAGATCCAGCTTTGTCATGATGGGGGAAAAAAGCCAAGAAAAATTAATTATATTTAACAAAGAAATGCTTCAGATGCCATTTGGTCTTGTGCCCTGAATATAAATCTCCAAATGTTTCTCGCTTGAATATTTTAGTGGGAAAAAATAAAATTAAAATTAAAAAACAGATGCCCTATTATTGTGTTTATATAGTAATTGCATGGGTTGCTTTGAAGTACCCTGTGTAGTTAGGAGAGTTCAGCACTGGTTTTGGGAACTAAGCCCTGGGGTTTTGGGGTAGAGGATGTCTTGTATAATGAAACACCTCCAGTGCTAAACACTCAACGTGACTCTCCCAAGGACAGATTCAAAGTCTTGCACAACAAGGTATGGAAACTGTTTCTCAATGGTTCTTACCTTTGGTGTTACAGAGCAGAGAGTGGTTTTCATTTTATTAAAGGAGTTATTAAATTAGTCCTATCTAGTAATTATTTAATTAGTCCTATCCTACTAAACCATTTTAGAAGGGAAATGTCCAATGGGGGTTGGGACTAAAGAAAGGAATAACAAAATTTATGGTACTAATTAAAAGCACACACTTTTGGCTCAGCTAGACCTGGGTCCAGACTCTCTAGCTCTGCTCTACATAGATGTTCCTGGAATAATTCACCCAGCAGCTACTCACTAAATGCCCACTACTTGCTGGGCAGCATGCTAAGTGCAAGGGCTTCCGCAGTGAATTGAAGATAGATACAAGTTCTTTCTTATTTCCCCAAGTCTTCTTGTGCTTGTACGATGTGATACCAGGAGCACCTGCCTCTCAGGGGGCTTGCAAGGGTTGCCGTGGGCTTGCCTCAGTGCCCGCACACACAGTCACTGCTCAGATGTTTAAATTATGATCATGCGGGGCTTTTAATCATCTAACGCTAAAAAAAAGTCAAGGAATAACAAATAATATTTCCACTTAAAAGTGAAATCCTGATGAAACATGATTTCTCATATTAAGTGCCTTCTTCCTCAACAAAATGAATTTAGAGCATCGTGTGCACTTGAAAAGTAACGTTAACTATTTGCCCACCCTTATACACATTTATTCCAATTTTCATTATGACAGTTTGGAATTTCTTTTGTGTCCTAGAAACTACTTGTTAGTGAAAAATGTAATTTGATTTTCATGCAAAAATAATTGACTTCAATAGTCTCCACAGAATTTAATTCTTAAGACTGATACCCAAGGAAATTTTATGAGTTTCAATTGTGCAACTGGCAATGCTTCTAAACACGATTAAGAAATAACATAGAATTTGGCCGGGCGCCGTGGCTCACGCCTGTAATCCCAGCACTTTGGGAGACCAAGGCGGGTGGATCACGCGAGGTCAGGAGTTCAAGATCAGCCTGGCCAACATGGTGAAACCCCGTCTCTACCAAAAATACAAAAATTAGCCAGGTGTAGTGGTGCACGCCTGTAATTCCAGCTACTTGGGAGGCTGAGGCAGGAGAATTGCAGTGAACCGATATTGCACCCCTGCACTCCAGGCTGGGTGACAGAGCGAGACTCTGTCTCAAAAAAAAAAAAAAAAAAAAAAAGAAGAAAAAAAGAAATAACATAGAATTTTTGTCTTTTCCAGATCACAGAAGTGAAGTTGTCCTTTCGACATAATTTGTTGAGGGTCACGAACTGTGTGAGGTGAGAAAGTTCATCAGTGGAAAAGAGAGGAGGCGTCAGAGTTGCTTGACCACTGTGGAAGGTGGGCACTGGGTAAACCACTGGCTGTTTGAATACTAACACAATCTTGAAAGAGAAAGATTCTGATCTTGGAACTGTCCTCCACATTTATTATGTATGTATGTGTGTATTTTATTTTGGATACCAATGTTAAATATTCCAAGCTTAGAGAGAAGTAGAAGAGTTAATGACCACATGTGTCCGTGCTTGTTATCATATGTATCCAAAATCGTTTATTCCTCTTTGTTGTGTAGTGTTCCGTTGCATGGATGGACCACTCCGTTTATCCACTCAGTCACTGAAAGACCTTAGGGTTGTTTCCAGTTTGTGGCTATTATGAATAAAACTATGATAGACATTTTCATATAGATTTTTGTGGAGCACATGTTTTCATTTCTCTAGGGTAAATACTGAGGAACAGGATTGCTGGGTGTATTAGTCCTATCCAAGACTGGGTAATTTATAAGGAAAAAGAGGTTTAATGGACTCACAGTTGCATGTGGCTGGGGAGGCCTCACAATCATCTCGGAAGGTGAAAGGCATGTGTTACATGGCAGCAGACAAAAGAAGGGCGCTTGTGCAGGGAAACTCCCCTTTATAAAACCATCAGGTCGGCCGGGTGTGGTGGCTCATGCCTGTAATCCCAAAACTTTGGGAGGCCGAGGTGGGCAGATCACCTGAGGTTGGGAGTTTGAGACCAGCCTGACCAACATGGAGAAACCCCATCTCTACTAAAAATGCAAAATTACCTGGGCATGGTGGCGCATGCCTGTAATCCTAGCTACTCAGGAGGCTGAGAGAATCGCTTGAACCCAGGAGGCAGAAGTTGTGGTGAGCCAAGATCGTGCCATTGCACTCCAGCCTGGGCAACAAGAGCAAAACTCTGTCACACACACATATACGGAAAAAAACACCAAAAAACAAAAAAACAAAACCATCAGATCTCATGACACTTACTCACTATCACAAAAACAGCATGGGAAAGATCCACCCCCATGATTCAATTACCTCCCATGGGTCCCTCCCACAACACATGGAAATTGTGGGCGGTATAATTCAAGATGAGATTTGGGTGGGGACACAGCCAAACCATATCACTGGATCATATATATGGTAGGTGGATGTTTACCAATGGGAAAAAACTGCAACGCAACAAGACGCCTTTTTTTTGCATTGGCTGCACCACTTTGCATTCCCATCAGCCAGACGTGAGAGTTGCAGTTGTTCTGCATCCCCATCAGCCTCATAGTCTCCACTGTGTTTTCTTTCAGCCCAGCAGATAGATGTGAAGTGGCAGCGCATTGTGGTTTGAATTTGCATTTCCCCAATGGCTAATGATATTGAACAGTGATGTCAAATTTATTAATATTTTCCTTCATGGCTTCTGGCTTCTGTGTGCTATGAAAGAAATCTTTTCATGGGACATAAAACTATTCCTACCCCATTTCCTTCTAAGACTCTGAAGTTTTACTTTTTCGTATATAGACTATTTTTCTGCCAAGTTTATGTGTTTGATGTGAAATGTAATTTTATTTTTCTTTTGTTTAATATGGAGAACCCATTGTCCAAGTATCAATGATTTAGTCGTCTTTCTCCTCTGCTCCGTAATGCAATCTCTGTCATAGATCAAGTTTCCATACATACATGTGCTGCTGCCTGGACCCTGTTCTGTTATGCCGCTGTATTTGTCTATTCCTGTGCCAAGGCCATGTGGCACAATTCCTAAAGCTTAGAATAGATCTTGACATTTGGGTAAAACACCTCCCCTCCACCACTGTGTTATTTATCAAAATTGCCTTGCCTATTCTCAGCTCTTTGCTATTTAATGATTTTCAGAAGTGATTTGCCAAAAATTGCATTGAGGTTTTAAAATGCATTGAAGAGAATCATCATTTTTTACAATTTTCAGCTTTTCCATCCATGGATATGGTATTCATTTAATTGAATCCGAGATGCCATCAAGTAGAAGATGCACCATTATTTTATGTGCTATGAGGAAACAGAAAGTGCTGCCAATTGATCTACGACACGAAACTATGACACAGTTAATTTTAAGACATATTTGATTTCTGAGATGTTAAAAATGTGAAAAAATGCATGTTTCAGAATTGATGAAATTTGGTGTATACCATCAGTTATTTGGTTCCGTTTAAAATATATTTCAGTAAGTTTCACAACTGTTTCCACGAATATCTTTTACAAGTTTTGTTAGGTCTATCCCTAGGCAGCATGAAGTTTTTGCACTGTAAATGGTGTCTTTAGAATTCTAAGTGTTTCTGTGTATAGAAATACGATGAATTTTGATGTATGGATCTTATGTCTGGAAAACTTCCTGAGCTTCCCTATCAGTTCAAATAGTTTGCCTATAGATTCTCTTGATGTCATCTTTTTGCCATTGATTTCTAGCCCTATCACAGTTTGGTAAGAGAATATATTCTGTATGATATCAATTCTTTGAAATGTGTTGAGATTGGCCTTCTGGCCTAGTGTGTAGCCTTAGCCAGTGTTTATATGTTCCATGAATGCCTGAAAAAAAAATGTGCTTCCTCATTTAGGAGTGTAGGATTCTTTTGATATGGGGACATTAGTATAACCATGTTAATTAATTCAAATCTTGTATATATCAGTTATCAAATGAGTAGTATTCTACAATATTATGGATTTATAAATTTCTCCTTAGAATTTTTAAAATTTTTTCTTTATATTATTTTGGGGCTAAATCACTAAATGCAAAAAGTTTAAATTGATTTATCTTCCTGGTGAATTGTCCCTCTTACCCTTATGCAGTGGCCACCTTTATCTCCAAAAATGTTTTCTTTCCTCTGGGTCAATTTTGACTGACATTATAACAACAGATACTTCTTGTGATTTGTGTTGGCTAAGAACATCATTTTTTTTTTGCCCCGCTCAGACTATTAGCTTTGCAGAATTTTCATGTTTCATGCTATCGCTTGTAAAAAAAAAAAAAAATAGGGAGATGGCTTTTATTTTTAAGCCCAACCTGGCAGTCTGTCTTTAACTGGCAAATTTAGTCCATTTACATTCATTGTGAATACTGATATATTTGGACATATTTCCCAGTTTCACTTTTGGTTTTACCCTACTCTTTCTATGCCTCTTTTGTTTTCCCCCATTTGGATTGATTGATCTTCCCACCTCTTTTTCTCCTTTCTTTTTTTCTGTCCCCTCTGCTGCTTTGGAAGTTATATATTTTATTTCAAGTGGTTTAGTGTTTTCTTTAAAAATTTGAACAAACATTTTTTGCTTAACAAAATACAAATGTATACTTCCTACCAACACTAGGAATGCAGAGAGCTTCAACTCCAACGTCCCCTCATGCCTTATAAGCTATATTATTGTATGCCAGACACCACCCATCACCTTATCTTATATCATGTATGCTATAGCTCATGCCTGCTTAGATTTACTCACACAATGTCTTTGCACTCCATTTTCTTGCAACTAATTTACTGTCTTGGCCAGGGCAGGGCTCCAGAGAGCAGGGAGGCCAATTCAAGGGCTTACACTGGGCCTTTCCTATCATGATACCTGTTGCCCAAGAGGTGAAGAGGCTCTGCAATCTACTAAATACATCCATCCTAAGCTTAAACTAATGTTTATATATCAAAATAATTTTGGCCGGATGTGGTGGCTCATGCCTGTAATCCCAGCACTTTGGGAGGCCGAGGCAGGCGGATCACGCGAGGTCAGGAGTTTGATAACAGCCTGGCCAACATGGTGAAATCTTGTCTCTACTAAAAGTTACAAAAATTAGCTGTGCGTGGTGATGTGTGCCTGTAGTCCCAACTACTTGGGAGGCTGAGTCAGGAGAATCTCTTGAACCCAGGAAGCGGAGGTTGCAGTGAGCAGAGATTGTGCCACTGCACTCCAGCCTGGGTGAAAGAGTGAGACTCTGTCTCGAAAAATAATAATAATAATAATAATTTTGCACTCCTAAATTAGGAAACACGTTCTTTTCAGGCATACATGAAACATTGACAAACACCGGCTATGACCACACATCAGGTCACAAAACAAATATTAACATATACCAGTGAATCAGTACCACATATAGTCAAGGGCTGGAGAAGTGAGCACAGGGAGGTCTGCAAATCCCTTAGACCCACTGTGACAGACGTGGTGTGGGAAGGAGAATTCTTCGAGGGCACCAAGATTCTGGCGCATAGTGACGGATGGCAGGATTTGCAAATATGATGGGATATCCCTCCCGCAATTATGCAACCATAGGAGAGGCAACACTCTACTTCTACCTCTTAGGGTTCCCAGATAGGCCTGAGAATTCACTTGGCATAAGACAGATTAACAGCAGAAAAGCATACCGATTTATTTAATCTAAATTTTATGTAACACAGGAAACCTCATTAGGAAATGAACAGAAAGAACCGGCAAAACCACAATGTTTCTATACCTGCTCGAGCAAAGAGAGGCAATTGCAGGAAAGTAACTAAATTATGTGGGATGCCAAAAGAAGATAAGAATTATTTTAACAAGATCCATTTGTACAGCATTTTCTCAGCTCTGACTCCCACTGAAGAACATTTCTTTTTCTGCTGGGACAGGGAGGGCATCTTTCACACAGGTTTTATCTCCTGTTTTCAGGAATCAATGGAGAGGTCAGAGCACCCTTCCTGTGTCTGCTGTTTTAAGGTGCCTTTAGCTCGAAATGATCCTTTACCAAAGTGACGTATTTTGGGGTGGCATGGTCTGCAACCCTTCATTACATTGTAGGTCAGAAAGGATTCTGCAGGTGTCATTAACATCCCTAATCAGTGGGCTTTGAGACAGTCAAAGGGAGATTGTCCTGGGTGACACTGAACTAATCAGGTGAACTCAAAAGACATCAGAGGGATGCTGAGCTGGAGGGAGCCTCCTCCTGGCCAGGCAGAAGCAGACTGCTTGGTCGTGGAGGGGACAGGTGGCAAAGAATTGCAAGTGGCCCGTAAGAGCTCAGAACAGGCCCTGGCTGACAACCAGCAAGAAAGCAGGAACTTCAGTCCTGCAACCACAAGGAATCGAATTCTACCATCACGAGTGAACTCGGAAGAGGACCCCGAACCTCAGATGAAAACTCAGTCCTGACCGACGCCTTGATTTCAGCCTGGTGAGACTGCACAGAGGACCCAGACTCCTGGCCCACGGACACAAAAGAAATCATTCATGAGGGTTATTTTAAGCTGTTGAGTTCGTTATGCAGCCATAGATAACTCACACAGCAAGACCCAGGTACCATCTGCACTGTGTGTGCCCTTCTCAAACAAGGATTGTAGGGGCACCTCTGATTTCAGTGTCAGCTCAATCCTGTATGCAGCAGTTCTCCCGAGGCCTGGATCTTCCCTGCTCCACAGGGGGCAGTTGCTCTGAATGGCTGGAGGTCCTGTGGGGAAGCACAGGGAAAAGAGCTAGTCTATTAACTGGCTGTGGTGCCTCAGGACCTCCATCGCTGGACTGGTGGCTGAGAACTGACTCAGGTCTGGCCATTGGGTGAGGGGTTGTGATTTTCCTTGTGGCAGCTGACACCAGCCTCTGTCCACCCACCTCTAGCCTTTATTGATTCTATGTTAGAAAGTAGTGCCCCCCATTGGCTGCTGTCTCTCGGCCCCCCAGGACCTCCCTGGTCTGTTGGCATCACCACCAACACCTGTGAATTGAGCACCTTATCTGCTGTCCTGGCTTGCTGCCCGTCATGGAAATTACGTGCACCTTGCCCCAGATGGTGAACTGCCACTGCCCCTGCTATTCAGGATCCTGCCACTCCCAAGAACACGCGAGGACTCAGGTTCATCAAGGCCCTCCCTCTTCTGCCCTGTCCTACTGAAGACAGACACCTCCAGCTTTCTCAATGATGCTCACACCTCTTCTAAAAGTTCTTTTCTTGCCACCTGAATGCAGAGAGAGTCCTGTGTTCCTTGTGGGAACTTCATGTGATCAATCTCTCTCAGTGCGCCCACCTCTTGGACTTCCTGACCCCTTCCTTACTGACCCCCAAGGCAGGCCTGGCGGCTCCCCTCCACCACTGTTGGCCATTGTCTCCATGCTTCAAGGAACATTCTGGCAACCCATCAGTTCCAGTCCTCCATGTCCTTACTGGGGTGTGAAATCCTGAGTCACAGAGGGGGACCTACGTGACTACGTCTTCTCTCTCTTGGGTCTGTGCTGCTCCCATCGGCACCCTCGGGATCTATGCTCCTGTTCCTGCCCATGTTATATTCATTAGCTCCCAAGTTTCTGTTAAATAATCCCTTTTTTCCTGTAGCTGGGGCTGTAAGCCTCCTGCCTGATCCAGGGAGGAGCTGACAGTCACCCTAGAAGCAATGAGGGAAGGTAGGGAAGGTGGCTCCTCACCTTGGGAGGAACTGCCTGAGCCAAGGCTTTGCAAACCCTATAGGTGCTGAGCGAGTCTCTGCTCTGGCATGGGGAAGGCCACTCGTGCTGGCCTGGGGCCCGTAGGAGAGTCTGGAGGTTCCAAGACCTCACACGCATCCTCTGAAATGTTCCTCTCCTACATCTAGGATCCCACTCTTTCCCCACCAAGGACCCTACCCTTGACTTTAACACCAGAAGCTTGCTGGAGTATGAACTCAGCCTCTATCACTTTGTAATCCAAGCTTGGGCCTGATTTTCAGCACAGTTTGCTCTCCAACTGCAGAAGCTGCTAAAACTAAGAATTAAAAAATTAGCCAAGCACGGTGGTGTGTGCCTATAGTCCCAGCTATTTGGGAGGGTGATGAAGTGGGAGGATCACTTAAGCCCAAGAGTTCAAGGCTGCAGTGAGCCATGATTAGGCCATTGTACTTCAGCCTGGGTGCCAGAGTGAGATTATGTCTCAGAAAACAAACAAACAAACAAAAAAAAACAAAACCCAAAAAACAAATAGTCTGCCATCAGTCCAATGATCATTCCTCAGGAGGCCACCTGCCGTTTCTTTGTGGCGCTTTTAGGAAAGCTTTCTTTGCATTGGCATTGGGCAGTGTTGCTACCATAGGTCCAGTGTATCATTATGTTACTTACCATCCTCAGGGCTCGCAGGACTTCCTGAGCCTGAGGATCCCCCTCCTTCCGTAATGCTAAGAACTTCTCAGCCATTATCTTGCTCCTCCTCCATTCTCTCCTCCTGCAATGCCCTGTTCTAGATCAGATACCCAAGAGGCTGAGGGTGAGGTGAGGGCTGCTGTACAAATGCTTTCTCGAGGATGACTCGCAGGGGGTACCCTGCCAGGAAGTGAAGGGAGGATGGCAGGGCAGGGAGTAGGGCCAGAGGAAGGACAGTGCACAGCAGGCGTGGGGGGAAGTTAGGAAAGGTCGTGATTTAGGCTCAAGCCAGCCAAGGCTCAGCCTGAGCCCATGGGGAGCTCAGGAGCATGACTTGCTGTACAGGGATCTGGGCTTCCTATCCCTGGGGGTCAGACACTGGCCATCTGGGAGCGGAGACAGGTAACCTCCCAAGCATTTCCAGGTGAGGTGACTCCCCTTTGACCAACGACAGCTCTCTGGAGCATGACACAGCTGTAAGCCATTCGCAGGCCACACTTCCAGGTAATGGAGATCTGTCCCAAGCACCCACATGGCCACCACTCTCCTAGTAAAAAAGAGACGCTTCCATATCTTTTATCCTGGGGTCTGCATTTGGATAAATTCCTTGGGTCCATTTGACAAGTTGCTAACAAGGTTTTCTAAGATGCTTTTTATTTTCCCCACCGAATTTTTAATTTTAATGACTACATTTCTCATATCCAGATGTTTTACTTGGTTCCTTGAAAAATTCCACTCTTCTTTTTCTTAGTGTCTTATTCTTCGGTTCATAGTCAATGTAACTTCCTTGATGCCTTTAGCAATTTCTAACATTTATTTTTAAGCTCTCTTATAATCCCATTGCCTTGGCTGGAGGCATCATCCTGTTCTTCATCTGCTGACTCTTGCTCATGGTGAATTGTTTCCTTTGGGTTTTATAAACTTACATAACATTTTACATATTTATATAAAACCTTTACATCCTGTCATTTTCGGTCGTGAGGTCATTTTGCGTGAGGCTCTATTCCTGGGAATCCCGTGTAACCTAGGTTGAGGGTGTTACCCTCATTGCCACTGTTTGCTTCTGCCAGAAGTTCTGAGAGTATCCTACACCTGGACTACTTTTCATGTTACTTTTGGGGCCTGAGAGTTCCTGGATTGCGCGGGTAGCATGTATCAAACCCAAGTGAGGGTAGGCCCTGCTACAAATTTGCAAGAAGCCTTTTCCCCACCCAGAACCAAGGTGGAAACAGATGCTCTTCCTCATTGTCTCTGTGTTCCACTGGCCAGATTTTTTTCTAGTCTGTCCTTTCACTAAGGATCTAGAATTCAAACGCCTCAGCCCCTGAGTTAGAGGTATCAGGAAGGGCTTTTTCCTAAGGCATCAGTTTAGGAGATTTCTCGTCTTTACGGAGTTCCCTTACTTGCTTGTATATACTCAGCCATGTGTTCTTCAAAACGCAGCCTTTTAGGCAGCACTCCTAGGTCCTTTGTAATGAGAATGTTTCCAGGTAAGCGAGTCAGCCCCCTTGCCAGGATCCTGAGCTTTGCCCTCTCCCCTACCACTGAAATCTTAAGCTGAAAATAATAATGTCTTTCCACAAGTCTCTGGGCTACAGCTACTCAGCCCGGGCACTGAGCTCACTGGAACCTCCAGGTCCTTACCCCTGCCCTTTTCTCATCCAACTCTGCCCTTTTGCCCTTCCTGTCCTCTGCGGCCTGGACCTCACAGTGAGTCATGCCCACCACCATAGCTAGTACCCCTAGGGCTTTGCTCCTTTGTCCTTCAGCCCTACCACCAACCTTGCATCTATCCAACAATACAAGAATTTTGCAGCTGGCCTTCTCAGTGCTACCAGAAAAGATAAATGACCCTGGTGCCATTACAAACCCTGCATTTGACTGGGTGGGCCCTCAGCACCACTCAGCAATGCTTTTTTTTGAGACCGAGTCTCGCTCTGTCGCCCAGGATAGAGTGCAGTGGCGCGATCTCGGCTCAGTACAAGCTCCGCCTCTCGGGTTCACACCATTCTTCTGCCTCAGTCTCCCAAGTAGCTGGGACTACAGGCACCCACCACCATGCCTGGCTAATTTTTTGTATTTTTAGTAGAGACAGGGTTTCACCGTGTTAGCCAGGATGGTCTTGATCTCCTGACCTCGTGATCCGCCCACCTCGGCCTCCCAAAGTGCTGGGATTACAGGCGTGAGCCACAGCACCTGGCTAGCAATGCTTTCTAATAGCCTGCTCAGCTCTCTCTTCAATACCCTGCCAATGCCACTCCCACAGCACCTGGCTCATAGCAAGCACATCACGTGTTGATTATTGTTGTCATCACCCTGTCTTTACTCCTGGGTCTCAGCTCAGGACCATGTCTATTATAAACATAAGGCTGCCATCCTCAGCCTCCTGCCCTCACCTGTAGACTCATCTCTGCCCATTCTCACCCCCTCCCCTTTCTTTCAGAGGCCCCCTACTGTTTGAGGATCTTCCTGCTTGGGGTTTTCAGAGCCCGTCTGAGACCTGAGCACAAGGGTCCTGACCTGGCCTCCTGTTCCAGGACCCGTGCTATTGAAGCAGGCTATCTGGCCCCTCCAGGGTATCTTTCTCTCTAGCTGAGAAGTCGCTGCGACCGACCATCGTGGGTGTTGCTCGGGGACCCATGCTCCAGGTGACAGGGGCCCAGGATTCCACATCCAGATGACCCGAAGCCATTTCCAAACAGGCACGGGCCTATTCTGAGATCCATGGCCCAAAGGCAGACTGTGGCACGGGGCTGCCACACTCAGGTCTGCAGGGAGGCCAAGGGGTGGCTGTCTGGGAGTGTGGGTAGAGCTTGAATCAGGCTGGGCATGGGAGACAGGCTCCTTGAAGTGCAAGACAAGGCCAGTGGCAAAAGGAGAAAGGAACAAGGCAGAGGCTGACTGCAGCTCCCTCTGAGGCAGAATCTTGAGGCCCCTGAGGATTTTAAATTCCAGACAGTTACAGCGGGATGAGTGTGGCAGGAGGAGGATGGGCACTTTCCTTGTCACAGTCTATTGGCTGAATTTGCCCTTTTATTTATAGTATTTAGACACGAGATGTGTGAGCCTCTGCCTGACACTTGCCACGTGCCACACACGCTCGGGACGGGCCTGGCACTCCCACGGCATCCTCCACATTCCTCCCTGGGACTCTCTCAGGGGCACTTCCCCCACGCCTCCGCCCTGGCCACAGACCTACCCCGGTCTCCCGTACTAAGAGGAAAATACAGACAGTCCCGACTCAGGAGGGTCTGACTTGGCCTGTTGCAGTTTTGACCTAATTTACAGTGTTCAATGAGTGACGTGAGGTGCTCAACCCTTTATTATAAAACAGGCTTGTGTAAGATGATTTTGTCCCACTGTAGGCTAATGCATGTGTTCTGAACCCACTGGAGGCAGGCGAGGCTGAGCCATGACGCTTGGCAGTTTCGGTGTATTCGAAGCATTTTCCACTTAGGATGGACTTATGGGGATGCTGCCTGCGGGAAGTGGAGGAGCCGCACATGAAACTTTTTGCCTTGGGTCTCCCCCACCAGCTCCTCAGACGCTCCTCACTTCATGTTTGCTTGGTGACCGTGGTAGCTACCCAGCCGATGCCTCTGAGCCTTCCAGGGTCCGTAGCACCTCCTGGAACAGCAGGAGACCTGGCCTCTGGCCTCGCCTCAGCACCCCTTCTAGCAGCTGGAGCTCCCTCTCATCTCAGCCACGCTTCCATGGCCAGTGCTCCCTGGGCCCCGCAGATGCGCCCTGGTGTCTCCTCCCCTTGGCCTGTGGTGCCTCTCTTGTCTCATTTCCCAGAGATTCTCTGATGCTCAGAGTGGGGTGTTTGGGGGGCTCTCTCAGAACTCCTGCTTGCCCAGCCTGGAAGCATGGGGGGCCTTACTTAACCCCTGTGGGGCAGCACTTGACCACTGGTGTTTGGAAGCTGATCGAAAAATGCTTCCTCCTCCTTCTCAGAGATGAACAGTCTGGCCAACTGCACATCACAGCCCAGGACTGGCTGTCCTTCCTTTCCTGTCCCATCTCCAGCCCCCAGGTCTGTCACTCCTGCCTCCTGGGGCCTCCTCCCAAACCCCTGCTGCACCTGTGTCCTTGTATCAGGCTCTGCTTTTGGACCTGAGCTAAGGTAGTTGGCACTTAAATTCCTCAGATAGCAATCACGTGCAAACTTACTTCCCTGAACAGCAAAGGCCTCATCCGGAGGACTTTTTCCCAGTCCCCCAGCCTCCAGCCTCTCAGCTCTCGGCCTCTTCTCTCTTCTCTTCCTGGACTCCACTGCTCCTGCCATTTCTAGCCACTCCCTACCTGGCCTCACCCCCTGTAGTGACTTCAGCTCCTCCTTACATGCTAATGACCCCAATATTTTACCTCAAAAAACATAAACTAAAGCAAAAATCTCAAGCCAACTTTGGTAGCTTTTGACTGGGTCTGCTTGGTCAAGTTCACTTCCATTGAATCAGTCACCCAAGGCTGAAAGCTGGGCAAGGGGACCCAGGGGAGCGTCCATCACCAGCTGTTTTGTTGGTCTCTTGCTACTTATTTCAATGAGCTGGTTGTGTCATCCCTATCTGGAGCAGGTCTTGGGTTAAAGTGTTGGAGGGCAGAGGGTCCGCTGAAAGATATGGAAGAGTTGAAAGTCTTAGGGCTGTAATTTTCTGTCCTTGTGATAGTTTGCTCAGAATGATGGTTTCCAGCTTCATCCATGTCCCTACAAAGGCATGAACTCATCCTTTTTTATGGTTGCATAGTATTCCATGGTGTATCGATGCCACGTTTTCATAATCCAGTCTATCATTGATGGACATTCGGGTTGGTTCCAAGTCTTTGCTATTGTGAATAGTGCGTACCACTCATAGGGTGGAATTGAGCAATGAGAACACGTGGACACAGGCTGGGGAACATCACACATCGGGGCCTGTCGTGGGGTGGGGAGAGGAGGGAGGGACAGCATTACATATCTAATGTAAATGACGAGTTAACGGGTGCAGCACACCAACATGGCACATGTATACGTATGTAACAAACCTGCACATTGTGCACATGTATCCTTGAACTTAAAGTATAATAATAATAAAAAAAAGAAAGTTTTAGGGCTGTGAGAAGAGCCCTGAACTACCCCACCCCTGCTCCCTCCACTGCAGCCCAGGCTGCACCTCCCACATCTGTCCTACAGCCCCCGGCTCGTGCCCGCTTGACAGAGTCTCTCAGACCTTGCTGTCTCCTTAGTGAACTTCATGTCCTTCTTGAATTTTTTTAAATAATTATTTTTTTACAAAAGAAAAACATGTTCACTGAAGAATTAAGAAAACAAGTGAGCAAAAGAAAACAAGAATCTCTCATTTTCCACTTAGAAGAGGACACATTTTTCCTCATTGTTTTTGTGTCTATAAATGCTTTCATTTGTAAAAATTACATCACATTGTAATGAGGTCTTCTTGTCTTTCTTTTCCCTTGAAACTATAAAGTGAATTTCTTTCCCTGATATAAAACCCCTTATTTTTGGTGATATATGCATACATATTCATCCCAACCAACCATTGTTTCTGTGGACCTTTTAGCTAAATGTTTATCAGCATCCATGTTTGTCTCTTTGAATGAGGTTCTAAAATTGCAATCACTAGGTGAAAGAAGGTGCAAATTTTGCAGGTTTTATTTATGAGTGTGGTTAAGTAGCTGTCTGAAAGTTTCTATCAGTTGACACTCAGTTGCTGTATAATAGCGTTTATTTCCACACATTTGCTTTTATCAAACAAAGCATTGCACTTCTTTTATTAGAGAACATCCTGTCATGTTTATGGGCGTTTCTTCTTTTGTCTTTGCCTCTCCTTGTCCCTGCCTGCTTTATGTATGGGCTGCTCCGCTCTGAAAACCCTCCTGCCTGTGAAGATCAGCCTCTACGAATCCCACGCAAACGCTTTCCCCACTCACTTGTCTTAATTTTATTGTGTTCTGAAGCACCAGAAGTCCCCCCTTCCCCTCCAAACTGGGGCAGCCACTGCCTTCAACAATTTTTTTTTCTTCTGAATTAAAATCTTCCTGAGAAAGGCACAGCTCTTAAATTCAACGAGTTTTGATCGGTACGTACCCCTATGCGATCTACACCCCAGACAGAAAGTGTATTATCTCCATTGCCCGGGAAGGTTCTCGTGTCCTTCCCAGTCCACCCTCTGTAGGCCCCCAATCTGGAGAGAACTGTTCTGATCTCTACCCCATATTTGGCTGAATTTCATATTAACAGTCATACAGTGTAAACCCTTTTGTATCTGACATCTTTTATGATGTTCTTGACGTTCAACCGTCTATAACAGTTCATTCTTTTTTATTGCTGAGTAATATTCCCTTGTATTTTGCAGTTGGGGTTTATCCATTTTCCCACTGATTATACACTAAATTTTAATTACAACATAGCTAAATTCTCAATTATTTCCCTTTATGACTGTTGACAATATTCTTTATATTCCACAACCCTATAGAGATGTCCAGAGTTTTTCCTTAGTACTTTTTTTAAAACTGAAGTCTTTACTCCATTTGATGAGTAAAGATTTCAACTTTAATATCTTCTCTTCAAATGATTAGCAGGTACCCTACCATATTGCTTTCTCACTGATTTGAAAAGCCACTTTCATTATACTTTAAATCCCTACAGGGGTGGTATTAAAACTAGTCAATAGTTGGTGAGGCACAGGCACTGACCAGCCTGCAAAGCTGCCCATTAAGAACAGCTGGAGCACACTGATCATACACATATCGGCTGGGTATCAGCCTGGAGTCAGTACATTTGCTTGGGGCCATTCCTTTACTTTCTATTATTTTGCATTGATCTGGGCCAATATCACGTTGTTTTCATTTCGGAGCCCAGATAACATGTTTTTATTTTCTGGAAGCACAGTTTCTCCTTCATTACTCTTCTTTTTGACTGCTCTCAAATCTTTATTCTTCCAGATGAACTATTTAACGATTTTCACAATTCCCAGGAAGTTCTGTTGGAACTTACTGTTACATTTAGGTACTTAAAATGTTTTTGCTAATTGAGAATGTTTCATATTTTCTAACACATATGTAAGTGCTTAGCACAAAGCTCACCACATACTGAATATGCAACAATTATTTAATTACCGATTGAATGTTGTCAGTTATCTGAAAGTTACTGTTATTTGTATATTTTATAATTGGCCAGCTTGCCGATCGTAGCCAGTCTAGGAGTTCTACCAATTTATTGGATCCACCAACCCTAGATTTTAAAATTTGAGTCTTTGATGCTGGTTTCTTTCAACTGTGAGAACACGGAGATTCCTTTGAGTGTGATTCATTTGACTCTGTCAAATACCTGTATGTGAAGTCCCAAGCGCGAATGCTCCCAGGCATTGGGGTTGTCACCCCACCTTTCTCCTTATACACAGCTCACAGGATAGCGTGTTTGCTTTCACTGCACACTATCGTACTGAATTGCTCTGCACTGGCTGTGCACCGGTCTCCTTCAGACAGCCCCTCTGACACATAATGGCAGACACAGCCACCCAGGCCAAGTTTCTCTTTTCCAGACATGGCGAGTGAGGTTCTTGCACCATCCACCCAACGTCTGCGTGGTGCCTCACTCTGCTGGAGTGCCTCTCAGGACTCCTGTGAGGACTAAATGGCACGCAGCAATGGGGCTACCCATTCCTTCTAATGGAAATCTACTTTTTAAAAATTACCTCTGCAAGCATTAGATCCCAGAGCTCGTTTCACGTGACTTTTTGCGCAGGCACTTCTCTTTGTACGTGAAAAACTAACTTTGGTAGACTTACAGGCAGGTTTTAATATTTTCTCGTGATTGTATGTTTTTGAGAATCCTGTCAAATGATACTGAATCTTATCTAGATGTTAGCTAGCTACAGACCCTGTTTCATTCTACATGAAAATTAGATAGTGCACCGTTTCCATCAGCAGCCAAGTCTCCAAAACCCCGTAATTGCTCTCCTTTTCTTCAGCTGTATCTTGTTTTAAAGTTCTCTAATTCACCATTCCTTTCCTTCTAAGTTTAGCCTAAGCATTTCTTGCAATGACCAAAGTTTTCTAATTATTAATGAGATATTTAAGGAAATGTAAAATTGGCATTTTTATTTTGCTAACTGTATTTTTATCCACATAACTAGTTTCCCCCACCAAGAATCACAGGTCGAGAATGCTGTAAAAACGGATCCTTTCTCAGCTCCTAAAAGGAATGGCCTACAATCGAAGCGAACGCGCATCTCCGCCAGGTCCGCAACCACAGGCCCACGCCGTCGGGCCCCACGAACCGGCGCGCGCTGTCAAAGGCGCTTCCTCCCTGGAACGCGGGATTCCGGGGACAGTGTGTGCACTCAAGTTGAAAAGTTGTCATACTCCTGTTGGAAAGAAACGGAAACATCACCACCAGGAGGGTGGCCACTGAAGACCCTCGCCGACACCTGCTGGCAACCAAAGGCGCTTCCGGGGATCTACGGGCCGACCTGTAACTCAACACAAGCCTCCCAAGCCCTGCGGCCTTAAAACAACGCCCACCCGGGCGGTGCGCCGTTCCCGCCACCTCCACGCCTGCCTGGACCCGGACTCGAGACCCTGGCGGCGGGCCGGGCTCCCTCCGCCTGAGCAGGGACGCGGCGAGCGCATCCCACGACCCTCGGCAGCCGTTGCAGGCCTGGCGGACCTACACCCCACACCCTCACGGCCGCGTTCCCGCCGCGGGGCAGGGCGAGGCCCACGGCGCCTGCGCACTCAGTGACCGGGCCGCCCTGCGCCTCCGTGCGCACGCAGCACCACGTGACCCACTGCCAGTATCCAAGATGGACGCCGCGGCGAGGCCTGGCCGGCTCCCCGCGTTAGCCTGCACCCCATTGTGTGCCCTCTAAGCGCGAATTAGGCTCGCAGACATGCGGTGCTGACCGCTAGGCAGCCATGCGGGCTACCGAGTGCGACCGGACACGGCCGGGGCCCGTGTTTACGGCCACTACTGGCCCCCGGTCCCTGCGCCTCCTCAACCGCGAAGCACCCAGCGGCTGGCGCCTGGAGCGTCTTTTGGTACGCCCCACCCTCTAGAATTGGCAGCTCCAGCAGCCAATGAGGTCCAGGACGCGTGCGGGGAGGCGGGCAGGGGTGGAGCCTCTCTGCCGCTCATAGGGCATCCGGCCCCGCGGTTGAGCAGCCGCTGGGCGAGGGGTGGGAGCAGACGGGCTGTGCGCAGGTTTCAGCGGGCCAATGGAAGGCCGGCCAGGCGCCCGGGGCGGGCGGGCGGGAGGCGGGGCCGAGCCGTAATTGACGAGCTCTTCATTAGAAACCAGGCGGGAGGGCGGGGCCCGCAAGGGGAGGTGACGCAAGGCTGCCGCAGCCAATGGTTGGCGAGCCGCCGGCTGGCTGGGCGGGGCCGGGCCGGCTGACGGGCGTGCGGGGTGGCCTATCGCCGCCTGGCTCGACGCTGGAGTGGGGAGAAGCATCATGGTTCAACGTGGGTCAATTTTTTGTGAATGAGGAGGGGAGGTTGTGGGGCCGCCGCCGCGGAGCACCGTCCCCGCCGCCGCCCGAGCCCGAGCCCGAGCCCGCGCACCCGCCCGCGCCGCCGCCGCCGCCGCCCGAACAGCCTCCCAGCCTGGGCCCCCGGCGGCGCCGTGGCCGCGTCCCGGCTGTCGCCGCCCGAGCCCGAGCCCGCGCGCCGGCGGGTGGCGGCGCAGGCTGAGGAGATGCGGCGCGGAGCGCCGGAGCAGGGCTAGAGCCGGCCGCCGCCGCCCGCCGCGGTAAGCGCAGCCCCGGCCCGGCGCCCGCGGGCCATTGTCCGCCGCCCGCCCCGCGCCCCGCGCAGCCTGCAGGCCTTGGAGCCCGCGGCAGGTGGACGCCGCCGGTCCACACCCGCCCCGCGCGCGGCCGTGGGAGGCGGGGGCCAGCGCTGGCCGCGCGCCGTGGGACCCGCCGGTCCCCAGGGCCGCCCGGCCCCTTCTGGACCTTTCCACCCGCGCCGCGAGGCGGCTTCGCCCGCCGGGGCGGGGGCGCGGGGGTGGGCACGGCAGGCAGCGGCGCCGTCTCCCGGTGCGGGGCCCGCGCCCCCCGAGCAGGTGGGCTCCGGGCCGCCGGGAGTGAGGGCGGGGGCGGGCGGGCGCCGGGGCCGGCCGGGCGCCGTTTATGTAACTTTGTCAAATGCTGTGAGTTTGCAGAAAAACGTCCCTGCCGGGGGTCCGCGGCCCCGCGCTTGTCGTCGCCGCTGCGAGCGCCCGGGGGGTCGCGGGAGGGCGGGGGGCTGCCCGGGACCCGCTCGGCTCAGCCCGCAGGGCGCCAGCAGGCCGAGACGGGGCCCGGTCCCGCTCGGGGGTGGGATCCGCGTTTGCCGGCGTTGCGAAAACACACCACGGAATCATAAGCAAATTATCTCGTATTTACATTGAGCGTTGAATTATTTGACACTGTTATAGGAGGAGACCGTGCGTATCAGTTGGAAAGGCCGGGGGTGGAACCCAGTGTACTCATTTAATGCACATCAAAAATTTGTAATAACTTGAGGCAGCTGATATGAGTGTTTTCTTTATTGCATGTTGTAAATTGACCTGCTGTGACACAGTTTTCAAATAAAGCGTTGCAGAAATTAAACTTAAGTTATTTTAAAACTAATGACTTTCTTCACTAAATCCTAATTGCATGACTGTAGAGACCTACCTAATTGCTTGCTGAGAGCAGTTCTGCTTGCTCTCCGTGAGGGAGGAAAGGGCCTGTGCAGTCACTTTGCCGCCCCGTTTTTCTCTGTTCAGGCTTTTCTGTTTATTCCCACAAATCACCGAAGCAGTTAAGGCCTGGGAGTAAGCCTGTAAACAGTCCTGGCCCAGCGCCAGCCCAGCAGGACTGGGGGGATACTGGCAGGTTTGCACCTTGACCTGGTTTCACTTTTTCTTTTGTAATATGATCGTGGTTGCCTGGAGTTTTAATTGCTTCTGATAATTCTGTGCATTATTTTCGGGACTGTCCAAAGAAGGCTGGTGTGGTGGTTTCAGGACCTAGCCAGGAAAGGTGGTGGTGGTGGCTGGGGAGAGGGAGGGTGGAAGGGAGGGAGATCGAATTAAGAAAACTCAGCTGCTTGTACACAAATATACACTACAGCAGTTACAAAGCAACAAAAGTTATTGCAGAATTTTGCAGTAACTATGGCAACACAATTACTCTATTATAATTGGAAATGCAAAATGCCACCGAGTTAGAAGTTTCATCAGAATGGAGTTTTGGATATCAAAAATATGTGAAATTTAATTTTTTTTCAGGTAGCTCTTGTGAATTCTAAAATCTGTGTTCAATTACCTATTTTTAAGACTGATCGGGCTTTCCCAGATATTCTACTCTCTGGGATCTGTGGCATCTTTCCCCAGAAGAACTCACATTTGTGTGGGAGGGAAGTATTTTCATGCCTTAAAAACACACACCCCAACACATTGTAAGACTTCTATAGCTTTCTGTGTTCTGGGCTTTTATTTTAGAGATCAAATCCCATCCTAAAGAGAGCAGTAATCAATTAGAAAAGAAGCCGGCTGTACTCAGCAGGCAGATGTAACGCTGCCCTCTTTAGGGTTCTTTCTCCTGCAAGGGGAGCTGGCAGCAGGCATGCCCCCGGGGGAGCCCTGGGCTAAGGGGACGGGGTGGAGGGAAGATGACTGGACTGCATATGGGCCTGGAAGGCCTAGGGACGAAGGACAGATGTGGCCTCGGAGCCCTGCACCAGAGAGAATGTTCTGTGTTCAGCAGCTTCCTAGCCATGCAAAATAAAAATCCCCAAATGCCATATTCTCGGAGGCCTTGGGGGCTGTTGCTGTAGCAAGATGGACAGGACAACCTGGCACGCTGGCCACGTGCGGCTCAGGCAGCCCATCTGGACTCTGTGGCCAGAGACCTCGTTGAGAAGAATGCCCTATGGATGTTTACCAGGAGGACTCTAGTGCTGGAAGTTTCCACACATTGTGGGGTTGCTGCAGTTTAATTTTGTTATAACTCTTTCCTTTTAACTACTGCATATTTATGCCCAGTAATCGACTTCCATTCTCCAGCTTCATTGTGAGGTTTCAATGCAGCATGAATGGCTTTGAATTCCAATCCTTTAATGTTGGGGGTGGCACCAAAGGAAAGGCGACTTTATGCTGTCTTAATTGCCGGAGCAGAAGAAACATTTCATCACTCCTGTAGAATTCATCCATACCATTCTCTATTGAAAACGGCTGGGCTTTCATAGCTCAGAAGCTGCCATGAGTAATATATTAATACCTGATGTAGGGCGCGAAGGAGCCGCAGAGGCCGAGAGAACTGCCGTTGCTGAGAGGCAGCGGGGCGACAGGCTGTGGCCGGGCTTTCCTCCGAGGCTCAGAATTGATGACTAGCTGGGGATGGGGGAACTGAAGGGCGAAGGGGCCCAGTCTCCACCTAAGCTTGGGGCTGTGGAACCGAGACTGAGCCCCTGCCCTGTTGTTGGCAGCCCCCAGTCTGTCCTGGGGTAAGGAGTCGGAAAGGATGGATTTGGAGGGAGTGTTTGTTTTGATTTCAGGTGGTCAGCATATGCCCTGCCGTGTGGTGGGCTCTGGGTTTTTGGCCTTGACGTTAGAGGCGGGTACTGCACCTTCTGGTTCAGGTCAGATGAGGGGTGCCATGTCAAAAGTGATGCTACCTTTGAACAGACCTTAACTCATTCATAAGCGTTTCTGTGGGAACAAGTGTCACTAAGGTCAGTAAGTTCTCTTCATACGGTCAGTTTTCTTCTCTTGGGCTTCTGTGCGTGGGAAGAGTGGGACCTGTTTTGGGGTGGCATGAGGGCCATGGTGCCTGCAGCATTAAATGGCCATGTCCCCTTGCTGCAGCCTCACTGACAAACCTCCTACTCACTTCCTAGAAGGAGGGTCAGGGTCCTACATGTCCCCTTGCTGTGGCCTTGCTGACACACCTCCTACTCACTTCCTGGAAGGAAGGTCGGGGTCCTGCATAGATTGCCCCCACCGTGACTTCCTGTATCACTGTCGGGGGATGAGGATGTATCCTGGAGCAAGGAGATGATGCCACGAGCAGCTGTCACGTGCTCCCGTAGCTGACGCCAGATGAGCACCTGCTTGGGGCTCGTGCTGTTTCATGCACTCACCATGTAGGTGTCAGCACAGTCCTGCAGGTGGGCTCTACCTCTGGAGGAACTGGGGGTAGAATGAAATGGACCATGTGCCACCCCCTGCATCTCCAGTCCCAAAGGCCAGTTCCTCTCCGTGCCTCTGCTTCTAGGCTGGTGGTGACCTTGAAGCTGAAGTTCAGCTTGTCGAGGTGCTTGGGCGAACACAGCCTCTTAGAGAAGAGGACGATTTGGAATACCTTTCTAGTTCAGTGTCGTTAGACTTTCTAGTGCTGTGTTGACTGTTCTTGGCGCTGTTACAGGCGCGTTTCATAGGTCTGGGCAGTACTTCTGGCTTTCTCATGCTGTCTTATGTCACGTGTGGGACTGCAGAACTAGAAGACATCATGTTCTTCTCCTGCAAAGTCCCCAGGACGCCTGGAGGCAGGTGGGGGTGACGGAAGGGAGCTAATGCTCCAAGTCCACTTCAGCCGGAGCAGCTTTTAGTGTTTGTTGTTCGGTCTGTTGATTACCTTGGAAGATTTTATTGGAAGAAAGCATTTGAGGACCAAGTTAATCTACTCTTTCAATACCAACCCAGAAACCTTAAAGAAAATCTTGACAGATTTAATAGGATAAGAGTTTTTTAAAAAATCTCTTTGGCAAAAGACTCCGTCAGCCGGGCTAAGAGACGAGAGAGAAAATACATACCACATTATGCCTGTGTAAGCTTAACAGTCAATATATAAAGAGCTTTTACAGACCAATAAGGAGAGCATGAGATCACCATTGCAAGATGAGCAGAACGTATGAACATTGAATCATTGTGCCAGTGATGAAAGGTTAGCATTACTAATCAATTCAGTGTGAAGGAGATTCCCTTTATGCCTATCATATTGGCGAGTTTGATGATACCTGTTGCTGGTCATAATAATAATTTCTATTTTGTAAGGTTTTTGCAAAGTTTAAGTTAATGTATGGAAATTTCCTTGAATAGGGCCTGGCATGTAGTAAGCATGATATAAATGTTGGCTGTTATTTATTATCATTTGCTCTCTGGAGAGACCCATATGTATTATTATATAAAATATAATAGGGCTGGGCGAGGTACCTTATGCCTGTAATCCCAGAACTTTGGGAGGCCAAGGTGAGAGGATCACTTGAGCCCAGGAGTTCAAGACCAGCCTGGGCAACATAGTGAGACCCTCATCTCTACAAAAAAAAAAAAAAAATCAGGCATGACGTCGTGTGCCTGTAGTCCCCATTACTTGGGAGGCTGTGGCAGGAGAATCACGTGAGCCTGGAAAGTCAAGGTTGCAGTGAGGTGTGATTTTGCCACTGCACTTCAGCCTGAGTGACACAGCGAGACCCTGGGCTGTCCCCCCCAAAAAAGTTTATATATGTAATGTATAAACATAAAATAGTGATTACCGAATTGCTCTCTAGAAAAGTCTTAAGTGTCAAAATCTTAAATGCCATTCTCCTTGTCCCCACAGTTCTACATTTTGAAATCTATTCTAAGGAAAGAAGATAAGTGTGTAGATATCCAGACGTGTGTGGAGGTCGGGGCTGCATTATTTATAAAAGGAGTACTTGTTAAACCTGCTGGCATTTCTGCACTGTGGCATCCTCCATGTGTAGACAGGCAGAAGTGTGCAGTGTAAGAGGGAAAGGCGGGGTCTGGAGCAGTCCCCGGGCCACTCCTGGTTTTAAGTACATGGGTCTCTAAGGTAACCATCAGAGGTGAGGAGACGGGGTACACTTTTCTTTTATACATGGTGGTATTGTAGAGATTCTTTTGGTAAGCGTGTATTACTTTTTTACAGTAGTAATTTGAAAACATTTAGATATCTTCATTGGAAAGAAAAGTACTCTTTAAGTCCTTGGCAAGTTGATAAATATGCTTTGCAATAGAAGAATTTAGGGGCATTTGTTTTTCTAACTCACATGTAAGCTCTTCAAGGTGGGGACTGACCCTCGGGGTCTGAGCGGGCTCTGCTACAGCCCATCCTACAAACAGTCTCCCAGGTTTCCACCAGAAGCAGGTTTGTACCTCTCATTCCCTTGCTTGAAACCCTGGCATGACTTTCCTGTATTCTTAGGATCCTAAGGTCTCAGGGCCCTGGAAGGCCTGCCTGATCCTGGCCTCTGTTTTACCAGCCTCATCTGATAGCACTTGCTGTGTTTGTGGAGTTTCAGCTGCCACCTGCTTTACTTTCTAGCTCTCTCTAAGTCCCCTTTGACCTCGGGGCCTTTGCACACACTGTTCCCCTTCCTTGGAATGGCCTCCCTTTACCTTCCTCTTCTCCAGCCCCTCAGTTCATGCTCATCCTCTCATCCTTTGATCCCCTGTTAAACTTAGCCTAATAGCTTTTTTCCTCCTTTCTAACAGCATCCCATTGTGCAATTTCAGGAAGGAGCTCATTGTGACCTTAGTTGTTTAATGCCACCTTTTCTACTAGCTGGGGCTCTGTAGGATTGAGGGGCCCTGAGGGCCTCATGCCTGCTCTGTACCCTGTGCTTGGCAGTGTAGGTGCTCGAAGAATGAAAGAAAATGAATGAGTGAATGAATGAATGGATGAGTAGGTAGCCCAGTGAATGGCACAATGCGGGCCTTGGGTGGGAGAGCTGGGGTGAGGCCCCACCTCTGGCCTGGCCCCTCTGCGGGGTTCTTGCCAGTGCTCTGGAATTGCCTGTTTCCTGACACCCCCTGCCCCCATCTGGGAACTTCTTGGTCCTGATTTTGGAGATTACATGCTCCTAAGGAGATGTCATAAATGCAAGTGGAGGGAATTCTGTGATGCAGAAAGGAATGGGAGGGAGAAGGGCCTTCAACACAGCTGTCGAGTGGCAAATGCGACTGTTGTGCCAAGGCCAAGGCAGGTGTGTGCAGCTTGTTCTCCAGCCGCTTCGCCCAGGGCCCCGGCGTGTGAGGAGGCGAGTGGTGCTTTTATGAAGAAGTTTTTCTCTGCTTGTTTTAAATTAGAATTAATGACATTATTTAATCACTTCTTATTTAGCGTCATAATTTTAATATGATACATTAATATGTTTGTGTACATAAACATTTTGGAGTCTGCTCTGTTTAAAAATGTGAGTGTTGGGCTTTGTGAGTTTACTGTTGTTTATGAAGTACTCCGTCTGTGTGAGTCAAGTGCTTTTGCTGGATTGATGTTTAAGCTTGAAACAATAAATCAGTTCTTAGGACCTGAAAGTCTGAACCAGCATTCCAAGTGGGAGTATTGTTCAAGCGGTGATGGAATTGCATTTTCCCTTGGGAATGGCCCATCATCTGGTTTATGTGTTGCTATTTGCTGGAGCGGTTCTTTTTTAAACTGAGGAAGAGAAGTTTCTGTGGTATCTCCACTGGCCTCCCTGGTGGTGGGGTTGGGGGTGGAGGGGGGGTGGTCCTTGGGGGCCATGTTCCCTGAATATTTCTAATTGATTAGTTATTATTTTGCAAATACTCATTTTACACCCCAGCCCAAGTACTAGGTTTTACATGAGATGAGACTCAGTTGAACACATTCTCTGTGCCAGACGCAGTGGCCAGCCCCATGACCCCAGGCTTGATCAGGAAAACTGGCCTCTGCCCACAAGAGGCTTTGGTGTTGGTAGGGACAGAGGAGAAAAAGGAGCTAAACAGGCAGGTGCACACGGGTCACCATCCTGAGAACCAGGGCTGTGGCTGGAGGGCTTGCTTGGTAGGGAGAGCCGTGGTGCAGGAGCCAGGCCCAGATGAGGAGGAGGAAGGGGAGGCTGGGTGGGTGGGAATGGGGTGTGGTCCTTTTTAGCCAGAGCCAGAGTTTCGGGGCTGCATTGTGAAAAGGGCATTGTGGCCAGATGGTGGCCTGGTGACTGAGGTCTCTGAGGCCAGAGTGCGTGAGCCAGTGATGAGCCGGGCCAACTGGCAGGCTGCCTGGGTGGGGTGGAGGTGTGGTCTGCACAAAGGACTTCCTTGCGTTTTCATGTATGTGTAGTCTTCTTGCATTTAATGGAGAGTTTGCTTCTGTTCTTTCTATTTTGTGCACTGGTGCCTGGCTCCAGCTGGGTGATGGACCTGATCTCTCTTGTTCTAACTTTGTGGAGGCAGGCCCATTCAGATGCATCCCAAGGAGGCCTCCAGGTGGTCCATGGCGCGGCTAGGCCCTCCTTGGGGCACATGCTTGGTGGTGCTGTTGTGGGGACTTCTGCATGAAAAGCAAGGGCAGCTTCCAAAACAAGGGCAAGGTGAAGAAGGTGGCTCACACGCCGGGGGTCCCAGTCCTGTGGCTCTGAGACGGGCCGCATCCAGAAGGGAGGGGGTTCCTTCCTTCTAGCAGTGCTGGCGAGAGCTTCCTCTGTGCCTAGGTCCAGGATTCTGTAGAGTAGCTGTCAGGACTGAAGCCTGCCAGGAGTCTGTGTAGAAACCGTGCTGGAGGGGACCCGCTGGGGGACCCGAGCTGGCACCCCCAGTGCCACCGGTTTACACACCAGAATTCCGGGTCTGAGGCTGAGCCCAGCCTGGCCCATCTGCAGGGGCCTTGCTGGCTGGCACCGTGCCATGTAAGTCAAGTGGCAGAAAGTGGGCCCCCAGCAGGTCAGCAGAGCGTGGCCAAGGGCCCCTGAGCCTCAGTCCTCCCTGTGGCCTGGGGCTAATCCCAGCTGGCTATTGAGGACTTACCCACCCCCAGGACTCATGTCCGAGCCCCGTAAGCTCAGGGGTTAGAGTGTTCTAAGGAGGCTGACCCCCATTCCACCTCTGGGGGCTGTGGACAAGGAGGGGAAGATGGCCTGTGGGTCCACACAAGCGGGGTGTATCTTAATTAGTGATGCCAACTGTGCCTCCTTGCTTGCAGGATGTGGGTGGCCCTCTGACCTTTTGGACCTTTAAAGTGAGCCATAAAGAAAACCATTGGGAGGTTCTGGCATATTAAAACCCCCTCTACTATAAAATTTACATCAGATTTTGCACTGAAAAAATCCTCATAGGTGGTCACAGTCCCCATTCTTTGGAGAACACTTGTTTGCCAGCTCAAGGGCTCTGTGTTGGAATCCGCCCCTTGGCTCTCCAGGTCAGAAGGATGCATCAAAGGAGATGTCACTGGGGTGCCTGTGTCTTCTCGCCTTTCGAGTGCCTGCCCTGAAGCAGCTTGCTTTCCTTTGCCCCTGAGTGTGCAGCACAGCCCAGCGTAGCTCGGTTGCTGGCTGGGGCAGCAGCTGACCTGCAGAGCCGTTACGTGCATGCCCGCTGCCATCCGAGGGTAGCAGCCGGGCTGGGCCATCCCACCCCTGCCCGGCATGGTGGCCCGGGCAGGATGGGGCCTGGTGTGGGAGCATCCAACTCACCTCCCAAGCTGGTGGGGATGTTGACCTTTTGGGCTTCGGAGTTCACAACCAACCATGTGCAGTGCTTCCCGCGGTCCCTCCCTGAAGAAGAGTGTCTTTCCATGTCAGCGTGCCAGCTTCAGCACACGCGGGCTGCGTTCTGACGAAGTTCTGTTTTCAGAATTCTTCTGGTTAAGCGGAGGCCAGAGCTGAGGCACGTGGGAGCTGCGGAGGGCCTCTTCTCTTGTTTCACGTATCCTTCTCCTGGTTCCTCGGTGCTCTCGTGGGTGTGGGGTGAAGGGTCTGATTGGTGGATGTGCTCTCTCCTGCTCGTCACACTGCCAATGTGCCTGCAGTGGACAAGAGTGATTTGCAGTGATGTCCTGTGTTCCATGGCTCTGGGGTGTTGAGTGAGCATCGGTTGAGATCCCAGCTTCACTGTCATGACCCCATCACCTCAGTGAGTCCTTTGTCATCTGCTGAGTGAGTGTCTCTCCCGCAGAGACTCAGCTTTCCTCTTCCTCCTCCCCCGCTGGCTCTGAGGACACACAGCCCTCTCTGCTGGCAGGTCTTGGGAGGAATGAGGAGTAGGGTATGTCCCCTGCCCGGGGCCTGCTGCTGACCGGGCCTTGGATGCACCTGCAGGACTTTCTGAAGCTCCTGCACCTGCTCAGGGTGTCTCTGCAGCAGGTCGTGGTGTGGTGGACGTCTCCCCGAAGGACCTTAGTACAGTTTGAGAACAAGCTCTCGTCTGCCTTTGTCCTTGCAGGGACTGTGTCATAGTTTACAGAGATTAGACTCTTGAAAGCTCAGAAGCACCGTGATGCTTCCCACGGACACTGTCAGCCCCCAGGGCATGCTGCGCTTGTTAGGGACCTGAAGGGCCAGCGTCCCTACCCGGTATGCAGAGCCCGGCTCGTGATGGTGGCTCAGCTGCTATGGCATGTCCAGATTGCGCCTTGGCCACAGTGTGATTCGTATCGAGGCCGAGCCGAGGCCCCTGGCCCTGAGGATGACTCGAGCGGTCTGATGGACACTGTGCCACGGCTTTGCCGTCTGTCATGCTTCCCAGTGTGCTGGGAGAGGGAGCTGCCCTGAGACTGTGGCTGTGCGTAAATCCAGGCTGCCCCGCTTTCCCTCCCCTTGGTTCTTTCTGTCCCGTCTTCACTGCTTCTGATTTGCATGAGCAGGGACCCTGAAGGACTGTGTGCATTTTGCCCACTGCCTTGGTCAGAGGGCTACCGGGTGTGGCTGCAGTGTCTCAAGGGAGGCTGCGTGGCTGGGTGCTCAGGTCCAGGCTCGGGGCTCCAGGCATGTGGCGGCTCCTGGTAGCAAAGTGAGGGGTAGTGCCGCTCTGGAGGGCAGTGAAGGACAGGGAGATGGGAGAGGTCAGGGCTGGGGCTGCGGCCGCATGGTGCCCCTGTGGGCACAGCTCCTCCACAGGTGGAGGGTGGGAAAGGCACTCTAAGGGGATTTTTGGGGGTGGCTTCCAATATATATATATATCTTTTGAGACAGAGTCCTGCTTTGTTGCCCAGGCTGGAGTGTACTGGTACAATCACCACTCACTACAGTACAATCACCACTCACTGCAACCTTGATCTCCCAGCTTAAGCAGTTCTCTTGCCTCAGCTGCCTGATTAGCTGGAACCAAAGACGCATGCCACCATGGCTGGCTAATTTTTTGTATATTTTGTAGAGATGAGGTTTCGCCATGTTGTCCATGGCTGGTCTCAAACTCCTGGGCTCAAACAGTCTGCCCACCTCGGCTTACCAAAGTGCTGGGATTACAAGCGTGAGGTACTGTACCTGGCTGGCTTCGAGGGAGGTATTGAGCAGGGAGGTATTTCTGGTAGCTCCCCATCAGATAGGATCTCGCTAGGTACTGTGGCCTCAGGGAATTGTTTGGCTTGTTTTCCTAGAAAGTGCCGGAGGAGGAAGTATTCAGGCACTGTTTGATCCAGCTCCTCCACAGTGTCATCTGGGGCTTGTTTCTTTGCCCTACCTGGGGAGAGTCAGCTTCATGGGATACACAGGCCCTGCCCGCTGCTCCCAGGGTTATATACACTGGCTGGTTCACACCCATCAGGAAGGACAGCATCTTTGTCTTAGCAAGTCTTGGATTCACTCTCCTTCGGTCTGGCTCCAGCCACGTATTGAACTCTGAACCAGTCACTGTGACCGGGGTGCAGAGCGCACCGAGTGGCTCAGCCTGGGTGCTGGACATGCCTCTTCCAGAAGCCGGCTGGGGAACTGGCCTCCCTGGTATGGAATTCACTGATGTCAGGAAGGAAGGGGGAAGGGGACAGATGCTGAGGAGGAAAGCCGCCAGTAGCGTCCTCAGTGAATTTAGCTCCTCGTGCCTCATGAATCCCAGCAGCAGTTCCAGAATAGTCTTGGTGTGGGCTCAGTGTGCATGGGTGCCACACTGAACGCTCTGCGGACCTCGCCTCAGAATCCCTTAGCGGGCCTCTAGGAGGGCAGGGTGGGCCCCATCCTGTGTCCGGAGTTGGTTCCTTCCAGTGGGTTCTTGGTCCCACTGACTTCAAGAATGAAGCTGCAGACCTTTGCGGTGAGTGTTATAGCTCTTAAAGATGGTGTGTCCGGAGTTTGTTCCTTCAGATGTGTCCGGGGTTTCTTCTGTCCAGCAGGTTCGTGGTCTTGCTGACTTCAAGAATGAAGCTGCGGACCTTCGCGGCAAGTGTTACAACTCTTAAAGGTAGTGCGGACCCAAAGAGTGAACAGCAGCAAGATTTATTGTGGAGATCGAAAGAACAAAGCTTCCACAGCATGGAAGGGGACCCAAATGGGTTGCCGCTGCTGGCTGGGGTGGCCAGCTATTATTCCGTTATTTGTCCCCACCCACGTCCTACTGATTGGTCCATTTTACAGAGTGCTGATTGGTGCATTTACAATCCTTTAGCTAGACACAGAGTGCTGATTGGTGCATTTTTACAGAGTGCTGATTGGTGCATTTACAATCCTCTAGCTAGACAGAAAAATTCTCCAAGTCCCCACCCGACCCAGAAGTCCAGCTGGCTTCACCTCTCAATCCCAGAGGCAGAATGCGGGCTCCCAGGGCCTGTGGGAGAAGCCCTCGGCAGGGTTCTCTGGCAGTGGAGACTAACACACAGTGGCCTCCCTGTGTCTCTGCTGCTTCCTGGGAAAACCCGGGGCCCTGGAAGTCAGAGCCCAAGTGTGCCAAAATGGCCAGTGGGAAAGGTGGATAGAAGTAATGGCAGCTCAGCAGGGAGATCCCTCCACACACTCCCTCCGCTGATGACTGGCTGGATGCAGAGAAGCCTGGGGCCCTTAGAGTGGGGAGTGGGGGCCAGGAAGGGAGGAGCCTGTGTGGCAGAGTCCCTGCGGCTGCAGCCCAGTGACCCCAAGGGGCGGGGTGGGGGCTCCAACCCACAGGATGGTGGAGGACGGATCAGGGCCATGGCTGCCAAAGGGGGGCCCAGAGGGTGGTCCTTCCAGCCGTGCGGTCCAGCTGCCCTCTGGGGCCAGGCACCCAGGTCACCCAGAGGACCAAGGCTCTGCTGGTCATCTGAGGATGCTCCAGAGAAGGGTTGAGCCATGTTGGCTCATCTGTCCCATGCAGAGGTGGGCAGGTGCCTGAGAAGGCCGATGCAAACGTGGCCCGGGCCCAGATAGTCCTGGAAGCCGCACTGACCGCATCTGCCTCCCTGCGGGCAAGTGGTGTGTTAGAAGGAATGTGCTTTGGGATTAGGTGGATGAGCTTCAAAGTCCAGGCTTGCGGCCCTCCAGCGAGCGGAGAGCCACAGTGGTCAGTTTGCCACCTCCCTCATCCGGGTCCACCCATCTGCAAAGCAGACTTCAGGGTTTCCTCCTTGAAGAACTGTTGTCAGGATAAGTAACACAGGAGGTCAATGGCCCAGCCTTTCCCCAACCCCAGGTGCTATGAGGTGAATGAACTCGCTGCCTCCCTCGGCTTCAGGGAGGACCTGCCCAGCCGCGTCCTGCCATGTTTCTGCAGTGGGTGTCTTCTGTGTGCTGGGCCCCATGTTATGACGTGTGGTCCGTTAGTCCCTGCACACCTGTGGCGTGGATACCCGTCCTCCCGTCTGATACCTGTGGCCACTGCGGCCCCAAGCGAGAGCGGTGGGGTGGGGGTGTGGATCTGAGCTGGCTGCTGCTCCTGAGCCCACGCCTTCCACTCCCCTTAGTGCCCATTGCAATGCGTGGTGGAACCATGAGCCCCAGGCAGGAGGCGCGGCTCCTCCAGGGGCGCACTCTTGTTGGAAAGTAGAGTGAGGAGGAGCTCGGCTTTTTAGGCTTTTTAGGGCCCAGGTGCATCTTGGTGGAGCCACGTTCCAGCTGCTCTGGTGCCATTGACCCAACCGCTCTAAGCCTCGGTTTTCTTCTCCACACGATCAGAATTGCAGTATCCCTGCCCTGGCTGAATTGTTTTGGGTATAAAGCGTATTGTCCCTGTCAGCTGGGGCACAAGGCTGGCACAGATGCTGCCTGAAGACAGGCTGGAGCTTTCTCTGGTCACAGAGTGCTGTGCCTCGTCCTGTCTCTAGGCTGGAGGGAGAGGCAGAGAACCTCAAACCTGCACACCTCTAAGAGGAGGTTTCTTCCAGGCGAAGGTGGGGGGTTTTGTAAAGTAAGGGGTGGGAGGCTCTCCTGGGCATTGCGTTGGTGGCGGCCGGCCCTGTGGTCCTGGCCAGGCACGCAGCGGCGGGACTGAGGCTGGAAGTGGCCTCCTGGCCTGGGTGCACCGGGGGATCTTCTGGCCACTCTCCAGCCCCTGCTGCAGCCATTCTGGTGCTTGTGGGCCCGCGGCTGCTTCAGTGGGTGACCCCATCCAGGCCACTTGTGAGCAGTCCCCTCTTCTCTGTCTTTAGCTCCCACTGAAGTTCTAGGACTGCAGCCCTAGTGAGTGTTCTTCCTCCTCAACACACATGTACGTGCGTGTGCACGTGCCACACACAGCAAGCATTCCCACCCACACACTCGTGCTCCCCGGACACGCACACACCCTCATACAGATAGACGCACGGACAGACATCTGCACACACGTGCTCACGCACTGGAGTCGTGTGCAGTCTGGCTCCTCTGGCGTGATTCCTGGTGAACCCAGAACAGCCACTCACCTCTGATCGCTGCCACCTAATGAGGAAGGGTGGAGTTTCTCTAAAATGGGTACATCTGATGGTGGTGAGGGTGGCGAAATCCTCTCTCATGCACAGTTCTCACCCAGCTTCTCTTCTCTCCAGGGAGACCACTGTGTTTTCACTGTTAGAACTGGGCTGTCTCTGGACAAGGGCCAGCCTTGTTACGAGCAGAAGTTCTCGGTACTGTGTCTGGGATGTGGCTCTTGCTCCTCTAGGTCGTGACTACGTTGTTTATGAAAGTCAAGCTCTTACACCTAAAGCCGGTGCTCATGGGATTTCCTTACAGTGCATTACATTGTTAAATTTCAGGCCCAGACGTGGTCTGGCGGCTTGTCTGGAACACACAGTGGTGCTCCAAGCATGCCTCTGCATGGACGCCTTACCCACCAACATCCGTGGGCTCCAGAGGCCTCGCACCCTCCCCTGGCCGGCCACCCCGGGATGCCCCCAGGACCTGCACCCTCAGCTGACGCTCCTCTTGGGAAGGTGGTTTTGAACCTCTGTCATGTGGTTCCTCCCGTGGTTGGGACACACTCATCTGCCTCTGGTGTGACCCATCTCTCTTTGGTCTTTCCTCGTCCCTCCAGTGCCACCCATTTTCGTACAGAAACTGAGGATGCCTCTAATTCCGTTTGAGCATTTGAGTCTCAGTGTCTGTGACCTTGACTCCCCCTGTGCGGCCGCCCCAGCCCCAGCAGCACAGTCAGGACTGGGACCTGACAGTGGCTCTGAACCTCCGAGACACAGGCCCCAGCCTCTCTTCCCTGTGCTCCGACTCTCAGCCTTCCTTCTCTGCCCTGGTCCTGGCATCCTGTGGCTCATCATTGTCTAGAGTAAAACGCAGGCCCCTCTGCCTTGCCTGCCGGGTCTTCCAGGGTTTGGCCCAGCCTCCCCGACCCAGATTCCTTCTCCCTCATCCTTGGGTCTGGCCACATTGTTTAGCCCTTGTTTAGGGCACACCTGAGCTTTCCTGTCCCTGGGCCTCTGTTTACCTTGCCTCCGGGGCTTGTTTGGGGCTCCCAGAGCAGAGCTGTAGGAGACTGTCTTGGACCGCTTTCCGGGGCCCAGTGGCCTCTTTTTGATTCTGTACCGGCAGGAAGGGTCATCACAGCCTCCGTGGCTTCCTCGGCACTCACCGTGGCTTGCCTGGCCTCCTGTCCCCTTTGTGAGTTGTAGTGAGTAATGGACGAGGCTGCAGTCAGGCTCCCTGTGTCCTGTTGTATCACATGGTCCTTCTGGGGCTCCTGGGGTGGCGTCTGTAGAATCAGGGACAGGCGTGTGCGTGTTCCTTATCACAGGCCGGCTTTGCCCACTGGTAGGCTGTGCTGTGCACGTGAAGCTGCAAGGGCTCCTGGCACAGGCAGGCAGGGGGCTTGAGGCTGAGACTTCAGAGGGAACAGGGGCCCCTGTGGCCACTCATTTCCATGCTCTAGCTCTGCCTTCCCGCTCTGGCCACCAACAGGGAGCCGGGTGGAGGCAGAGCTTCCCCGCTGCTGAGCTGGGCAGAGTCGTGGGCCAGGAGCCTCCTTTTCTTCAGTCCTCGGAGGTGACCCGGAGGCCCCCGGAACCTCCTGACACTGCCAGCCAGTGCTTCCTCCTGCTGAGAGCAGCCAGCCCGCTGTGTGCCCCCATGTACTGAGCTCCAAGAGTGTCGCCTCTGGCTAAGGGAAGCTGAGGGCAAGGCTTCTTCCTGAGGCTTGGAGGAGACCTTTCAGCTGAGGTGCTGGGGATGCTGGGGAGAGGGCCTCCACGCAAAGCAGTCAGGGGCTATGGGCCTCCGATTGTGCCAGTCCTGTGGAGGCGGCCGGGAAGCAAGGTGCCCTTCTCAGGAGAGAGAGCCAAGATGGAAGGGAAGGGATGGGAAGGGCTCTTCCATGGAAGCCTTGTCCCTGTCCCTGTGCACAAAATGTCCGCAGTTCTGTTCTCCTGTATCCTGGCTCGCTGGAGCCCTTGGGTGTGCACCTCCCCATCAGTTTCTGGGCCCGGTGGGGTGCAGAGAGGAGCCCTGAGCCCCTCCTCAGGTCCTGCCTGTGTCTCATCTTCCTGGTGCTTGGTCCGAGGGCTGATGTATTTGGAAGTTTTATTTAAGCTGTTGTATTGTTAAAGTGTCATCTTTGTATGTGTTTGAATACAAATCGGCATTTTAGGGATCAGAAGCAGGGGACAGAGCCGTGGGGTATATGGTGCTGGGGCCATGTCCACTGAAACAAAGCAGACTCATTGTTGCCGCCTAGGACCCATTCCTTCGGATGCAGGGCAGTTTTCCCTTCTCTTTCTTTTCTTCCGTTTCCTTTGCCTTTTTCTGAGATAGAGCCTTGATCTGTTGTGCAGGCCGGAGTGCAGTGGGACAATCATGGCTCACTGCCGCCTTGACCTCTTGGGCTCTCTCCATCTGCCTGCCTCAGCCTCCTGAGTAGCTGGGACTACAGGCGTGCACCACCACATCTGGCTTTTTTTTTTTTTTTTTTTGTAGAGACAGGGGTCTCACTATGTTGTCCAGGCTGGTCTTGAGCTCCTGGTCTCAAGGGATCCTCCCACCTAGGCCACCTAAAGTTCTGGGATTACAGGTGTAAGCCACCATGCCTAGCCTCAGTTTTCTTTTTCATTAAACATTTCCATATGATAGAGAGAGGTACTAAAATATGTCATTTCGAATGTGGCTTTAGGGAGATCATGGATCTTTTCAGCCCACGCAGGTATCCCAGATTACGAACAGCTGATACAGAGGACCTGGGATCTGGGCATCCCCTAATATTAGCCTGGGTGTCTTTCCCATCGATGTGGTGTGCAGCCAGGTCCCCCTGGGTTTTCTGCCTTTGCAGAGCACGATGGAGGGTTGCCCACGAGCTGCTTCTCTGTCTGTGTCCGGGCTGTTCGTGGCTTCCCATTAGAGGCGAGAGTGGACTGCGCCTCGTTACTCACGTCAGTAGGCCTCTCGCACGGTGCCCAGGTGCCAGCGATGGCAGCTCTTCCAGCCGCCCTGCCCTCCAGTGGCTCTCACGTCTGTCCTTGTCTGGCCTTGTTGGCGGGGCTGATGCTGTCTGGGGGACTCTGTGGGACTGTGTGGATGAGCTTCATCCTGTCTGCATCCTGTTTCCACTTTGTATCATTTTTCTCACTTTCCAGTCTCTGTTGTCCATTCCTGCCCCGGCCATCGTTGAGGGAGGGGCCATCAGCTGGCCCGAGGCAGTGCTCTACCCTGCCCCCCACCCCACGCCCTTGAGTGAGAGCTGCTGAGGCGGTGTCGTTGCCGCGCTTTCTCCCACCAGGTACAGAGAGGGAATAAATGGTAATGGATTGATCGGGCGCTCTTTGAGCGTATTGGGTTTGCAAAACTAACTGCTTCCTTGTTGCTTCATTGTGGCCCAGACTGCGCTTGCCGTGGGTTTCTCTGTGGCGCTCAGAGGAGCCAGTTGAGGAGGCACCTGTTCCGGCTGAGTGCTTAAGAAGCCGACCTCTGCCACCCCTGCCCCTGCCTGCCCACATGTCATCAGATCTGTTTCCAAGCCCTGCTCCATCTCCCGAGAGGCAGCTTTATCCTTCTTTCAGATTCTGAACTCACAGACACTGACGTTTGTCCAGCCTCCAAGCGAGGATCTGCTCAGTGGTTATGCACTTTACGGGAAGGTGCAGGGCTCAGAGCAGTGCCAGGGCCTCCTGCTTGTGAGGGGCATCATGGTGGAGGATTCCCCCTGTGGGCTGGAGCCAGGGTCAGGGGTGGCCACGGGAAACAAGCACATCTTCCTCGACAAGGGGAGCCTTTGGGTGAGCGGGGTGAGATCCGTGAACTGGACTGTGAGACCGTGTTGGAGAACACTGGGTATTAAGCCAACCATGCCTGTAACGTGGGCAGTTACACAGTGAAATGAACACTTCACTTGAGTTGTTAGAAAGTGTAAGCTGTTGCTCACGCCTGTAATCCCAGTACTTTGGGAGGCCGAGGTGGGTGGATCACCTGAGGTCAGGAGTTCACGACCAGCCTGGTCAACATGGTGAAACCCCATCTCTACTAAAAAAAATACAAAAAAGTTAGCCAGTCGTGGTGGCTCATGCCTGTAACTCCAGCTACTCAGGAGGCTGAGGCAAGAGAATTGCTTGAACCTGGATGGCTGAGGTTGCAGTGAGCCGGGACCGCAACATTGCACTCCAGCCTGGGCAACAAGAACCAAACTGCGTCTAAAAAAAAAAAAAGAAAAAGAAAGTGTAAGCTGTTAAAGAAAGCTCCCATCACGGTGGGCTGGCTTTTCCTGGCCTGGCCCCACCCACAGGACCCCTGGGCTGTTTCTCCCCTTTGTGGGGAGGAGTCAGGGAAGCCCTGTTTGGGGGCCCATGTAGAGGGCAGAGCACTGTGGCTCCGGGGTTCAGTCTCTGAGACGTGGCCCATCTGGGTCACTCTGGGTGGTCCTACCCATTACATGATCAGAAAGGCACAAAGTAGAAAATGTGTATCTTGTATTGCCTGAGAGTTTTATTAAAGCATTTCCAGTATCATTAATATTAGAGGAACTAAATTGGTAGAATAGATCAGCAATACAAATAAGCAGTTGCTGTAATTGGGAAAAATACTAATGATTTAATTTGCATATGTGGCAGAAGCGACGTTTTATGATTGCTTTGATAATAAAAGACAGGCTGAGTATCACCAATGCACGCAAATAAAGAATCCATTAATTCTATTCATTTAAAAAAATGGTATTCCCAGCTTCTGCAGCGACAGTTTAACAATTAGCGTGCCTAATTTTAATCTGTTACGTGGGTGCAGGTCCTGACTAACTTGGGAAGGCAGCTCCTGCTGGTGTGAGTCTGTGCTGTCGCTGATTGTGCTGAGGAATATGGAGATCCCAGCCCTTGGGGAAGCAGAGCCCTTGGCCCTAGGGAGCCGTATGTGATCTGTATCACTGTTGGCTTTGGGGGCCTGAGCAACTGGGACTGTGTTGCCCTGGCTTCCAAAGCCCAGTGAGCAGTCTCAGCTGATGGAGTGTGTGTGTGTGACGTGGAACTGGGGGGCGGTGACTTCAGTCACTCTGGCTTGAGTCTATTTTAGGGGATCTCTCGCCTAGGAGGTTTTGCACCCTCCTCCCCCAGGGGACATTTGTCAGTGTCTGGAGACAGTTTTGGTTGTCACATCTGGGGGCGTGGTACTGGCCTGTAGTAGTTTGAAGCCAGGGTTGCCACTGAACATTCTACAGCACATGGGACAATGAATTGTCCGTCGCAAATGTCATTGGTACCTAGGGTGAGAAGCTCTCTTGTCATTAAGTCCAGAACATGAGCATTTATTTAGCATTAGAAGTAAATGGCACCGCATTTGCCCAGTATGGATTTTGTTCCACTGTACAGTCATAGAACTTAAATAGTAATTTTGAAAACTCTTGGGACAAGTTACATACATCATTTACCAGCTTGGGGGTGAGGAAATGAAACCAGCTTTCATTTACATTTTTTTGCATGTGAATAAAATGTACCTTTCTCCTCTCCTTTTCGTTTCTTTTCATTTCTCCATCTCTTTCAGATTTGAAAAATGGGTTTCGATTCCCCAGAACTTACATTTTCCCAGCCAGAGCGTGTTTTGCATGCAGATGTAGTTCGAGATAACAAAGAGGCATGTTTGTGTTGTAGTGACTACATAAAAAGAAAGGATATTGCTGAATTGTAAATTGCATTTTTAGAATATGCTAAAACGAAGCACTGAGAGTCATTTGTCTTCACTGCAGCTCAGCTCACTGCGTGTTTTCATTGTAGTGATTGAGGAAGGCGGTCGCGGGAGGCAGCTCCGTGACTCTTGGTTCCTAGACGGTTTCCTTCCTCAGAGCATCGCGTGTACGTCACGTGTTCAGGTGACAGCTCAGTCACCATAAATATACTTTAAACATCCTGATGTGTGTGTTGTGTGTGGGATGCTGTTGTTTCAGTCACTGCCAGTCATTTTCTCAGCTATCAGGACGTGAACCCGTGTTTGCTCCTTGCATCCGGGAGGCGCTGCTGAGGGGTGACCTCGATCCACAGGAAGTGTGCGCTGTGTACGGGAACGTTTAAACCGGGCATCCCTCGTTTTCTGAGATGGGACGTGAAGGCCGAGTGGAGATCGGTAGGCAGCAGCAATGCCTCTGAAGTTGGGGACAAAGCGGGAAAGAATCCATGTGAACAAGCAGTTTGGGCAATTTATTTGATTGTGTGTGTGTTTCCGGCTTTTAAATATAAAAAAAATTTTCAATTGTGGTAAGAAACACCTAACAAAATTAACCATTGTAACCATTTGTTAGTGTACAGTTCAGCAGTGTTAATTATATTCACGTGGTTGTGCACCCAATTTCTAGAATTTTTTCATCTTGCAAAACTGAAGCTATTAACATACACCCATTAAATAGCTATTCAATTAGAGTTTTTAAAGGCAGGTGGTTCTTCTGAAACACAAGGTTACTGTCAGGCCCGTGGTGAACTCAAATGTTTGCTAACTATAGAGAGAAAGATGGGAAAAAACAAATGTTTATACATACAATAACTATAGCTACACATAGATAAAATATGTCTATATTATCAATATAGAATACATAGTAAATGTGTATTTATAACATATGTATAATTTAATGTAAATGTACATTAAATACATGAATTATATAAGAAGTTAAATGTGTGCACGGACGTGTGTGTGCATATGCCCATCCTCGATTTACCCAAAGACGCGGGCCATTGCAGAGCTCGCGCATTCCGCAGTGGGATTTCTTCTTATTCCTCTGGTCCAGATCTCCAGAACTGATTGTGCTGTTTTCTTTCTCTGAATGAATCGAGCCTCATGAGGGCCCTCTTGGCTCTGGCACCCATGGGCCCACGCCGCGCCCCCGACCCCAGGTCTCATCCCCTTTTTCGTGCACGCCCTCCCAGCCCAGTGGAGTCTTGGCGCCCCCGGCTGGATGGCAGGCTGGCCACACTCCACCACGGGCCAGATGGAGCCTGCAGTCTGCATCCGCTTCCCCCCGAGTCACCCCGCAGCCAGGTCCGGAGCATTCCACTGTCTCCCTATCCCACTGTCAGTGTCTGCGTGCAGGTGCTGAGCCTGGCTTGGTGTTCTTCTGTCCTTTGTTTCCTGTGACCCTGTGGTGAGTGTGACCCCGTGGTGGGGCAGGGGCTGCTCTCTGGCCTTCCCAGTGGAGAGGATGAGCAAGGGGCCCCGGCAGCCGATGGGGGGCTTGGAGAAAGGGCGCTTACCCCACCCTGGGGCTCCTTGGGGCTGCCAGGGGAATGGTGCCCAGGCTGGCTCTGAAGATAGGGTAAGATGACTGGGCCACCAAGGTGGGGGCTGTGGGGAGCGCTAGGGAGGCCCTGCCAGGAGCCGGTGCCCTGAGAGCAGGGCGGGCACTGGGCCAGCTCAGGCCGAGGGGACCTGCCAGACCCCTCCTGGGAGCTTGGACCTCCTTGGGTAAGAAGGAGCAGACCTTGATGGGGCTGGGCTGGGGCTGTGCTTGAGGGACTGGAGGGTGACAGGCAGAAGAGGGCAGTGGCTCCACAACGGGTAGACGGGGTGAGTCTTGGTGTCTGTCAGTGACTGCCAGCATGCCCAGCATCATCACACGCTCTGCTTTCTCCTGGCACCGGCCTGGTGCGTCTCCCCGGGGCTCGCCCACCTGCGCGGGAGCCAGCACTTGCAGGGACCCACCTTCCTGGGTTGGTCACCTGGCTTCCTTCCTCTCCACCCCCAGCGCCCACTCCCCCTGGCTGGACTCTCCCTCTGTCCTCCGAGGAACAGCTTTTCTTGGCGGCCTCCACCCCCAGCTCCTGCCTTCCTGGAGTGACTTGCCCCTGGGCTCCCTGTCACTTCTGAATTACTTAGCCTGAGGAGCGTTTCTTCCCTTTGTGTCTCCTTCCCTAGGGCACTTCCTCTTTACCTTCCCGTCCCACCCCTGCGGCTGACACTGAAGATTCTGCTGTGTGCCAGTGAGTGAGCGGGCCCAGCATGGGACACTTTTCCTTGGAAATGAGGGGAAAGAGGGCTGCTTCCTGGGGAACTAGACAGAGCTTGGCAGTCTTCGAGGAGGCCTGGTGTGTCCTCTTTGTTCGAAAGACTGTTTTGCCTCAGGCCAAATTGTCCGACTCTGCCAAGGCAGGAAGGAGAGTAGGAGATGCATGGATCCCTCAAGTGAACAAGAGAAGAGCCCAGGACATGCCGGGGTCATTGGTTGCTGGGGTCATTGGTTCCTGGGGTTATTGGTTCCCGGGGTTATTGGTTCCCGGGTTCATTGGTTCCCGGGGTCATTGGTTCCCGGGGTCATTGGTTCCCGGGGTTCTTGGTTCCCGGGGTTCTTGGTTCCCGGGGCCGTTTCAGGCCACCTCTGGCTCCTGAGAGCGAGGGGAGCCCATGGAGGCCTGCAGAGGAGAGTGGGAGGTGAGGACAGGGACCTCTGGATATGGCCCTCAACAGTACGATGGTCCTTGTGATGCTGCCATCTGGGTGGTGCACGTTCAGTGTGGGTGCCAGCCCTGGCGCAGTGTCAGAACAGCCGTGGTCACGTTGAGCATGTGACTCAGCTCTTCGTTCCCCGGGGCCAACGCCTTCCCTCTTCCAGGCCATCATCGTGTGGACCCCAGCTGCCAACTCCGTCTCCATCCTGGACTCTGCTTTAGTGCCCTCCCCACCCTGGTCACCGCTGGACTTTATGTGCCTGGGTGCTCGTCTCCCCCAGGAAGGAAGGAAGTCCCCAAGCTGTCACGGATGCCCACTGGGCTGCTCTTCGACAGACGCCTCAGGGTCCAAGAGGTGTCTCCCGGGCCAGATCTATGTGCACAGGGCATGTCCCCAGGCTGAGAGGGGCACCCACCTGCCGCTGGCATTCCCCGGATGTTGGCTGAGTGGAGGGGCACCGCGTTTGCTGGACAGAGGGGATGCCTCAGGACGCGACGTCTCCCCTGGAGGACAATGGCCATAATTCTTTTTGAAAACCAGGCATTTTGATGTCCATAGAACTCCTATTTCAGGGAAAATTAGAGGTCCTTGAGGTGGGTGTAAAACCAAGCAGGTGGGGCGCTCCCCCTGTGGCATATGGAGACAGTCCCAGCAGAAGGTGGCGGCAGCTGAGCTCAGCGCGGTGATCAGTCTTGGGCCTGGGCTTGTCTGCCTGGCCGTGCCCAGTTGTGTCTGAGATGTCCGTCTTGCATCCTGGCAGGTGCTCTAGGGTCCTGGGGGTCTTTTCACCACGTTGGGTCTCTGCACATAATACTGGTCCCAGCCAGATGAGCTGTCAGCCCTGCCCCTTGTGAGAAGCCAGTGGTGAGACTGTGGCCCTGGGGCCTCCTGCCCGCACCTCGGCTGCTCCAGGTTGGTGGTCTGGGCGAAGTGAGGCAGGATACATCATAGGTCCCTTTGGGGAAGGAGAATCTCGTGCTCCCTCCATTGTGGTGATGCACTGAGAGGTGTGGAGATCTGCATAGAAGACAGGGCCTCCAGGAGGGTCCAGAGAGGCCCATTGGTGGCAGAGAGGATGCAGGCGTCGGGGCAGCCCTCGTGACAGGTGCTGTGTTGCAGCCTGGAGCAGGCCTCTCATGCTGGCAACACAGAGAGTCACGGAGTCAGAGGCCCTGGACATTTTGGGGCCTCCAGAGGCACACGTGGCCTGTGAGCCAGCACCTGTGTGGACAGCGCCCTGGCAGTGGCTTCGGTTAGTGGACGGCCTCGTAACCTGTGGTGGCGACGCCTGAGCTGGGGCAGCTGACGCCTGGGGAACTGCTTTTGGTTTCAAGTTCAGAGTCAGAGTGAGCAGAGGTAGCCTTTGGGCTGCCATAGAGGAGCGCAGCCCACCCCGGCTTTGGGAGGACAGCATCTGGGCACCGAAGGCAGAGGCCCCGCAGGCTGGGGATGTCTCTGAAGCACGCTCACGGGTAAGGTGTTGGTTCCAAGTGACCGTGTCTGGCAGGGCAGTGGTGTGAGTAAGGAAGTGGTCTATGTCCAGGAGGGACGGGCGTGGAATAGCTCCCCTTCCAATAAGGACCTGCACTCAGAGCCACTTATTATTGAAACTTGCTATCATCGTGCAACCCCAGTTTGTGCTGTAGTTGTCATCAGTGTGTCAGAAACATTTTGTGCTGTGCTTACTCAGGGAGTCTGGTTCCACCGAGACCCTGCCTCCCAGCCGTATGCCTGCATTATGAGGATTTGTGTCATAGCAGTGGCGTGTTCTGTTGAGCACTGTGGCTTTTTAATCGTTACTCAAGTGTGGCCACTCAGGCTGTATTCAGGAACACACGGTCTGAACTAACAAAAAACTAGGCGTCCCGGGCAATCTGTGGCTGGATGGCGTTCATCACCTCCCCCTGGGGCGGGTGTTGTGCTCCCGGCAGGTGGTGTGTGTGGTGTGGCCAGGAGGCCATGTTACTGATGGTAGTAGACACGTGCCTTCGGGCCAGGGCGGTCGACAGAGTCTGTGTCCCACCTCTGATGGCGCGGTGGTGACATCTGGGGCACCATCAGGAGGGTTGTGAGCACACAGCACCTTCCTCACATCTGGGCACCATCAGGAGGGTTGTGAGCACACAGCACCTTCCTCACATCTGGGCACCATCAGGAGGGTTGTGAGCACACAGCACCTTCCTTGGTGTTTGGATGGTGGAGGGTTGTGAGCACACAGCACCTTCCTTGGTGTTTGGATGGTGGAGGGTTGTGAGCACACAGCACCTGCCTTGGTGTTTGGATGGTGGAGGGTTGTGAGCACACAGCACCTGCCTTGTTTGGATGGTGGAGGGTTGTGAGCACACAGCACCTGCCTTGGTGTTTGGATGGTGGAGGGTTGTGAGCACACAGCACCTGCCTTGGTGTTTGGATGGTGGAGGGTTGTGAGCACACAGCACCTGCCTTGCTGTTTGGATGGTGGAACATCATTGCCCAGAACCTGCCAGCCCTGCTTTAGGGACCATCAAAGGACACATTGAAGCAGAGTCAGACGAGGCTGGCCCCAGGGCGTCCAGCAGGCTGTGGACAGGACATGACGTGGTCCAGGTGACACTCGCAGTCGGGTGGGGTGACTGCCAGGCACCCCCCTCTTCTCCAGCACCCTCCCCCATAAGGGCCGGCAAGAGGCCTGGGCTGGGCAAGATTGCCTGCAGTCGGGGGCACTCACTGGTTGAGGGAGCCCAGACTCCCCAGGCCCCCTGGGGGGCCATGGAGGAAACGCCCGTCCAGAGCACCTGGCAGTGGGTGCTCCATGGCAAGCAGCGTCCCCATGCGATCTTCCACCCCAGACTGCCCTTCTGCTGCGCCACTGGAGCCTGTGCGTGACTGAGTTGGCAGGACCCTCTCCTGCAGTCATACTGGAAGGCTGTGATGGCCTGTAGCGTCCGTGGTGTCCGTGTGCCAGGTAGGCGTGAGTGCCATCCTGTGGACGCTGTGAGGCGTCACCACTCGCTGAGGTCAGTGGTGTTGCCCTGGTGGGGCTGAATCTGCATGGAGGACGCTCAGGCCTGAGGCAGGGGCTTCGCTTCACACATCCTCACGGTGGGGTTGGGCTGGCCGTGGGCCACCAGGCATCCTCGCTGGCCCGGTGAGGACAAGTGAGTGGACGGTCCGTGGCCTGGCAGGTGTTCAGGGAACATTTAGGGACATGCGTGGATGGGAGGGTGGGTGGGCGGAGTCCGCAGGCCTGCAGGACAGCAGAGAGACCAAGCAGGCTCTGGCACCTCCCGGGGCACCCTCTGCTCCTCTGATTCCCAGGCCCCTGGCTCTGCTGACTTCTTCCTACGTGGCTGCCCTGCCCCAGGCACATCTGGGCGTTCCTGCTGCCTGGTTCCCAATGTCAGTGTTCTTCACAGCTCTGTGGACCCTGCCTGGCTCTGCGTGTTCTCCCAGCTGACCCATCAGACCCCTGCGGCTGCCCTTCCTGCCCGCAGCAGGCAACTCCTGAGTCTGTCTAGCTCACACCCACCCGTCCAGGTGCCCTGGCAGCGTCACCCCTCACCTGGGTCTTCAGGCCGTGAGCCTTAGGGACCGTCCCTCTCTTTAGATCGGGTCTCTGACTTACACAGGGTGCCCGATTTGCACGCTGCCCTTCACGTACCGCCAGGGTGGGCCTGTGCAGCTGACAGGACCTGTGGCCAGCTTGGCTCTCGTCCAGGTTTAGGTGTCTTATTTTCATTTTATCTGAAATTTGAGATCTTCTGATTATCTTTGATATTCTGAAATTTAAAATTTATCCCATTTAGCACACATGAGTTAACTTAATTTTTAAAGCCTTGTTGGCCGGGCGCGGTGGCTCACGCCTGTAATCCCAGCACTTTGGGAGGCCGAGGCGGGCGGATCACGAGGTCAGGAGATCGAGACCATCCTGGCTAAAACGGTGAAACCCCGTCTCTACTAAAAATACAAAAAATTAGCCGGGCGTAGTGGCGGGCGCCTGTAGTCCCAGCTACTTGGGAGGCTGAGGCAGGAGAATGGCGTGAACCCGGGAGGCGGAGCTTGCAGTGAGCCGAGATCCCGCCACTGCACTCCAGCCTGGGCGACAGAGCGAGACTCCGTCTCAAAAAAAAAAAAAAAAAAAAAAAAAAAAAAAAAAAGCCTTGTTTTCTATTCATCTGGGGTGGTTTCCTCCTCTCCTGGTCACCCTCGTCATCATTGTCGGCATCATTGTCATTTCCCTGCAGCACCTCTGACCTGTGTTTTCCTTTGGTGGGATTCCTGTGAATGCCATTTTGGCTACTGGTTTATTTCTCTGATATTTACTCAATGTGATCTCCCAGGTCCTCTGTGCAGTTTTGTTCTGCTGTTCACCGGCTGAAGTTCCAGGCCCTGCTGCCTGATCGCCTCTGCTTTGCATCCGTTGGTGCCTGTTCTGCGGACGCCATAGCATCACTGTTCTCAGTGTCCCTCCTTAGAGGGGCTTGAATTACCTCTGTGTCTTCCGGGCTCAGTTTTTCTGTGTACCTTGGTCATTCTTTTTCTTGCTTCAACTTTTTCAGTGGCTGGTCAATTGTTCATATCTAAGTATGAGGGGAAGATACATTTCAGATGGATTCAAGGCTTAACTGTAAAAAGTAAAGCAAGAGAAATCTCCAAAGACAATTGGGGCATCAAGGACCCGTCCTCATTGACCCCGGATCTCTAGAAGCGGACAAAGATGCAATTGACAGAATAAAAATGACAACTTTTGAGTGGATAAAGATATTAGCAACAAAGTCAATGAAGAAATGAGAGTTTTGGAAAAATATGTGTAACATTTGACAAAGCTGAGGCAGGCGGATCACCTGAGGTCGGGAGTTCAAGATCAGCCTGACCTGCATGGTGAAACCCCATCTCTACCAAAAATACAAAAATTAGCTGGGCGTGGTGGTGCACGCCTGTAATCCCAGCTACTTGGGAGGCTGAGGTGAGAGAATCGCTTGAACCTGGGAGGTGGAGGTTGAGCCGAGATCACACCACCGCACTCCAGCCTGGGCGACAGAGTGAGACTCTGTCTCAAAACAAACAAACAACAACAACAACAAAAAGTTTACTATGGAGAGGTCTCTTCCAAACTGGAGAGAAAGACCAACATTAGAAAATGAACGCTCAGTGTGACCAGGCAGCCCAGGGAAGAGGGGTCGTTGCAGACATGCCCAAACTCCCCAGCCCCCAGGGAGATGCCCAGAAAAGTCAGCAGAGATCGTGCTTTTTACCTAGCTTGGCAGAATATGGCAAGAGAGATGGTGTCCATTACAAGGGAGGATGTAGAGGCCGCAGCAGTGTCGGGCATGGCTGGAGGAGGTACGCGCGGCTGCAGCCTCTTTAGAGGTCGTTCTGCTCACATGTCCTGATGTGAGAAATAAGCAGATACTTCACTCAGCCCCCACTCCCAGGGCTGTGCTCCACAGGGCCACAGACCCCAGGACGTGAGGCTCTTTGCACCCGGCAGTCTCTTGCAGTGTTGTGGTAAGAGTCAAACGCTTGGAGGAAAGTCTGTGCCCATGAGTGGGAGAATGCTTGGCTAAATGTTGGCACAGCCACGTGACGGACTCCCCCGAGACATGGTATTGAATGAGAAACGGAAGATGCTGAGAAGTCTGTAGGATACAATTTCATTTTTGGAGGCAGTGACCACCTGGTGTGTGCATGTGTACATATGTGCACATGTGTGCATTGTGAGCATGTGTGTGCGTGTGTGTGTATGTGTATGGAATGGAGGGAAGTGTGGACAGCAACCACGCAAAGGTTTCCTGTTGGGTGTTTGATGGTGGAGAGAGCAGGAAAGAGAGAAAGAAGCTATTGCTCTGAACATGAAGCAGTGTGTCTGTTCTGTCGCTGTGTATAAACTGCTTGCTTGTGCGTGTTGCCGCGTACACTCTGTAGAGAGAGGGGACCAGAGCTCCTGGTGTACCGGGAGGCCGGGATGTAGGAGTGGGAGCTGCAGAGCAGCGTGTGGAGTGCGAGTCTTTGGGCACTCACAGAAGCGAAGCCTGTCTGTGTGTGTGCGCGCGTGTGTGCGCGGGAGCCCAGCCCAAGGAAGGACCCTGGTGGCCTTGCAAGGGAGCCAGGGACAGAGATCACCTGTGTGTGTCTTTGTGTGGTGGTGTTACTCTTGTGGTAACAACGACTTTTGTAAATGGGAGTGCATGGCTGAGGTGTTGCTTCTTAAAGGCAGGAGTAAGGAGGAGGGCCCGGGGATGGGGAGCGGTCGGATGAGTAGCTGGGCCCTTCCAGTGCCGGCTTGAGGGCCTTTTCTCTGGATCACAAACTCCCCACCTGCTGCCTCGGGCAGTGGGTTCTGTTCTGGTTCTGCAGAGGAGAGTCCTGGGGCCCACTGTCCAGGAGTTCCTGAGACAGAGACCCTCAGGGAGGCTCCCCATCAGGTTCCTATGGGTTCCTGCTTCACCCTACTGCCCTCGTTGGAGAGACCCCCAGCAGTCTGGGGCCTTGAGGATGCCTCTGGCCGAGCAGCCACCCACGCGCCCTGCCCTGGTCTGCTTTGCAGCTCTGCGGGTGCAGCTGCTCCCGTCCGCCAGCTGCTGGATGTTTGTGGGGCATTGTTGAAATCTCTGATGGATGCTGCCCCCTGCCCCTCCACGGGCTCTTCACTGTTTTGGGTCCATGCCTGTGCTATCACTTGATTCCGATTTAACAATACAGGTGAATGAGGCAGGGCCGGATGCGCAGGCCCAGATCCTCATCTTTGTGCAAAAGCTTTGAGGGACCACAGGTAAAGGCCCGGGCCACGCCGACAGAGGCTCCAGTCTCCATCCTGCTTGTGCGGCCATGCCTGAGCCAGGTCCCCTGTGCTGTTGCCACACACGTGTGTGTGTGAGTGAGTCCGTGCGTATGTGTGTTTGAGGTTATATGAGTGTATTTGTGAGTGTGAATGTGTGAGCATGAGTGTTTGTGAATGTCTGTGGGTGTGTTACACTGTGAGCATGAGTGCATGTTTGCATGAATGTGATCGGGTGTGTTTAAGGTTATGTGTGTGAGCATGCATGTTTGTGTGTTTGTGTTAGTGTGTGTGAGTGCCTGGGTGTGAGTGTGCAAGTGTGATTGAATGTGTGAGTTTGAGGTTGTGTAAGTGCATGCTTGTGTTTGTATTAGTGTATAAGTGTTAGTATATGAGCGCATGGGTTTGAGTGTGCGTGTTTGAGTGTGTTCATGATTGTGAGTTTGTGGTTATGTGAGAGTGTGTGTGAGTGTATAAGGATGTGTGTATGTGATTGAGTGTGTGAGTTTGAGGTCATGTGTGAGTGACACACGTGTTTATATGTTGGACTCCTTGTTGGAGCCTGGCCTGAGTGGACGGGGCCGTGGTGCAGGCCAGAACAGGTGTCTGCACAGACAAGGTGGCCTGAGGCGCAGGGTTCCTGCCTGGACAAAGGTGGACTCTGTCCTGGGTGATTCCCTGTCCCAGCTGGGGCCTGCCCTGTGGCTGCCAGGAGCTGAGGAGTGACTGACTCTGGGGGCGACAGGCTGTGGGAAGCCCTGTGGTGTGGACAGCAGCTGCACATCAGTGGCTCCAAAGGGCAGAGGGTTAGAGCAATTGCCCTAGATGGCAGCTGTCATCGACTATCCAACTAGGAGATGAGGGGCATGTTGGTCCTTCACCTTTATGACTCATTTAGCTGTCTGTAATTCATCCCAGGAACGTTCTTAAAGTAATCATCATCATTTTGAAAAGACCCAGCATGATGCGGGGATGAGCTGTGAAGACAGGTTTTCAAGCCCAAGTCCAGTGGGTGCTCAACCAGCTCCTCTGCTCGGCTCCTCCAGGCGCCGCAGGGCTGCAGGTGCACCAGCCTTTCCACCAGGTGCCTGGCCAGCACAAGAGTCCTGCTCTCCCGGAGGCCGCTGTGCAGGATCAGCTCTGCACTATCTGTTGCCGTTAACCATACAGTGCATGACCTCCTGAAAAACACCAGACATGCTTCACAGGCCCCAGGGCTGGCAAGGCAGGGAGCAGGGAGGCCTGGATTCAGGGGGGCGCTGCAGGGAGTCCAGAGTGCCCGTGCTGACTGGGTTTGGTCTGTCTCTGGGCAAATCCAGTTTTACAAGTCTGCTAAGTAGCAGTCTTTAAAACTGCATCTTGATTGGTGTGGCACCTGTCTCCTGCCTGCGAGAACCATACCTGCTTTTACTCTACCCTTTAACAGGAGAGCCCCGAGCCATGTCTTTCAGTGGGATCGAGGGAGTTGGAACATTTCAGAGCTGTGGGGTGCCTCCCTCAGCGCAGCATTTTGGACCTCTAGCACCACTCTCTGACGGTTGTTGGTGGCCCATGGCTAAGGGTTGCATGGTTGTCTTTGCATTTTTAAACTCTGTTTTGACCCCGCAGAGCCCCTTGGGAAAAGTCGGGATGCTACCCTCACTGACCTGCCAGTCCCGGGGACACAGGGCAGACGGCCTGCCGTCCTGTACAGGGCCCCGTGCATCTGGGCGTGCTTTTCTCTGCCTCATGAAGTGTGTCGCCAGCCACGCTGCAATCATCTGTTCTTTAAGAGAAAGAAAAGTGGAGATGACAGGATGTGGCGGTCCTATGATTCTCTCCGCCCACCAGGGAGGAATGGGAAGTTCCCATCAGGGCATGACGCCACTTTCAGTACAAGCCTTCAGGCATCTGTGCCACTTCCTTTCATGCACCCTGCACTGTCCTCAGCTCCTTTAAGCTCTTCATTTCCGTTGTTTTCTATGAAAGGTGGCTACGATTCTGTGTGTTCTGCTTGAGAGAAGGTGGCCCAGGCCTGCTGAGACGTCATGGGCCGTGTCATCCAGCAACCTGGCTTCCGAGGCGCTGTGTTGAACACTTCTTGACTTCATGAGTTTATAAGTACTTCATGCCCAGCTACACCGTGTACGCGGAAATGAGAGCAGGGCTTGACCCGTCTCTTGATTATCTGCAGCAGTTTTAATTTATTTTAAAATAGAAATAGCTTTGCTTTTTACATTAAAATAAAAATGCTTTTTGTAAACAATTGCAACAATAAATAAACTTAGAAAGTAGGAGTTTAACGAACCTCTGAGTTTCGCTCACATGCTTGGGAAACCAACCGGGTTAGCGGGACTGTAGCTTGGAGACATTGCAGCCCAAGCGGCTGTCTCTGGGGAGCCCTGTGGCTCCCGGGCTGCCCACCCCCCGCCGGGCAGTCGGCTTGCTGCCACCAGCAGGTGTGAGCTCCAACCGTAGACATGCTCTTGGTCCAGACGTCCATTTATTGGGACCCAAAACTCAGAACTGTGGGCAGTTCAGACCTGGAAAGATGAAAGGGGACCGTCGGGGAATGGGCCGTGCTGCTGTCTTCCTTCCCGCTTGTTGGCATCTGTCCAAGCCTTCCCTCCTTTCTTGGAGACTGTCACCAGAGAGGGCCTGTCTGTGTCTTGTCAAACAGAGAGGATTCCTCCCTGCCGGCGAGCCTGTCCACTGCCTGTGTGTGCAGGTCCTTTGTCACCTTCCTGCAGCTTCCCTGGGGTCACCAGGGGAGTGGTGTGTCACCCGTGGGGTTGGCATTCACCTCCCCCCAGGTGAGGGCTCTCTGACGGCTGTGAATAATCACAGCAGCAGGTACCAGGATTGTCTGCGGGTTCCCATCTGCAGGGCAGCCTCAGCTGTCGATGCCGACATCGATAGTTTTGAGTAGAGTTGGGGAGGAACTTGGGCTATCACCTGGAATCAAAGCACCTTTATTTACTGCTTTGGTCCGAAAGAACGCAACACTTAGGAGGGTCCACTCCAGCAGTGATAAGCACCTCACCTGCAGAACAGGGAGGGCTGCCTGCCCAGGTCTCCCACCTCACCTGGGCAGGAGAGGCACCTGCAGCTTGAGACAGGCATGGAGAGGACGGTCCTGACCACTGAGGAGTGTCTGTGTCTGGAGGAAACAGCCTGTGCCCCTCTCCTCAGGACGGAGGCCCTTCACTTGTACCCCCCTGTTATCCCCCAATGGAGAAGGAAGTGGGTGGGCGGCTGGGACACGTCAGTTTCCAGTTTTTCTTGCTTGGCACCCTGTCAATCTTGAGTTTGTTTCAAGAAGCTGTTCTGCTGCCTTGATGAGACCCCCTCCACGTGAAGAAAGGTGAAATGCAGCAGCGCCAGCCACGCAAGATGGTACTGTGCTTTGGACGGTGCATTTCAGGGTCTTCTCATCGCCCCCTTTGCTAGTCCCTGAATTCCTCACAGCCAAGTTCCTGTGTCTCTGCGGGCCCCACATCCCTCACATCTGACATTCAGGGCCCTCCTGTGTCTCCGAAGGAAGAGGGTTGGAACACACCTGCAGAGCCACGGTTCTCAAACTCCGGAGCCCTTCACACTCCTGCAAATTAGCATGGACTCCAAAGAGCTTTAGCTTCAATGATTGAGATGCACAGGCTGACTGTCGTTCTGACGTGCTTGGGACCAGAAGTGTTCAGGCTCTCAGAGTTTTTGGATTTTGAAGTATTTGCGTATACATAATGAGATATCTTGGGGATGGGACCTGAGTCTAAACATGAAATTTATTTATTTATTTATTTATTTATTTTGAGACGGAGTCTTACTCTGTCGCCCAGGCTGGAGTGCAGTGGTGTGGTCTCGGCTCACTGCCACCTCCGCCTCCCAGGTTTAAGCGATTCTACTGCCTCAGCCTCCCTCCCGAGTAGCTGGAATTACAGACATACACCACTATGACTGGCTAGTTTTTGTATTTTTAGTAGAGATGGGGTTTCACCATGTTGGCCAGGCTTACCTCAGGTGATCCACCGGCCTCAGCCTCCCAAAGTGCTGAGATTAGTGTGAGCCACCACACCCAGCCTAAACATGAAATTTATTTTTCATGTTCACCTTATACATATAATGTGAAGGTAATTTCATATAGTATTTTTAATAATTTTGTTCGCCAAACAGTTTTGACTGTGACCCATCACATGAGGTCAGGTATGGAATTTTCCACTTGGGTTTTCATGTTGGTGCTCAGAAAATTTCAGATTTTGGAGCATTTTGGTTTGTGGATTCTTAGATTAGGGATGCTCAACCTGTATTGGTATTTATTGTATTAGAAACTAACACACATCTAAAAAACGTGCTTACTCATTTGAAACTGAATAAACCCATTACATGTTAAATAGATAGGTAACATTTTTAACAAAAAATAACCGTTCGGTAAAACACAAAGCGTCGTGAGAAGAGAGGCATCATTTTACCCTTTGCCAGTCTATGGAAGGTGTGGCTTAATGGCGACAGTATTTCTGCTTCTCACACCGGCTCTCGTTCAGTCCATGTCCACTGTACCCCTGTGAGAGAAGGGCACATGACATTTTTCTATTATGAACAAAAATTTGACTTCACACACCTCTTGTAAAGGTCTCGGGGACCCTCTGGGACCCCAGATCGCATTATGAGGACCGCTGTTTTAGAAACGGGTTTCTGTGTGGCTGGGGGCCTGGGGGCTGATCACTTATTTGGCCGATAGGGTCTTTTGTCAAAGGGTTGTTTTCCATCCGCAAGTGCCTGTCAGTGACGGAGGCTTTCAGGCATGTTGTTGGTGAAGCTCAATTCAGGCCCGTTGTTGGTGAAGCTACGCGTGCTTGGGTGCATGGTGGTTATGGTGGAAGAGATCTTTCCTTACTTAGTCTGGTACTGACATAAGGTTCTGGGGCTGTTTGTCACCTGCCCTGGGGGTGCCCTGCGTAGGGCAGGGATAAGTCAGGGATAAGTCATGTTTTCCTTCGTGGGGTTGCAGCCATCTGCCTGGGACCCCACTGGCCTTTTGCTCTCTCGGGGTGTTCATGGCAGTTGATGTTAAATGATCCATTGAGCCCAGCGTTTCACACCGTAAGTCAAATCCTTGGGCCTTCTGTGTGTCTGTCTGAATCTTTTTCTCTGAAATTCTTTTATTTCACAGCAAACGGAAACAAGTCTTGTTTTATCTGGATGCCTTCTCCATTTGGACTCTTCCTCTCCAGAGTTTATTTTACCAATAAGTTTGTACATGCTAGAGATCATAGGCCAGAATGTGGATCTTTATCCACTCTTATGCTTACGCAGACTGGCAATAAACACACCTAGGCATCTGCAAAAGGGCCTCAGTGCTGACATCTCTTTTCCTCCATGGAGAAAGTTCAGTGCTGACGTCTGTTTTCCTCCATGGAGAAAGCTGATGCTCTGTTGCTGCTAACGGACAGTTATTCTTGTGCGTTCATCTGTGTGTCTGTGTCCGCCAGTGCCACACGCGTGACCCTGACGACCCTGCTCTGTGCATGCATGTTTGTGTGTGTCCGCCAGTGCCACACGCGTGACCCTGACAACCCTGCTGTGTGCATGCATGTCTGTATGTGTCACATAGTGCCACACGCATGACCCTGACGACCCTGCTCTGTGCATGCGTGTTTGTGTCCGCCAGTGCCACACGCGTGACCCTGACGACCCTGCTCTGTGCATGCGTGTTTGTGTGTGTCCGCCAGTGCCACACGCGTGACCCTGACGACCCTGCTCTGTGCATGCGTGTTTGTGTGTGTCCACCAGTGCCACATGCATGACCCTGACAACCCTGCTGTGTGCATGCATGTCTGTGTATGTCACATAGTGCCACACGCGTGACCCTGACGACCCTGGTCTGTGCCTGCATGTCTCTGTGTGTCCCCCAGTGCCACGCGTGTGACCCTGATGACCCTGATCTGTGCATGCGTGTCTGCGTGTGTCCCCCAGTGCCACACGTGTGACCCTGACGACCCTGGTCTGTGCATGCGTGTCTGTGTGTGTCCCCCAGTGCCACGTGCGTGACCCTGACGACCCTGGTCTGTGCATGCATGTCTGTGTGTGTCCCCTGGTGCCACACGCATGACCCTGACAACCCTGGCTTGTGTGTGCATGTCTGTCCATGTCCCTCGGTGCCACATGCATGACCCTGATGACCCTGGCCTGTGCAAGTGTGTGTGTGTGTCCCCTGGTGCCTCATGCATGGCTCTGAAGACCTAGCCTTGCTGGCTCCCATGGCCCTTCCTCTTTATCCTCTTGGTATCTGATCTTCCGAACGTTCCAGAATCAGAGGGTGGGGGAATCAGAGCCTCAGATGGAATGGTGGCCTCAGCTCAGCAGAGCCTGTTTTGGCCTTGTTCAGCATAAGCCTGTGGATTGTGTGAAATCCTTCCTATTTTATTCCCGTTACAGCACAGTGAAATGGAATTTTATTACTTTCAAGTGTAGAGTCCATTATGAAACTAAAGTATAAATCTGTCCCAACAAATTATGGAGGAAAAATATCTGAAGTCTTGCGCCATGTGGCCACGTATCATAAAATGACACTCTTATAAAACACAATAGCCAGACCTTACACTCCACATTTCACTAAGGAAAACAGTGCTTATTAAACTCACTGTATAGACAGGAGTCAGAAATGTCATATAGCAACAGTTTGCTTTCTAAAGCTTAAAATTTATTTCAATTTTAATTACCCTAAATTCAAATTAAATTAATCATTTAATTACACAAATTAAAAATGATTTCATATATATTTTGTCTGACAAACCTGACTTAGTACCTCTTTGGGAATTCCCTGTTTTTTCTCCATTTAAAATCTGCACCCTGTGTTTGCACCCTCGTGGGTTCTGAAAGAATTCTTTTCCGTTTCTGCGAGGTTTCTTTTAAGAGGAGTAGTATGGTGACTATTTCTCCTACATGTACTGGTTGTAAGAAATGGTGGCAAGAATTATAAAATACTTCCTCACTGTCTGGAAAGTCCAGGTAAGATCGTGCAAGCTGCATGGACCAGTCAGATCAGTATTATTTGGATCTTTCTTGGTGCAAGATGGCTTTGAGTCATTGGTCTGCACCAGTTTTTTATTGAATTATAAAATACATGAGAAAAGTACACAAGCCAGGAGGGATATGCGGGTGCTGACTTTCTGCAAGTGAAGGCTCTGCCTTCTCTTCCACAGATCAAGGAGCAGGTGTTCCCCCCGCCACCGCTCCCTTGTTCTTCCTTCAGTGGCCGTCCCCCACCCCTCCCAGGGGAACCTGTCTGGATGTCTCCCACCTCGGATTAGTGTTGCCTGTTTTCACATTTTATGCACACGGAGCCCTACAGTAGGCGCTGCTGTGTGTGTCTGCTTTTTCTCAGCATGATGTTTCTGTGATTTATCTGTGTCACTGCATATAGGTGTAGTTTGTTTATTTTTACTGCTGTATGGTGTTCTGTGGTATGATGACATCACAAGGTATTTATTCGTGCAGCTTTTGGCACGTTTGGGAGGTTTCTGGTTTTTGACTGTTACAGATAATGCTGCCGTGTCTTCGTAGATGTCTTTCTGTTGGGTAGATGCCTCGGGCTGGCATTGCTGGGGCATGGCACTTGTGTGGCTGTAGTACCTGCCACCGAGGGGTTTCCCACAGGGTGTGTGCCGTTGACTGTTTTGTAACCTCGTGTGTGAGTGCCGGCCAACCACATCCTTACCAACACATGGTATCCTTTCGTTTATAGATTTTAGCCATTTTGGTGGGTATGGAGTGTTCCGTTGTGGCTTTATCGCGTTTCCCTGCAGTCACACATGCGCAGGACCTTGTGTGTGTTGATTGACCACTTGGAATCCTGTCTTGTAAAGTACCTGTTGATGTGTTTTGCTTATTTTTCATTCAGGTTGTCTGCCTTTTTCTTAGTGATTTGTAAGAATTATTTATACATTTTGAATATCCGTCCCTTGCTGGGTGTATGTGTGGCAGGGTCTCTTCTATTTTGTGGCTTGCCTTTTCCCTCTTCTGCATCTTTTGATAAATGAGTGTTCTTAATTGAGTGCAGCACAATTTATCATTTTCTTTCCTTCATGGTCAGTACCTTTTTAACATCTGTCTATCTTTGCCCACCTGAAGATATTTTTTGTTGTTGTCTTTTAGACCAGGCCTCATTGCTTACCTTTAACATTTAGGTCTGTGATCCAGCTCATACTAATTTCCATCATGGCGGGCTGTATGGGCTGTGGTTCATTTAGCATCAAAGAGCAGCTGACGCAAGCACTGCATATTGAAAAGACCCTGTTTTCCCTATGGATTTGGGGTGGAATCCTCACAATAATCAGATGACTCTGTGTTGGTCTCATTCTAGCATATTCTCCTTGGTTTACTTTAATTACACAAGTTTAGAAGAAGTCTTGATATTTGGTAGTGTGAGTCCCCCAAGCTTGTTTCTCTTCCAGATTGCTATTTCAGGTTCTTTGTGCTTCCATTTAAAATGTAAAATTGTCAGTTTTCAAAAAAATTCTGCTGGGATTTTGATTGCGATTGCATTGACTGCCGATTACTTTGCAAAACATTGACATCGGAATCTCATTGGGGTTTCCGGTCCATGCACATGGTATATTCCTCCTTGTATTGAGATCTCTAATTTCACTTACGTTTTATAGTTTTCTATGTAGAATTCTTCTACGTCTCTTGATAGATTTAGTACTGGATATTTGCTAATATTGTATGCTATTATAAATGTTATCTTGTTTTCAAAGCTTATTTTGTATTTGTTTATTGCCACTGTATAGAAATACAATAGCTTTTGATTTTGGTACATTATTGACCTTTTACTCAGCAATCCTGTAAAATTCACTTAGTTATTTTAATAGTTATTGGTAGATTGTTTTGAGTTTTCTGTGTATACACTATATCATCTGTGAATAGTGACATTTTCCTTTGTAATCTTTTTGCTTTCTTTTCTTTTCTTGCCTTACTGCCCTGGCTAGGATCTCTGCCAGGGTGTTGAATGGAAATGATGAGAGTGGGCATCCTGGCCTCACTCCCTGTTTGGTGAAGGCTCTCTGTTGCCCAGGAGATGATGTGTATTTGGCGTTCTGGACTGGGTTCTGCAGGCTGCTCTCCTTTGTGTGACTCTGGGTTCTCCTTTTGGTTCACTAGCACTGGCCGTTCCGTCACCAGCATGGCAGGCTGAGGCCATGGTGGGCACTTTGAGCTATAGTCACTGCCCGTGAAATGGGGTGGGGAGGGTGTGTGGTAAGGGACAAAACTGGCCCTCCCCACACTGTCACATTTCTTTGTGGTAGCTTGGTAAGATGTTTTAGAAGAATGTTCTCTGATGGATTTATAGCTTCTAAGACTTTTGCTCTTTGGAAGGTTTATGGCTTATTCCATGAAATTAAGTCAACCAAAATTTCAAAATTTCCAAGCTGCGGGAGGAGGAACCATAGGTAACCTTAGATTCCAAGTGTTTGGTGAAGGAAATACACCCACACGTAAGCGTTAGTGATGCATTTGCTTTCATTGATTCTGTGTGGAGCAGAAATGAAAAGAGAGAGATGTCTTTATGTAAACAGATGCCCAGTGTCAGAAACTGCCCACTTGGCAGAGTGACCATGGCTGTCTTGCTAAAGGTGCTTGTAAATTAAAATCACAGGCTCTGTGGCTCAGTGTGGACTTCTAGTGCATCTGGTAAGTTAGGGGAAAATACATCCTAAAAGGCATTGTGTTTGAAAGTTGTAATATGTCCACATTCGTCTATTATTTATTAGAATGTATTTTAGTTAGGGATGTACAGATACACATTTCAAACGTCCTTCAGAAACAAATGGATCCTTGAGATCTTAGTAGCATGTGCTTTCCATGTGTTTTCTTAGAAAAGTGATCATCGTAGTTCTCTAATCTGGTTAGTGAAGTATCATTAGACACATACATCAAGATAAAAAGAACTAGATCATGCTTAAGTCTTATTAAACCATTTAATTTCTAGTAGGTTTTTATGTTGTGAGTGTTGCGTTGGGTTGTTCAAAGACACACCACCTAAGGAGAAGGTGACGGAATGGGCAGAAAGAAGAGAGGTGTATCAGGCAGACAGCTGACTGATGGGTTTTCATCCCATATCCAATAGAAAAGACTGCTTTCCTCGTGGGCTTCAGATAGCGCTGCTTTCTTTATGAGGGGTTCCATTTAGTTTTCAGCTGTAGAATCGTTTGTTCTTAACTCCATAATTTTTCTCTTCTCTGCCTGTGATCTTCATGAGGGAATGTGAAGTTTTTCTTTTAACCCAGATATTCTGAGGGCCAACAGCAGTTCCCTGCATTGTATGTGACTCTGGCTTTCTCATGGCAGCCCTCTGCAGGCTCTCTGAGGCATTGGGAGTCCTGAGGCTTAAAGTACCACAAACTTGTGAATTTCTGGAATCTTTGATATCAGATCCTTAAAACTTAACTCTAGCCCCCAAAAGGCAGAAAACGGTTTCTTTTGCAATTTGCTTTCAACTTCAGCCCCCTGTGAGGTAGTTTCTGAGGGGAATCCAGGAAGACCTTAAAAACGTTCATTCAGTTCACAGTTTTGTTGTGTGCCTACTGTGTGCCTTGGGCCAGGGGTGCAGCAGGAGGTCACATTCCAGCCAGGGGCAGGCAGAGGGGCCGACAGATAATGAGAAAACAAACAACTACTTAATGTCAACATAGAATGAAATATCAGAAAAAGGAAAGAACTTGGAAGGGCAAGAAAGTAGGGTGACAGGAATGAGCGTCTGGGGTGGGGCGATCAGGAGCAGTTTCTGGGAGGTGGGACGTGGGTGTGGAGGTGGAGAGAGAGGTGCCTTTCCTGTCCTTACCTGCAGCCTCTAAGCCGTCTGGAGAACTTACATTTCCCAGACAGCGTTGGCCCCAGAGCCTTTTTCCTACAGCACACCAGGGATGCCGATGAACTCCAACCCAGTACTTCTATGGGGAGAAAAGAATCAGGCTCAGGGGTGATAAGGAACTGGTCCAGGGTGAGAGAACACACTGGGCTAGTGCTGGGGCCAGGTGGAGCTCGGGTGTCCCCGCTCCCTGTCTAGTACTCTTTCCCAAGGGACCAGGTAGAGCTCGGGCGTCCCCGCTCCCTGTCTAGTACTCTTTCCTAAGGGACCAGGTGGAGCTCGGGTGCCCCCGCTTCCTATCTAGTACTTTTTTCCAAGCCAGAGTCCGGGGGTGTGAAGAGATACATGTTCCCGTTTGCTCTCAGTGGAACTTGCAGCCAGGCACGGGGCAGGTGCTCATCAGATAAGCGAGCACATGAGTCACAACAGACCCAGCCAGAGCCAGAACAGCTTGGGGTCCTGCTGCAGGAAGGCAGGGTGCCTGGGCAGACCCTGAAGGTCCTGTCTGTGGCTGTTGGAGCTACTTTTTTAGCCCAACTGAGCATCATGGCTGCTGACTCAGTCTCCCCAGCTGTGACACGGGGGCTGGGGTCTCCGGGTCCCCTTGCGGCTGTCTGTGGCGTCTGTCTGCCTTGTCCTATTTCCCCCTCTGGTAATGATTCTTCAGTTTTCCTTCGAGGAATGACCCTCATTCCCATTGGTCCCACATTGGCGGCGCTGCCTGTCAGGGTGTCCTGGCTTCCCTGGTCAAGGGCTGTGGCTCAGCGCAGGCCATCAGGTGTGGTTGGACAGTGTTCTGGAGGGACTCTCCGTTAATTCCTGCCTCTGGGTCCCTCCACCTGCTTTGCCAGCTACCCCGTTCACTCGCTGGAGCTTCCTCTGTTTGCCTAGATTATCCAAAGTCAATTTTCTATTGCTTGCAACCATGAACTCCTAACAGGTGTACCTTGGGTCTAGCATGCCTGCTCTGTAAAACCTGAATTCTCACTTCCTTTGGCTCAAGTACTCTGTGTTCTCGCCGGTTTCCAGAAAGAAGGGTTCATAGACTGTGGGCATTGATATTCTGTCCAGCAGGTTCTGGAGCTGGCTTCTTAGCCTCCTCATGTCAGATCCACTCGTCTACAGATTCCCGAGTCTTCTGCTTCCTCTCTAAATCGCAGCTCCCACTGGCTTCCTCCCAGGAGGCTGTGGGTGGTTCCTGGTGACCTGGCTCTCAGTGAGCCTTCACCAGAGGCACCAGGGAATGACCATTTCTGGCTGAAAAGGTGACCCGAAGGCTGAGTATGTGACCGAGTGGAGGGGCATGTTCTCCATGCACTCCCCAGTAGCTGGAGCCCCCACCCCCCAGCTCTGGGAAGGGGTCCCCACCCAAGCTGCTTCTGTCATCTCGGCCTATCCTAGACCCGACCCCAGGTCCTCTGTCCTGCTCAGAAGCCTTCAGTGGCTTCTGCTTCCCTCAGCGCAGAGGACACAAGATTCTGAGAAGCCCTCTTGTTCATGACACAGCCGGATTCTGGCCACATCATGTGAAACATGTTTCCCATTAGCTTGGCTGTGCGTGTAAAAGTGAGGAGGAACTCACATGGTAATAGAGTTACATGGGTATATGCATTTTCAAAATAGTGCCGTTAACTTTCGGACGTTTCAGTGTAGGTGGAAGGAGGTACCGACGCAGCGTGAATGCCAGGGTGTTGGCTGGCGTTGAAGCTAGATGCCGTGGGCTGTCACACAGTTCTCTTTACTCTGTATATGTTTGAAGTTTTCATAATATAAAAGCTTTGTTTTTAAAGAGAAATTCATGTTAAAACCTGTGAAATCTTAAATTGCAAATATCAATATGAAAACACTTTTTTTTTACTTAAAATATTTGTACTTTTTACATATCCAAAAAATAAACAAATGACTAAAACCAACCAGTATGTGGGGAACTCAACATGAAATACATATGCTAACCAAGGAATTTAACTCTCTTACAAATGCACTCACCTGATAACTTTGGAAACCAGTGTCTTACCTGGATACGGTAAGGCTGAGAACAAGGAGAATCGTGTATAAATGGTGGTCTTGTGAATGTGTTTCTCATGTGTAGAGGTTAGCGATTCTGAAATGACTTTGTGTGTGTACCGGAATTAAACAAATGAGAAAAGATACTGTAGATAATAGGAACCAGGTTTCCCACTGTTAGAAAGATATTTAATAAAAACAAGGAAAGAGGAAGACTAAAATACACCTTGTGATGTTGGGATCTGAGGTCTCAGTATAGACTCATGATTATTCAAGTGTAAACTCATACAGAGATACTGAGGTGTGAGTGAGTCCCTACGCGCGCTGCCTGCTGAGAGGGCCCTGCGTGCTCTGTCGCCCAGCAGCAGTTAGCACACCTAGCACTAGATTGGGTCCGAACACAGTTCTCCCAAACATGGATCCAGGGTTCCCTGGAGAAGCCATTGATTCCGGGACTGTGACAGGGACATCTTGTAAAATCAGAAAGTAAGCAAATGCTCAAAAACAAACAAACAAAAGACTGGATTGGAGGCTTGCCAGAAAAACCTAGGAGCTGGTTTGCAGGAGCTCCCGACGGCCGGCGCTTTAGCACCAACACCAATGGTGGCAGTATGGGACTAATAACACAGCGGATAACGTAACTATCTGTGAGTCCACACGAACGGAAGCAGATTACTGAGTCACTGGGAAGATGGAGCAGTGAAAGCTCATCCTTGCCTTGGAATTCTAAGTAATAAGTGCAGCAAAAAGGAGGTGATTTGGATGTCACCACTAGGCAAACATCATGACAGTGAGTGTCACAGCCCGGCTGCTCTGATGGATTCAGGCCCACGAAGACGTGTGTTGATATGTGTCTCTCTCCAGTGAGCTTCGGTAGCTTGGGCTTTTCAAGGCACTTGTTTATTTCATCTAAGTTGTCAAATTTATTGGCATAAAGTTTTTCATAATATTCCCCATTGTCCTTTTAATATTTGTGCAATCTGTAGTTAATTCCCACTCTCTTTTTTTTTTTTTTTTTTTTTTTTTTTTTGGAACAGAGGCTTGCTCTGTCACCCAGGCTGGGGTACAGTGGCGTGATTTTGGCTCACTGCAGCCTTGACCTCCCGGGTTCAAGTGATCCTCCCACCTCAGCCTCCCGAGTAGCTGGGACTACAGGCATGCACCACCATGCCCAGCTTATTTTTTTTTATTATTTTTTGTCGAGACAGGGTTTCACAATGTTGCCCAGGCTGCTCTCGAACTCCTGAGCTCAAGCAATCCCCCCACCTCGGCCTCCCAAAGTGCTACAATTACAGGTGTGAGCCACCACACCTGGCCCCCTCTCTCATTCTCGATATTGTTAATCTTTGTCTTTTCTCTTTATCAGCTCTGCTAGAAGTTTATCAATTTTATAGTCTCAAAGAATCAGCTTTTAGTTTCATTGATTTTTCTCTGTTCTGTTGTCTTCTGTTACTGTTTTTTTTTTCTTATTTTGAGTTTAATTTGTTCTTTTTCTAATTTTTTAAGGTGAAACCTAAGGTCATTGAATTGAGGCCTTCTTTTCTAATACAGGCATTTGGTACTTATGTTTCCTCCTAAGCACTGCAGATTTTTATGTTGTATTTTCATTCGTTTCAAAATGTTTTCTAACTTCTTTTAAATTTTTTCTTTGATTCATGATGTGTTTGCAAATACTTAGGATTTTCAAATATCTTTGTTATTGACTTCTAATTTAATTTCAGTTTTGTCAGTGAACATACTTTGTATGACTTGACTTGTCCTTTTGAATTCGAGACTGGTTTTATGGCCCAGAAGGTGTTCTATCTTGGTAAATGTTCTGTGTGTGTTTTTAAAAAAGAACGTGAATAACGTGTATTCAGCCGTTGTTTATGGAGTGTTCCATGAATGTCATTTTGGTCAAGTTGGGTGGTAGTGGTCAGGTCTTCTCTGTTCTTATTTTCTGTCTACTTGTTCTAACAGCTACTAAGAGCAGGGTGTGAAAATTCCCAGTTATAATTGTAGATTTGTCCATTTCTTCTTATGCTTTTATTATTTTATATTATTATTTTATTTTATACCTTGTGATGTTGGGATCTGAGGTCTCGGTATAGACTCATGATTGTTGAAATGTAAACTCATATGGAAATATCGTGGTGTGAGTGAATACCTATGCACACTGCTTGCATCAAGTATGAAGCCCTGCCAACAGGTGCATAAATGTTTAGGACTGTGTGCCCACTTGATGAACCAACCCCTTTATCATTATGAAGTGGTCTTCTGTATTGCTGGTAGTATTCTTTCTTTAAATTTTACTTTGATATACATATAACCATTACAGCTTTCTTTTGATTAGTTATGTGATATACATTTGTCCATCTTTTAATCTATTTCTATATTTTAAATATAACAAGATAGATTTCTTGTAGGCAGCACATAGCTGGGTGTATAGTGCTTGGGGAAGATTGACTGTACGTTATAAAACACAGAGCCTCCTCTCTCCAAAAGCTTTTTAGTCCCTCCTCACACGATTCCTCTTTATACTCTGGGAAAGTAGGGTCTCGCTTTTTTATCCAGTCTGACAACCCCTGCCCTTTAAATGGGGTGTTGAGACAGTTTGATATGCTCACTGATATAGTTGGGCTTGGCTGTCTCCAGTTCTGCAACTTAGATGCTTTAATTCTTCCTTTTACTGTTCCGTCAAACTGTTTTCACCTTTTTAAAAGGTAAATTTCTATGTTTACTGGACTTTTCATTGATCAGGACTATTATATATATATTTTTAAAACTATGTGATGTTTTTCTTAATGTAATGTTCTCTGTGTAATGTTTTTGTAATGCCTTGGTGATGAAATAGCATAGTTTTGAATAGTCTACTGCAACTTTTCTTTTTTCTAAGATAAGCCCTTGTGTTTTTAGTATACAGTTTTGCAAGAGCGTGAGGTTCTTCCAGAACATTTCTATTATAGTGAAAATGCCTGTGCTCTATTGAATCTGCAGTTGGGAGAAGAATCCGTTTCTAGCTGTCAGCACTATGTTAGGTGAAACCTTGCTAGACACTGGACATTTGGCTAGGAACCGTGCATGTCAGCTTGCCAGAATTATAGCTTTGAGAAGCATAATTGACCAGTATTAAAGTGAACACAGAACAGGGTAGGAGTGAGCACACATAGCCTCTTGGCAGTCCTCAGGTCTGGACTAGAGCTTATTCCTATTTGAAGATAAATAAACAGAAACAAACCTCACCTTTGGACCTGTCAAAAAAAGGGTATCCCAGAATGTATGGAAGAGGGAAATACCCTGAAGTGCAGAAGAATATGCCTCTGAAAATGAAATTAAATCAGGAAAAAATATTTTCAAAAGGCTTTGGCTAGAAGAATACCTGGCTCAACAAAGAGAAGCAGAAGGTGATGTATGAGGAGGGACTAGGCCGAGTGAGAAGATGATGAGATGAGTTTAAAGGGAAGTGGTTGAGAACAAAGAGTTCATGGCTTAGTTAAAATCTGTATTTGAAGCCATAAGGAATAAAATGGATATTGTGGAAAATAGCAGCAGTGAAGTGAAGAACATACTTGAGAGGCTGCCTGGGAATGCAGAATAAACAACAGATGTGTCACCGGTGAAAGAGGCCAGATCTGATGGGGAGACTTCAGCCAAATAGCATAGGAACTCTGAAGAAGCCAGAACAAGTTTAACAAAAATAATAATCAGTGACATAATTGAAGAACATTTTCCTGAGCAGAAAGAAGACCTATATTTGTTGAAAGAGTCATGTTTTGAACAAAATAAAAGACTCTTACTTATGTATCTTCTGACAACGTTTTTGAATTTTAAGATTCAAGAAAAAAATGCCAGTAGATTCCAGGCAGAAGAAAATGGTAACAACCACAACATCAAGACTCGGCCCCCAAAGTTTTACCTGGAAAGAAGCTGTAATTGAGCTGGACTTAAACTTCCCTACAATGTTGAGGGGGGAATGACATCCAAAAATTTTGAGGGGGGCATATTTGTGATCTAAGATTTTTATACCCAGCTGAGATGTGTTTTTTTGTGTGAAGGATACTGTCATCTGAGATTTGTGAGGGTTTGAAAAATATGCCATCTACATTCCCTTCAAGAAAATGTCTCTTTCTGACCAAGAGATGAATAAACATTCTGACCCTGAAGACAAATAAGTCATTGTCATTCCTAAGGAGATAACCAGATACAGAACAACAGTCATGAAGATATTAATCAGAGTTGTAGATACAATGAACATAAAGTTGGAAAGCATCTAGATAGCCAGCCTTGGGGGCGGGGGTGATTCTTTACATGATGAACTGGTTAGAGTTCTTTGGTTATAAGCAATTGGCAAAAAAAAAAAAAAAAAAAAAAAAAAAATTTCTAGACTAATTAAATCAAGAAAAGGAATTGGTCACACTTTTAAAGAAAGATGAACACAGAAGCCTCTGAAAGCACTTGAGCTGGGATCAGCCAGGGACTCTCAGTGGTAGGAGTGCTGAGACTTGTCTCTTTTGGGTTCATCTAGTGACTGATCTATTGAAGAGGCAGGCCTTGGAAAGAGAACTTGATGAGCTCAGCTGGTGCCACATGCCACTCTTTGGCCCGACACTTCCCTGGGAGCAGCAGGCTCATCCGAAGCTCCTGAAGTGGGGCGGGGCAGCTGTCTATCCACACATGGAATAGGAAACAGCCCTTCAAAACGAAGCTTACCAGGTATTGTTAATGCCATTGGAAAATGCCTGGCTGTAATATCAGCACAGAGAACGTGATAGACAGCTGTATCACTAGAGGTTCGTATGGGCAAAAGGCAAAGAAAAACAACGGCAAGGAAGCATGTCAGAATGTTACCAAGGGCTTGTCTGTGTGTGATGGCATCATGGATGACTTTTTAAATACTTAACCTGTGATGCGCATGTATTGCTTTTATAAGCAGAAAATGAAAACCTGAGAAAATGGTCATTATGAAGACAGAAACATGAGGGAACTATTTTAGGTTATCATGTTACGTGAGGAATGCGGACTTTAGAATTAAATTCTGTGATTACACAGACATTGTGACTACGAATGTCTATGGATCCAGGCTGATGCAAGCGTGCAGTAATGACATTTTGTGGTGGGAATGTGCTGAAAGTGATTTTTCTTTTAAAACATTTTATTTCATATTTATTTCATAAGCTAATATGACAGAATAAATTTATATTAGTTGGAAGATACTCTGCTTCCTTTCAAAAGCCTAATGTTGGAGAAACTTCTGGAAGGGGTAAGGAAGGTGTCTCTAGATCAGATATTTTGAACCAGGGGATGATATTATCCCCCAGAGGACCTTTGGCACTCCCTGGAGACATTCTTGGTTGTCATGACCTGGAAGATGCTGCTGGCATCTGGTGTGTGGAGGCCCAGGATCCTGCTAAATATCTTATAATGTGTATGGCAGCCCTACACCCCAACACCTAAATACGCAAACCAAAATCCCAGTGGTACTGAGGCTGAGAAACCCTGCTCTCTGGAGACATTTTTACATGTCTGTGATTTACTAACAAAAATCCCACTGCTCGTATTTGTAGAAATGATTCCGTCGAACTGTTCTATCAGTCCTTGGTCAGAACAAGGATAAAGAAGGAAGTTGGTGGGGCGTGGTGGCTCAAGCCTGTAATCCCAGCACTTTGGGAGGCTGAGGTGGGTGGATCACTTGAGGTCAGGAGTTTGAGACCAGCCTGGGCCAACATGGCAAAACCCCGTTTCTACTAAAAATACAAAAATTAGCTGTGCCTGGTGGCATGCACCTGTGTTCCCAGCTACTCGGGAGGCTGAGGCAGGAGAATTGCTCGAACCCAGGGTTGCAGGGGTGGTGGAGGTTGCAGTGAGCCCAGATCGTGCCACCACACTCCAGCCTGGGCGATAGAGCAAGATTCTGTCTCCAAAAAAAAAGAGGAAGTCATCATTTCCCTAGTTGGATGTTGTTTTCCAGATCGGAACTTCCATGTTGTAACTCCAGTCTCTTTTCTCCTTCTGACCTTGCAGGTTCATCTGCAGAAGCCAGCGGACGCCTCTGTTCAACTTGTGGGTTACCTGGCTCATGAGACCTTGCCGGCGAGGCTCGGCGCTTGAACGTCTGTGACCCAGCCCTCACCGTCCCGGTACTTGTATGTGTTGGTGGGAGTTTGGAGCTCGTTGGAGCTATCGTTTCCGTGGAAATTTTGAGCCATTTCGAATCACTTAAAGGAGTGGACATTGCTAGCAATGAGCTCCCAAAGCCATCCAGGTAAGGCCGGGTCATTTCTTCTCTGGGCACACAGCGGGGCTTTCTTTGCCCAAAGTAGAAGTTCTTGTGACTGCAGCTTGCTTTCTGGATTTGAGACTTTTGTTTTTCTTGATAGTGGTCACTGTTGGTTTTTGACAGCACAAAGTGCAAAATGGATGGTTTATTCTTCCTCTTGGTGAAAGAAGAATGATAAAACCTGGGAGGATGTGGAGTCAAGTCTGCGACCCCGGTTTGCAGGCTGACTTGAGAGGCACACAGGTTTCCTCGATGCTTTTTGACAAGGGTGATGTTGAAAGGTCAGGTTGTGATGTGGAGAGCTGGTTTCTTGCCCAGTGTCTTTGTTGTTTCATGAGGGGTTGTGTGAGGGGTGGGAGTGCTCCTCCAACTGGGCGTCTGGGCTGTCTGGGAAGAAGCTCATGTTCCCACTGAGGTCGTGGCCACAGTTGCTCCTGGTGTTTGAGGGCCTCTGTGAGGGGCTGCACTAAGCATTTTACAAGCATTTAGTACAGCCCCAGATCATCTCAGGCCTGGAGGGAAGAAGTAATTTGCCTGAGGTCACAGAGCTGGTAGGTGGGGGACCCACATGATTGGGAAGCAAGCTTGTCCTGCTCTGAGCTTCAGAAGCATGTCATGGGCCCATCCATTTACGACTTCACACTTTCTGTCCTTGGAAAGTCACCGAGAGCGTGCACCATAATGAAACCTCGAGGCCTGCCGCCGACCTGCCTGAGTGTGGGGCTCCTGCAGAGCCAGTCCTGTGCTGCCCAGCTTCCTGCCACTTCCAGCGCACCGTGGCCTTCAAGGGCACTTAGCCATCGACTTCTGTCTTGCGTCCACATGAGAGAGAAGACGGTGGCCACTGGACAGACGCTTGGACAGGCACCTGAGGCTCTGTTAGCCTTGGCTCTGGGTCCTGCTCCTTAGAGCAGAGGCAGAGAGGCTCAGGGTCTGTCTGGGTCACTCTCTTTGAGATTGCCGGAACGCTTACACACATCTTTCCCTGGGTGGAATCGTCTTTGTCTGAAAATTCCAGAGGGCAAGATTCCAGGTTTTTTTAGATATGAAAGTTTTATTGAGTTAAATTGTTTATGTATTGACTGATGTAAAGAAATGGTTTATGATCATTCCAAGACAAAATTAAGCGCTATGGCTCAAAGTGTCTAAATAGACATTGAATGGAGCTGGCTCTCTCCCTCCTACACTGGGCTGCTGTTGGGTGAGAGTGTATCTTTTTTCTGTGTCTAAACATAGTGTGATGTGTGTGAGCATTTTCATAGAGTATAATTCTATAGGCAGGGCCCTGTGTTTTACATTCTGTCCATTTTAATGTGTTATAAGCATCTTTTGGTATCAGTATGTGTGCAAATATAACTTGCTCTTTTGATACCTTGCGAATGGATATTTATGTGGTTGTAGCAGTGTTTATACCAATTCCAAATTGGCATCAAACAATTATTATACATATATTTTGTAAACTTCTAAGTATCACTACTAGACAAATTCCAGGAAGTGGAAGCTGGGTCAGTGAGCCCGTGCACTTAAAACATCATTAGGTTGACTGTCAAATTGCTCCAGAAGCCTCGTTCCAACTGATCTTCCTAATTCCAGTGTAAGAGGATGCATATTTTTCATTTGTGCTGTACCAGCACTGGGTAGGTTCAGTCTCTCTCATTTTTGTCAGTGTGCTATGGGAAAATTATTGTTTGAGTACACTTGATTATTTTAATGGGGGTGCATATTTTTGTATGACTTGGTGTACACATAATCATAATTTGTACATGCTCTGCAGGCATTTGAAGAGAAAGTATGCTCTTAGGATTTTGTTTCAGTCTAAAGACGTCTGTATGTATGTATCAATATTGTATTTAAAGTTCTCGGCCGGGCGCAGAGGCCCACAGCTGTAATCCCAGCACTTCGGAAGGTCAGGGTGGGCAGATCACAAGGTCAAGAGATTGAGACCATTCTGACCAACATAGTGAAACCCCATCTCTACTAAAAATACAAAAATTAGCTGGGCGTGGTGGCGTGTGCCTGTAGTCCCAGCTACCCAGGAGGCTCAGGCAGGATAATCGCTTGAACCTGGGAGGCAGAGGTTGCAGTGAGCTGAGATTGCGCCACTGTACTTCAGCCTGGCGACAGAGCAAGACTCCGTCTCAAAAAAAAAAGTTCTCTCATTTATATATATTTTATTTATATATAGGAGGATATGTATCCTTTCTTTATATGTTGTTTTAATTATATATTAACTCAGTTGAGTTATTTAAATCAGTATAGCTTTACTTATTTTTTTCTGTCTGCTCGATTTCTTGGAAAAGTGTATTTTTCTACTGTGATTATAGTCTTATAATATTCTTTTTACATTAATAACCATTTTTTGCTTTATATAGTTCAGTGTTTTTTTTTAAAGCTTAAAAATTAATGACTGTTCTTTTGGTAGATCAGGTCTCTTATCAAAATATAATATATTTCTCTTTGTTTAATGTTTCTTTGACCGAGAGCTTATAGTGTTTCATGAGGTATTTCTACCCTTGGTTTCTTTTGGCTAACAAATATTTCTCCATCCGCTTGTCTCTAACCTTTTCAGGCCGGGTTCTTTGAGGCTCAGCTCTGGAAACCGCGGGGTGCTGGGTTTGTTTGGCCTTTTCTGTGGGAATTTCAGCCGCTGCGGTTCAGTTTGATCACCGGCCTGCCCGGGCCTGTCCTGCCCATGTGAGTTGGGTTGTGTGCGCCTTATTGCCACCCACGACCTCTCCATTCTCTCTCTCAGTGGGTTGGAGGCTGAAGACAGGCCGCACTGGTGAGGGCAGGGCTGCCCCTTGGCCCAGCCCATTCTCTGCTCTCCATCTGTGCAGGGGGTACAGCTGAGGTGGTTTGCCTGGGGCCTGAAGTCTGCTGGCTGCCTCCTCTGCCCTGTCCGCTGTCATCTTTCCCTGCCGTGTCTGCCCTTCCGCCCGGAGGTCCCTTGGGAGGCAGGACCCCTTGTGCCCAACACGTGCATACCACCACCTGCACACACTGGCTGGTGGCCCAGCGGCCTCTGCCCACGTCTCAGGCGGGGGATGGGGCTTGCCCAGAACCGTGCCCTCCCTCCTGGGCGAGGCCCACTCGCTTGTGTGCCTTCCCAAGCAGCTCCATCCCCAGAGATCTCTAGTTTCGGGAAGTTCCTCTGTGTTTCTTGTCAGCTGATGCACCTGTCCGTCCGCTCCCAGGCATTGCTGGAAGTGCTTTCCAATCCTGCTTTTCATCATTTTAGTGGGTTTTGGGAGGAAGAGAAATCATTAATACTAAAGGATTCAGTTTGCTCTCTTGAGCGGGAAATTTCTAGGTGTGTCAGAGCACAGCCACGGAACCGCTGTCCCTTTTCCTTGAGCCGAGGAGCCGAGTCCTGGCAACGTGGTGTTCGGGGCCTACCTGGCTGCACCTCCCCTCCCTCCGTGTGTCTCTCGTGCCGTCCTCTGCTAGCTGGCCCTGTCCTTCGCCCTGCCCACCCGGCTCACTCTTGCCTGCCTGGCTCACCCTTGCCTGCCCATCTGGCATGGGGGCCCTGCTCCTGTGTGGCCTGGTGTGGGTGCCCGTGCCGCCCTCACTCCCTGGGCAGGCCGGGCTGGGGGAGTCCAGCCGCCCATGGGCCCCCTCTCACATTTGTCATGTGACTTGGCTTTGCCCTGCTGATGAAGTGCCCTTCTAGTGCAGTGTGTGTGGCTTTCCTCTCCTGTGTTCTGTGAAAGTCCTCTGCTGCTGGGTGAGTTTTGTGTTACGGTTTTATTGCTGTTCCCGCTGAACTTTGCCAGAGCCAGGCCCTGGTTCTCTGACGTCAAAGCTGCTTAACTGTTGGGATTTTATTGCTCTAAAGAACGATTTCTAATGATGTGAGCGGCCTGAGGGAAGAACCTGGATTGACTTAGCCTGGAAGGGCTCTCCTTTGAAAGGAGGCCCTGGAGCCTTACGCCCCTTGCCCGGCCAGCCCTCCACACCCTCCCTGAGGGGATGCGCTGTGGCAGGGCAGGATGCGTTTGTCAGGACACAGAGCCTCTGCCTTGAAGCCAGAGTCCCTGGCATGAAACCGGGAGTGTGGACGGAAAGCCCACGGGGGCCTGCTGGCAGGACAAGCTACGCCTCCTTTTTTTTCTCCCATTCCCTTGTTTTCCTCCAAGGACAGTTCTCCAAGTAACTGTCCTTGTCTTTCCTTGTGGTTAAGGGCTTAGGATACTGGTGACTTGACTGGCCAGCAGGAAAGGCAGACGTTGTTACTTGGCCACCCACTTAACACTACCCCGTCCCTCCAGTGTCATTTACTTTCCCTTCCGGAATGTTCGTGCCTAGAGAAAGTCTTGCCCAGAAAAGTTCTCAGTGTCAAGGAGCCCCGCAGTGGATTTGCTGGGACGTGGATTTGCTGGGACGTGTCTGTGGTCAGCGGGATGGTGCTCTCGATAGGAAGCAGTGCATTTGCTGGGACGTGGATTTGCTGGGACGTGTCTGTGGTCAGCGGGATGGTGCTCTCGATAGGAAGCAGTGCATTTGCTGGGACGTGGATTTGCTGGGACGTGTCTGTGGTCACCGGGATGATGCTCTCGATAGGAAGCAGTGGATTTGCTGGGACGTGTCTGTGGTCACCGGGATGATGCTCTCGATAGGAAGCAGTGGATTTGCTGGGACGTGTCTGTGGTCACCGGGATGATGCTCTCGATAGGAAGCAGTGCATTTGCTGGGACGTGGATTTGCTGGGACGTGTCTATGGTCACCGGGATGATGCTCTCGATAGGAAGCTGGTTGAGCAGGCAGTGGTCGGTAACTTGAGCATCCTCTCGCTCCTGGAATCTTGGTGCGAGGTACGGATAATGTTTAGTTCAAAACAAAATAAGTGGCCGGGTGCGGTGGCTCAAACCTGTAATCCTCGTGCTTTGAGAGGCCGAGGTGGGCAGATCATTTGAGGTCAGGAGTTCGCGATCAGCCTGGTCAGCATGGTCAAACCCCGTCTCTACTAAAAACACAAAAATTAGCCAGGCGTGGTGGCACGCGCCTGTAGTCCCAGCTACTCGGGAGGCTGAGGCAGGAGAATCGCTTGAATCCGGGAGGTGAGGTTGCAGTGAGCCGAGATGGTGCCACTGCACTGTAGCCTGGCCGACAGAGCAAGACTGTTGTCTCAAAACAAAAAAAAAGGATTTTGTGGGAAACGTGTGTAACTTAAGATCAGTGTGTTCATTTGGGCCATTCTATGATTTCTTAATATTCTGTTCAGTCTGAGCTACCCCCATCCACATAAAAGCAGCTAAAAAGTCTCTGTCCACAATGACTTGGTGATGAGTGAGTTCATGGTAATACAGTTGCTTCAGACCACTGTTGAGTGTTAACCCTGTGAGTCCAGGGAGAAGGCTCTCCTCTGGGATTGCTTCCAGTCCTCATGTTCTGCTCTAACTTTATTTGATCTTGAATCTGTTTATTTTAACTATTGTGGCCGCCAAGATTATTATATTTTAATATAGAAATGATCCATAAAGATGCATTTTTATGGCATTTAAATAATGCTCTGCAGTGGTTGAATGTCTCAGGAATACCACAAAGTGTCTGTGTGTATGTGTGTGTTAGAGTGTGTGTTAGGGTGTGTGTTTTAGACAGGTTGTATGTGTGTGAATCAGGGTGTATGTGTGTTAGGGTGTGTGCGTGTGATGGGGTGTGTGTTTTAGACAGGGTGTGTGTGTTAGGGTGCGTGTGTGTGTTTTAGACACAATGTGTATGTGTTAGGGTGTGTGTGTGTTTTAGACAGGGTGTGTGTGTGAGAGACAGGGTGTGTGTGTTAGGGTGTGTGTGTTTTAGATAGGGTGTGTGTGAGACAGGGTGTGTGTGTTAGGTGGTGTGTGTGTGTTTTAGACAGGGTGTGTGTGTGTGAGACGGTGTATGTGTTAGGGTGTGTGTTTAGACAGGGTGTGTGTGTCAGGGTGTGTTTTAGAGCGTGTGTGTTAGGGTATGTGTGTGTTAGGGTGTGTGTTTTAGACAGTGTGTGTGTTTTAGACTGTATTAAGATATGGGTGTGTGTTTTAGACAGAGTGTGTGTGTGTTAAGGTGTGTATGTGTGTTTTAGACAGGTGTGTGTGTTATGGTCTGTGTGTGTGTGTGTGTGTGTGAAGGTGTGTTTGTGTGTTTTAGGGTGTGGTATGTGTTAGGGTGTGTGTGTCTTAGACTGTGTGTTAAAGTATGGGTGTGTGTTTTGGACAGGATGTGTGTTAAGGTATGTATGTGTGTTTTAAACAGGGTGTGTGTGTCCTAGACTATGTGTTAAAAGTATGGGTGTGTGTTCTAGACAGGATGTGTGTTAAGATGTGTGTATGTGTGTTTTAGACGGGTGTGTATGGTCTGTATGCGTGTGTGTTAGGGTGTGTTTGTGTTTTAGGGTGTGGTATGTGTGTTAGGGTGTGGGTGTCTGTGTATTAAAGTATGGGTGTGTGTTTTAGACAGGATATGTGTGTGTTAAGGTATGTATGTGTGTTTTAGACAGGGTGTGTGTGTTTTAGACAGTGTGTGTTGGGTGAGTGCATGTGTGAGATGGGGGTGTGTGTGTTTCAGACGGTGTGTATGTGTGTTAGGGTGTGTGTGTGTTGGGTGAGTGCATGTGTGAGATGGGGGTGTGTGTGTTTCAGACGGTGTGTATGTGTGTTAGGATGTGTGTGTGAGAGTGAGTGCAAGTGTGTGAGACGGTGGTATATGTGTTTCAGACGGTGTGTATGTGTGTTAGGATGTGTGTGTTTGTTAGAGTGAGTGCACGTGTGTGAGATGGGGGTGTGTGTGTGTTTTAGACGGTGTGTATGTGTGTTAGGGTGTGTGTGTTTGAGTGCATGTGTGTGAGACGGGGGTGTGTATTTTAGACGATGTGTATGTGTGTTAGGGTGTGTATGTGTGTTTGAGTGCATGTGTGTGAGACGGGGGTGTGTGTGTTTTAGACGGTGTGTATGTGTGTTAGGGTGTGTGTGTTAGGGTGAGTGCATGTGTGTGAGATGGGTGTGTGTGTTTTAGGGAGTGTGTGTTTTTTAGACAGGGTTGAGAGTGTTGTTTTACACAGGGTGTGTGTTAGGGTGTGTGTATGTGTGTGTTAGGGTGTCCGTGTGTGTGTGTTGGGTGTGTGTGTGTGTGTTAGACAGGGTCTTGCTGTCGCCCAGGCTGGAGTGTGGTGGTATGCACCTCAGCCTCAGCTTCCTGGGCTTCAGCGATCCTCCCACCTCAGGCTCCCGAGTAGCTGGGACCACCTCTGGCATGCACCTCTGCATGCCACCACGCCCAGCTAATTTTTAAAATTTTTTGTGGAGACCGAATCTCACCATGTTGTCCAGGCTGGTCTCCAACTCCTGGACTCAAGCAATCCTGCCCCCTCGGCCTCCCAAAGTCCTGGATTACAGGTATGAGCCATTGTATCCGGCCAGGAGTACTACAAAGTTTTAAGGGGCAGAAAAGGAATTTTGAAGACCTGCAATTAACCCAAGACCTTGATTCTGAGCTTCTGGTGACAGGTGGGTTGCAGATTCTGAGCATGGCCCTTGCTCAGAAACAAGGTGGCGGGAGGTAATGAGAAAGCCTGGGAGCTGAGAGTGGCTTTGCAGGAGGCCCAAGAGGGCTCCCAGGAGGAGGGGGTGTGTAGGCAGCAGGTGCAGCCAGCTGGCAGGAGTCCAGGGGAGCTTGGACAAGGTGGCAGGGCCTGAGAGCATGCTTGGTGCCAGCTGGAGAAGAGCTTGTTCATGGCCCCTGCGGTGGGCAGCCCTGGGGGTTCTGGATAGGAGGGAGTGAGATTGAACCCCGAGAACGTGGGAGAGTAGACCAGCCCTACATCAACTGGAGGTTTTAGAGAAGGACAACAGAAATGCCTGGATAGTTCCGGCTGATGTTGGGGTGGGAGATGCTTTTGATCCCCATGTACTGCTTGCTTCCGCTTTCTAAAGGCAAGGTTTCAAAAATACTTGTGTACGTTTTCTGACGCACAGCACCGCCTGTCTGAATGTGCATCCTCCCAGCCACCCGGCACGGGGCGTCTGCAGCTCTCAGATTGTCACTAGCCTGGATTCTCCATGCCATCATTATCTGGGATCTTAATCAGTCAAGGTTTGTTCTGGAAATCATGTAGACATAAGGACTTATTTTTCAACCTACTTTTTTTTTTGATCCTCAAATTGTGTTTTGTCTTTTAAAAATCACGAGTACTCAGTCATTATGAAGAGCTCAGAAAATTCGCTGTCAATGGAGCATTGATGGTTTGTTTTGGCAATTCTCTGAAAATTCTTACACAGTTTGTGGAACATTTGCATTTGTGTCCCTTTTTCAAAGCCACTATTGTAGAAATGCAAATTTCTGAGTTCTGAGATGCTGAATGTTGGATGATTAATGATATTGAAATTTAAGAATGAACTCCCGGTATGTATTTGACATAGAAAACGCGGTGTGAGAATCATTAGAAACCATTGAGCACAGCTTGGCGGGGAACAGAAAGGCTGTGATTGAGGCACCCGGCAGTGGGGGCAGGTCGCACGTGGACAGGTGTGCAGGTGCGTGGCTGCCTCCGGGTGCCAGGCTGTGTGAGGCGGGAGCTACTGCCATCAAAGGTCTGGCTCTACTTGACCATAGGTGTTCAAAACTCATCATAATAATACATCAGCCTTGATGACTTGCTTGCTCAGTCAACCCCACTGCGCGTTTAAGAGAACGAAATGAACAGCAGGTTTGTTCTGAGTTTTGCTTGCTGCTACTCCATTTGTGCTTGCATATAGCCTGTGACGTGAGCTGGACACGTTATTTCTGTTTTGTAGATGAGGAAACCAGTGTTACTGCTATCGAGTGCTTAGGTAGGCTGAGGCTGGGCAGCGCATCAGAGGCCAATCTGGCACCGCTAGAATCGGTCACCTTCCCTCAAGGAGTGTGCGCCTCTCTGCGGCAGAACACTGGGCACCTGGGACCTGAGAGGCATTGAGCCTGTCTGCTTGTGTGAGCTCCCTGGCCAGGGCAGGCAGGGCAGGCAGGGCAGCAGGCACTCTGGTCCAGTGTGGTTCATGCCACGAGAGGGATGGGCTGGGCATGGAAGCCCCCTGAGGGATGTGGAGGCCAAGGGAGGCTGTCCCCTAGAAAGGACCTGAGGCTGAAACAGCCTTGTGAGGAGGGTTGGTGGGCCTCCCGCAGGTCCTGCCCCGCCGGCTGGGGCCCTGTCCTGCAACGTAGGCTTTTTTGTGTCCCAGTTGGTTTCAACGAGCATGGGTTTTGCCATCAGGGAACTTCATCTGTCCTTCCTCTGTCTTTTTGTGAACTTTCTCTGAGCTCTCTTTGCCGGTCCTTAGAATGTTGGGACTGAAGGAGTGACTGGGTGATTGGCATAACCAAGCGAACTCTGAGATTTGGGCTGAAACTTTCACGTTGTGGCCACTTAGCATCCTTCTCTTTGTTTATTTCATGAGAACATGGCAAAAAATGGGCACTTTGGGGAAAATTATAATGAAAATTACAGTTAATTTTAAGAAATTAAAATTAAGACAAAAATCAACTGAGGCATATACCTAAACTTTTTTGAATTATATCTGGCCCTGAGCTTTTAAACTGGTTTGCTTTCAGCCACCTAATCAGTAAGACACTGGGAGTGCTGGCCCTTCAGGAGTGATACGCATTGGTGGGGATGGAGGCCTTGGGGCGTTATTTTCATGTTTGCTTCTCTCTCCTTCCCCCTTTTTAGGAAAACAAATACAAATAGAAAAGATAAATTCTGCCTCTCAGGGAGCTAGGCACAGCTGATTTGGAGACCGAAGCCCATAGCCAGGCCTTTGGGAGCCCCCTTGACAGTGTAGGCGGCTGTTTCCCTCCAAGACGACGCTGGGCCTGCGGGCTCTTGGTTGTCTGTGAGGATCCTGAGCCCGGCTGGCTTATGGTGGCTTTGTTCTCACTGGACCCCAGGCTCCCTCATCTCCCTCAGCCCTCACTGTACTCTCCTCCATCTCTGCCCAGTGTCCCCTTGCTGCCTTTCCTTCAGTGCTACAACACGGACTCAGGACCCAGTGTGGTTCCATGCTGACGGGCAGCTGTAGAGCTGTTGGGATATTACCTTGAAACACAGTGTTCAGGATGACTGTCATTTCCTAGCTTTCACCAAGACTCTGTACTTTCAAAAGGAGTAGTAAAACTTATTGTAACGTATTTGTTTTTTTCAAAATACAGAAATGACCTAAATGTACTTATTTTTGTTCCATTTGAAATAGCATTTATAAAGAATTAGGACAAGTTGGTCTGTGTGTCTTAGTGTTCATTATTTAGTGATGGTCATTAACTGGGGGAGTTTTTTCTTTTCTGTATACAACTACATTCTCAAAGGTTCAAATTAGCTCTTTGAGTTTGTATTCACTTGAGATGTCAGAATTTGTTATTATGAAGCCACTGTCTTCAGAGCCTTTCCCTAAAAGAAGTTTTGTGATTGGAGCCAGTTTTTTTTTTTTAATTTTAAATTTTAAAATGCTTAGACCATTTTCTTAGAAGATTGCTTCCATAATGTGGTTGTTTAGGTGATGCCTTTGTTCGTTCAGCCTGCTATCATAAAATACCTTAGGGTGGATGATATGTAAATAATAGAAATTTCTTGCTCACAGTTCTGGGGGCTGGGAAGTCCAAGATCAAGGTGCCAGCGGACTTGGTGTCTGGTGAGGGCTGCTCTCTGCTTCACAGATGGTGCCTTCTTGCTGTGTCCTCACCTGTTGGAAGGGGTGAGGGGTCTCACTTGAACCTCTATAATAAGGGCACTAATCCTGTTCCTGAGAGTCCATAACTTAATCACTCTCCAGAGGCCCCACTTCTTAATACTGTCACATTGGGTATTAGATTTTAACACGTGAATTTTGGGGGGGACGCCAACATTCAGACCACAGCAGCTGCTAAAGCCAAGAGAATACCTTTCATTATAAGAGCTAATGGTTTTCTTTCAATTAGTTTGCATTCATAGCCAAAGGTATTCCTTTTTAAATACCTATGAGTTTTCCTAGGAAATATGTAGAAATTGGATGCTTATTAACACTGTGTTTCTCAGTGACTTGTTGATTCAGTAGGGTTTGTGAAATGCTGTTGGAGTTTCAGGCAAGGATGTGGAGTCTGTTCTGAGCACACTCAGGGTTTCCATGTGTTGTCCTGAAAGCCTTTCTCACCTCTTCACATCTAGGGTAAGGCCGTATTGAGGGGAAGTTCCTCCCTCCCTGTTAGGTAGTGTGATGCAGAATTCTTGACACTCTTTGTTTTCACATGGACTGAATCCAAATCAGGTGGGGCTGATTCTTCCAGCCCTGTCTCCTCATCCCGGTCTGACACTGCACAACACAAACCTTCCTGCTGCAGGCTCACCGAGGTGCTGCCTGGCCCTGTCTTTGCCTGAACACCTGCAGTCTCAATGTGGCTGTGCGGGAGCAAAGGCGGCCTTCGCCCCACGTCTCTCTCATGTGCTTCCATAGCACTGCCTTGTTTTTGTGAAAGGATCGGGGAGGGAGGAAGGCAAGGTTAATTTTTTCTTTCTGATGTACTAGTGGATAAAAAGAGTTCTAGAACATTTGAGGAGGCCCTAGGGGAAACTGGAGACATGGAAAGCAGAGGTTTTCGTTGGTAAACCAGAGAGATGAGGAGTTTTAGTTTTTGTAGTGCCCGATGCATTGTACGTGTTGAAAGCCGAGTCCTTGATGGTAATGGTGGCTCTGATGATGGTGGAGATGGGAGGTTAGGATCCCCTTAGAGATGTTTAGTGGGTGCTGCAGTGAGCCCAGTTTTCTGAGTGACAGGGACTAGGGTGTGACTGCTGAAGAGGGGGCCAGATCTTCAGTGCCCTTTATCTCTGGTGGGCTTCTCATCCTTGGTCTTGCAGCATCAGGATGGGGCCAGGGTGCCTGGCCTGGAGGGGTGGACTTGGGCCGAGGACTGCAGGGCACAGATGTCCTCTCAGTGTGGCCCTCAGCACGGGGAGCCCTGTGGCTTTGAAGCAGATGCTTCATTCAAGGCAGGTGGTTCTTTTCTGAACACAAACATACACGTGAGCATCCCCAAAGGCTGTTTTTGAGAGATGGTGTGTGTCTCCATGTCCAGGCTGTTGTAACAGAATGATAAGGTGCAGAGGCCATCTGACAGCTGGAAGGGTACAGAGGCATCTCTAAGCAGCAGCACCGATGGAGTACCCAGCCTGGAAGTGCTGACACCCCACCATGGTCCTCCTCTGTCCCATGCAGCCCAGCCTTTAGGAGATGCACCAACAGGCATTTGGGTGGCAGACTGGAGCTCAGTGGGGCTGCCCCCACTGGGGCCCCTCTGTAGCTTCTGAGAACAGTTGAATTGTCTATCTGCCTTCACATCTATCTGTGATTTGGTTCCCTTTTGTTCTTCGCCAGTCCTCAGTAGGATTTGGTAAGACGTAATTTCTCGATGGTTCAGGAAGACGGGTGGGGCTGTGTCCATGCTTGCACAGCCTACTGTGAACAGCTGAGCTCACTGCCCTGTGACTGGCTTGGTGTAGCTGAGGCTCAGGGAAGAGCTGGGGTGTCCTGGGGTGAGGGAGCAGCAGCACCAGCAGGACCCCATGCCCCAACTGCTGCAGGGACCATCCTGGCCTGAATGTGTTAGAAACTAGGAGGGTATCTGGGGTGGGGACACATCCCACTCTTCTTGCTTTGTGTTCAGGCCCCCAGCCTCTTTCTGTCATGATGTCTTGATGTCTCCCTACTCAGCTGCTAGCACTTCTGCTGAGGGAAGCAGTCACAAAGGCCGGTGGCCCTGGCCTGAGCATGGATGTGGCTTTCTTGGTTCTTGGCTGCGGTTTCCTTGAACTCTCTGTGGTCTGCAGGACCTGATGCATGAGAATCACATGTGGGGAGGGTGTTTCTTGTGTTTATCAGTGTTTCCATTTCTTTGGAAGTTACCTGGATGCTGTTATGAGTGGATTTGGTGGACTGATTTGCATGGGTGTGGCCTCAAGGACTGCATTTTCTAAGGAGATGGTGTTTTTAATGCCTTAGCCAGGAGATTGCAGGGGGCCGCGGGCCACATGTGTGGTTCTCTGGGAAGATTCTGCTCTGGAGCTCTGCTGAGGGATGTTATTTCAAACTTCAGTACTATCTTCATGAACAAAAGAACAACGTAGGTCTCCGTTGAGTTGCTCACATCACCCGAGAGAGCATGGCTTTGGTGCTCCTCACCCATGTCCAGATCAGAGCATTTAGGCTTCACCTGGGGAATGGACAGGGGCAGGAGCTGGGAGATCACTGCCCAGGGGTGGCTCTGTGTCCGGGGTGACCTGGACTGGGCCCATTGCCTCCTGGGGCTGAGGTTGCTTCCTTTCATCGGGCCCTGTTTCTTTAGAAAGATACTGGGCTTTGACTTTTGCCTTCTGTCGGCACCTGGCCCTGCAGCTGATGGAAACTGGCAGAGCAAAGGACTTCACTGGGACAGTGAGCAGTGGGGCAGCCCTGTGTTTACAGGCAACCCCAGACCCTCTTATGACAGAAGGGGAGGGCAGGGCAGCCGGCCTTCACCTGGATAGGAACAGCAGGTGGCTGATGTATCTGAGTTGGTATATTCATTCAGAGACATTGGTTAAAATTACTTGTCAATATAACATCTTTACCATTGTTTTCTTCAAAGCCAGATTCTGTATTTTCTGATTTTATGTAAACTAAATACATAGTTTTCTTAAATACAGATGACCTCTGCCTTCACAGTTTCTTTGGATACCTTTCAAGTCAGTTTAACACACATGCTCTCCGGAAACAAAACTCAGCCACTGGGGAACCGAACCTACGCTTTTGGTAGAATCTCAGCCTTGGGGGGAGCCTGGAGGCCCTGAGCCCTGGATGACACCTGCTCTGGAATCCTCCACCAGTGGCTTTTGAAATGTGGTTGGTGGCTGAATCTCACTTCTGCCTTGGATGCTTATGGAATCTTCTGGATGGACTGAGCTCAGAATCTCATTGAATACTGTGGTCCTCTCAGTCTGAACTTTGTACCTAAAAATCCACGGGAATCTCATAGCAGCTGCTGAGGATTTGGAGAACTCCCTTAGAAAAATAAAAGGAATTTATTTTTTCCTATTTTATGTAGTGGCTATTTAAATTTTGAACATCAAATGGTAGTTTTGGATTTTAAAAGCTCAGTGTGAATAAACTTTGAGCTCAGATGCAGCCGTTCTTTTAGTGTGTCAATTTTAATAGGTGTCATTTGATGTTTGCACTAGGGGGTTGGACGAAGGTCGGTGTGAGAATCTCAGGGATAACTGGGCTGCTGCAGGGGTCAGACAAGGCCTCCTGTAATAGGGATTTTGGGGCACTGATGGAATGAAGGGAAGCGGGAGGAGAGGGTAACGAGTAGAGGCTGCCGCTGCCCCAGTTGTATTAGAGGGTGGTGAGGGACGTGGTGGATAGGAAGCTGCATGGGCCTCCAGGAACTCACTGCACTGGCTTTGAGTCGCGAGAGAGGTGCCACGGGAGGTCTAGAAACCGTGCATTTTGGGACTGAGATAAAACACGTCCAGCTGGTGGCACAGACCAAGCCAGCTGGGAGCGGAGTTGTCTCTCTGTGCTTGTCTGGAGTACCTGCCTGTGCTCTCTGAGCAGCCTCTGCACCTGGCTGGTGGGCGGGGCTGAGCCTCACCTTCAAGGCTGCAGATTCCCTGGCTTTCGGTGTGCTGGGGGATGCCTTCTGCATGGCCTGGCTTTCCTGGGATTTCCAGACCAGATCCACCTCTTTCTCCCCTTTTTCTTTGTCTTTCTGCCCCCGAAGAGATAGCAGTGTACAAAAACAAGCCAGCATTTCTTGTTCTCTTGCTATTTGTAATTGTCCCGAGCCTGGACTGGGTCCAGTCCGCTCATTTATTCTGCCAGGGCCCAGTCTGCAGATCTCAGCCGAAGCCGGTTGTCCTGCCTGGCTCGCTCTGTTCCTGGAAAGCTTTGTCACGCACAGCCAGGGGCCACTTTGGGTGCATCCTGTCTCCCCCGTCGCCGTATGTTTGGGAGCAGAAGTTGGCTCTGGTCAGATATGTGGATGTTAATTTATCCTCATTCTTGGAAGCAAGTTGGGAGCTCAGAGGAAAGGAAGAGCCACAAAATGTCAAACCCAGCAGCGGCCATCTGACTCGGTTGCTCATCGCTATAATATGTGATTAAGATGGAAGTGTTTGATTTCCTCGCTTGCCGGATTTAGGCCTCATTTTGCTTACTCCCGTGAGTCCTGATTTCTTCCTGTTAGAGAGAGGAAGTTTGCAGCGATAACCGACTTGCAGTGGGGTTTTCTGTGAATGGAGCTTGTATTGGTGCGATGTGTGGCGTGGGAGTCCCCACCGGTTAGTGGCTTATGCAGGGTGTGAGTTTCTCTCAAAGTGGACGTTTTCTGCCTTCCCGGAGCCAAAACGTTTATTTCGCCGGTGAGTACAGCTGAGTCTCACGTGCATCTGACAGCAGTGTCTCCGAGCCTTGCCATTTCCTCCACTCCCTCCCTTGGAGCCGTTTGTGTGACAACCTGCTGTTCAGTAAAACCAGTTTAGTGGAGTGGGTGTGTGTTAATTCTAGTCCATGTGTTTAAAAATCAATTCATATGATGAGAATGGCACTTTCCCCCGTGGTCTTCCTCTCAGTAACCCATAGCCCCAGTCCAACCATGGGAAAAACATCAGACAAATTCCAGTAGACACCCTTCCTACAGTCTACTCTTGCCAGGCCCACTCGATATGCCAAGGTCATCAGAAACAAGCATCCTTTGAGAAACTGTCACCACCAGGAGGGATCTCAGGACATGCGACACCTAAGTGTGATGTGGAATTCCTGGATGGGATCCTGGATGGATCTTGGAATACAGTAAAAGACATTAGTGGGAAACTTCAGGAAATCCTAAACTCTAGAATTTTAGTTAATGACAGTAATGTCAGTATTGGTTCCCAATTGTGACTAACATACCGTAGTAAGGTAGGATGCTAATAATCGCGGGGAATGTGCAGGTGGTATTGGTAGGGTATATGGCAGCTCTCTCTACTGTCTACTCAAGTTTTAATAAAATATGTCAAGAATTTTGAGTTCACAAAATGAAGTACATTTATAGATACTCTCTTTTGCTTAATGTTTGTTCATGAATGGCTGTATACTGTAGTTACTTTAGCACCTAGCTTTTACAGTTTTTCCTTTGGGGACTCTTTTTTTTATGGTTGTGCATGGATGTGGTAGAGTAACTTAACAAGTCATTGTTGGTGGACAGGGAGTTTGTTTTCAGCCTTTCCATTGTTGTTATTATAAACATGTAGCCTTGAAGACCGCCAATGTCTAAGTGAACTTTTTAACTGAAGTATCACAGGCATCCAGGAAAGTGCAAGAATCATGACTGCTTAGCTTGATGAACTCTCCCAAAAGGAAGATGCCTGTAACTGCTACCCAGATTGTGAAATGGGACATCCCAACACCCAGAAGCCCCGTATATGTCCTCTCTCAGTTACTGTACCCTCACTCTCACACCCTCTAGATACCACTTCTCTAGCTTCTAACATGAGTTTCTCCTGGTTTTGAACGTCATATAAATCACGTAATACTTATTCTTATTGTCTGGATTATTTCACTTGACAATATGTTAGATTTATTGATATTGTGGCTTATAGTAGTAGTTTCTTCATTTAATGGGTATATAATATTTCATTGTATGAACATATCACAAATTATTTATTGGTTCAATTGCTGATGACATTTTGGTGGTTTCCAGTTTGGAATTATGTATAATGCTACTGTAACATTCTTGTATATTTCAATTGGTTCATATAAGTATGCAATTCTTTTGATAAGGTGTATGTGTGCCAAACAGTTCTTCAAATTGATTGTACCAATTTACACTCTGACCTATAGAATGTTGCTCTGTCCTTGCCAATACATGGTACTGTAATTCTTTTTCATTTTAACTATTGTAGTTTCATTTGTATTTCCCAGATTACTAAAAATGTTGAATACCTTTTCATACGTTTATTGACCAACTAGATGTCATCTTTGGTGGAGAAGTTTCTATTCATTTAAGAAATTGGTTTGTCTTTATTTTTCTTACTGAGTTGTAGGAGCTATTTCTGTACACTGGCTATGAATGAGCTTTTTGTTGTTTGTTGCTATTTTCTATGTGTGTGCTGCGTTTTCCCTTTCTTAATGGTGTTTTTTTTTTTTTTTTTTTTTTGCTGAACAGATGCTCTTAATTTTAATAGTCCAATTTAATAGTTTTATCTATGCCTATTTGAAGATATTCTATATTATTTTTGATAAACTTCATTGTTCTATCACTCATTTAGATCTGTGATCCACTGGGAATTTTTTTTTTTTTATGTGTGAGGTAGGGATTGAGAGTTACTTTTCCGTTTGGAAATTCAGTTGGCCTAACAGTATTTATTTAAAAGAGTCATCCTTTCTTCTCTGCTATCCAATGCAACTTTGTCATAAGTGAAATAAATTATATAAATGGATCTGTTTTTGCACTTTATTCTAGTTCATTGGTCTGTTTGCATATCTGTGTACCAGTGCAACACTGTCTTAACTAATAGATTTGCAGTTAACCATAGTATCTAATAATGTAGGTCTTCCAACTTTTTAAAACTTTTCAAAGCTTGTTTTGGTTCTTTTTAGCCCTTTGCATTTCCATATGGATTTTTTTTTTTTTTTTTTTTGAGATGGAGTCTTGCTCTGTCTTCCAGGCTGGAGTGCAGTGGCACGATCTTGGCTCACTGCAAGCTCCGCCTCCCAGGTTCACGCCATTCTCCTGCCTTAGCCTCCCCAGCAGCTGGGACTACAGGTGCACGCCACCATGCCCAGCTAATTTTTTTGTATTTTTTAGTAGAGGGGGGTGTTTCACCGTGTTAGCCAGGATGGTCTTGATCTCCTGACCTTGTGATCCACCTGCCTCGGCCTCCCAAAGTGCTGGGATTACAGGCATGAGCCACCACGCCCGGCCTCCATATGAATTTTAAAATCAGCTTTTCAATTTCAACAGAATACCTGCTGTGGTCTCAATTGGGATCCACTGATTTGCATATGAAATCAGTTTATTAGGAGTCTTCTAATCTACGAATATGCTACGTCTCTCTATTTTTTTCGAGCATCTGTAATTTCTTTCGATCATATTTTGTAATTTTCAGTATAGAGGTCTTAGTTTTTTTTTATTTGTTTGTTTTGAGATGGAGTCTTGCTCTGCTGCCCAGGCTGGAGCGCAGTGGCACAATCTCAACTCACTGCAACCTCCGCCTCCCAGGCTCAAGCAGTTCTCGTGCCTTAGCCTCCTGAGTACCTGGGATTACAGGCACATGCCACCATGCCTGGCTAATTTTTTCTATTTTTTGTAGAGACGGGGCGTCACCATGTTGATCAGGCTGGTCTCGAACTCCTGACCTCAAGCAATCCGTCCTCCTCGGCCTCCCAAAGTGCTGGGATTACAAGCATGAGCCACCGTGCCTGGCCTAGAGGTCTTTTATTTCTTTTGTTAGATTTACTTCTAGGTTATGCTGTTTTGTTGGGGGAATTTTATTTTTGTAATGTTTAGAAGCACAATTCATTTTTGTATATTTGTCGTGTCTCCAGATACCTCGCACAGTGTTTATTATTATACTCATTATCTATATATTCTTTTGGGTTTTTAATGCATATTGTCTATGGACGGTGAATGTTTCATTTCTTCTTTGCTAATTTTTAAAACTTTTATGTCTTTCTTGCTTTGCTGCACTGCCTAGGACCTTCAGTCAAATGGTAATAGTAGGCATCTATATCAGTCATTGGTAGTAGTAGGCATCTATGTCTTATTCTAATATCAAGAGAAAAATTTTTAGTATTTCATCATTATAGATAAAATTTGCTATAAGTTCTGTGTAGTCCATGAGATGAATGCAGTTTACTTTTGTTCTTAGTTTGCTGAGTTTTTCTGATAAGCAGCTGTTAAAATATTAGATGGAGTCATGTGAAATTGCAGATATTTGATCTTTTTCCATCTACAAAAAATGGTATTTTCATTTGGTTCAACTTAATGTATTAGACTTTTTCTGCATCTGTTAATAGTCTTATGCTTTTTTTCTTTATTTTATTGTGTTGAATTTTCTGATTGACTTGAATGTTAAGTCAACCTTACACTTCTGTAATAATTATTATAATGTGTTATTCTTTTTATATACTGTTGAATTTACATTGCTTATAGTCAGTTTAATTTTTATCATCTAAAGATATGAGATTGACGTGTTATTTTTTCTTGAAATGCTTTGTCACATTTTAATATTAAAGTTATACTAATCTCTTAAAATATGAAGTTGCTTTCTTCTTCTATTCCTAGGATTGCCAAAATTTTTCTGTAGAGAGTCAGTAAAGACTTCATGCTTTGTGGACCACATATGGTCTCTATTGCACGTTTTTTTCCCTTTTTTCTTTTCTTTCTTCTTTTTTTTACCAACCACTTAATGTAAAATCCCATCTTATTTTTCAGGTTATATAAAATCAAGCCACAGATTGTACTTGGCCCATGGGCCATAGTTTGCTGACACCTGTTTGATTTTCTTGAAGAGTTTATGTAGGAAAGATGCTATTTCTTTCTTAAGTTGGGATGGATTTGCTTATGAACTTATCTTGGAGTTTTCTTTGTGGGAAGATTTGTAAATTACACCCTCAACTGATATAGGACTGTTTAGATTTTTAAGATTTTCTTGTGTCAGTTTTTGTGTGTTTAGTTTTTCTTGGAATTTTTTACATTCCATCTGCATCTTCAAATGTATTGAAATAAAGTTGTTTAAATACCTTCTCATTATCTTTGTAATGACTGTAGGATTTGTAGTGTCATCCCCTTTTAAATTCCTGATATTGTTTGTTCTCTCATTTTTCCTTCATTGGACTTTGCTAGGAGCTTATTTATTATATTAATATTTTTTAAGAACTGTGTTTGGTTTTCTTGATTTTTTAAAATTGAATTTAAAAAAATAAATTTCTGTTCTTATTGCTATTATTTTTGTTTTTGGGATTTAATTTGCTGGGGTTGTTGTTTTTACTGATTAAGGTAAATATTTAGATCACTGATTTTTTTTTTTCAGACTTTCTTCTGTAATCCACGTGCTTAAAACTATAAATTTCCACCTATGTATGGCTTTCGCTAGATTATGTGAGCTTTTTAATGTCATTTTAATTATAATTTGGTTTAGAATATTATCTAGTTTCTTTTTTTGACTTGTGTTAATTAGAAATATATTTCTAAATTTCAGTGCTTTATGAATTTGCTAGTATTTTGCTTTCATTTTGTTATTGATTTCTAGTTTAATTTCACTGTGGTCACTCATTTTATGTAATTTCAGTTTTTAGAAATTCTTTGAATTTTGCTTTATTGATTATATGGTCAGTTTTGTCAACATTTTATGTATACTTGAAGAGAAGAAGTCAGCCGTGGAGATTTGCCAGTTCTACATGTCCATTTAATCAAATTAATCATTGTGCTCAGATCTCCTGTTATCTTTACTATTTTATTGTCTGCTTTTCTGTCAGATAGTGGGAATGGAATATTAAAATCCCCCTGATGTAACTGTGGATTGGCATTGTTTCTCTTTTTAGCTCTGTCAGGTTTAGCCTTTGTTTATTTTGAAGCTATTTTAAGCCTAGGCAGATTTAGAATTTTATGCATAAAATTATTCCATAAAATTGGAATAACTGCCTTTTTGTTACTGTGAAATGTCCACCTTTCCCTCTTGTATCCCTTCTTACGCTCAAGCTGCGGATTCTGTGAGGACTGGTCAGGTCCGTGTTGCCCTCACTCCTGGCACGGGGCTCTCCTCACCCCCACGCTCAGTCTGGCGTTCGTTTCCCAGGGTCCGAGCCGTCCGGTGCTGCTCCGCTCCTCAGCCTCTGGAGGACACGCGGGCCGAGTGTGCCCTCTTTCCACCTCCCTTCTCTCCCAGGCCTGGGCTCCTCGTGCATCGCCGTGTTTTAGATTGCATCCTGTCCTCTGTGTTCCTGGCTGGAGGGTTAGTATGGCCCGCTGTAGCCCAGAGTGGAAGCTGAGGTTTACCTGGCAGTCCCCGCACGGTGGGTCCAGTGCAGCCCTGGCGACGTGTCATTGCAGTTCGCTCACCTGGCCCGTGTGTGCTTCCTGAAGGCTTCCCCCGTAGAACTCACTATCTGGGCGGCTTAGTTCACGAGTCCCAGCTTGCTTTCCAGGCTTGCATTCATCTTTATGTTGCAGTAAAATAACTGTTGGGCATATTTTAAAGTGGACTGAAATATATCTGCAGCCTTGAGCAGCTCTTATAGCACTTTTATTCAGATATTTTATGAGGTGATTTATGTCGCACCTTATAAATGCTCTAAAATCTCCCTGACCAGAAATGCAGTGGGCAGGGCCACCCCACCCCTTCCTGCTTGTCTTCCCTCCCCCATCCTGCCTCCTTCTCGTGGCTTTTACCGTTTTCCCCTCGAATATGAAGGAAGAATTCATTCCAGATTTAGCTTTAGGAATCATGTGCAGGACGTTGAGTTTCGTGCCATCAATGTCACGACAGTGCTGGCCGCGCTTTGCTCCGATGGCCCATCAGCCCCGCTTCCTCCTGGGCAGGCTGAGAGCTTCACTTGGCCGCTCTCTCAGTATGTCCTCTGGGCTGTATTCAGGCATATCTGCCTTCCTCCCCACTCCGAATTTCGGGCAGCCAAGGTCAGGCAGGTTGGGAATGCGCACGCACAGGGCAGCAGGTCTGTGTCAGCAGCGTGGCATGTGGGGCTGGGGTGGCAGCACAGCCTGTCCTCTTCAGTGGCCTTTTTGGGATGGAGAAGGCTGAGGGTGAGATCTCTTTTGCCACATTAAACCAAAGTGGTTGGGTTACAAATACCACGTTTAGTATACTACGTTTAAAAGTATATTTTATTCAGTATAATTGCTCACTTAAAACATTTAAAGATAAATATACTTGTATTGACACATTGAATTACAGATAGTCTAGTAAGGAAGCCAGCGATTTTTCTCCCTGTAGAAGGCCAGGCCTCATGACCAGGGGATGTTAGCATTATGGGGAAGCAGCCATTTTGTTTGTCAGAATCAGCATCCTCCTCTGAGATAAGAAAACAGAGTGTGAAGGTTGGCTGACCTGTGCCACTTCTGCCACGTGGCTGCCTTCAACCACTGTGCGCGGTCACTGGCAGCCTGTTCAGTGTTGGTGGAGAAGAGCTTCTTGGAGCGGAAGTCCAGGCCAGTGTTCGGTGGGGCCAGAGTTCAGGTGTCCTTGGTGAGCCACACTCCTTCCTGTCGCCCTCTTGCAGTCCTGATTGCCAGGTTGCTGGCTGCAGGCCCCAGTGGCCCTTGCTCAGGCCTTTGGAACCAGGCAGGGTTAGCAGCTGCCACTCCCTCGCGGGGTCTCCTGTGAGGCATCTCTTCCTTTGGCACAGGGTCCCCCTGGGGCCTGGTTGGACCTCCCCTTCCCGATGCTCCTATGGAAAGCTGGCAGTTGGGCCACTTGGCACCACTCCCAGTGTCCCTCTGGCTCTCCTGTGGCTCTCCCATGGCTCTCCAGGCAGCTGTACCTGGCCTGCATACGGCCTCCGGCCATCGGCTCTGTGGCCGCTGATCCAGGCCCCTACAAGTTTGATTCTGCCCCGTCATCTCAGTGAGACAGGCACAGCCTCTGCAGCAGCAGCTTGGGCTTGGAGGGCAGGGGCCACGTCGGGCCAGCAGCTCCTCTCCAGCTTTCTGCACACCCCTCCTCCCACCAGGACACCCCTCCTCCTTGCTCCCCCATTCCTGCTCCGGCTGGGGGAGGGAAGCTGGCATCACACAGACACCCGTGGCCGCCTCCCACTAGGCTTCTGCTCCCTTCTCTGAGACATGGGGCTCCTAAGAGACTTCACCTTATAGGGTTGTCGTGAAGATCCAGTGAGGCAGGCACGGAGCCCAGCGCCTGTTCCTGCCCAGGGATGTCAGCTGCTGTCCTCCTGTTGGGATCCAGAACCCTTTGTAGCCCAGCCCAGGCCCTGAGTGTCTGGCAAGGTTTAGTTTAGTCAGCCTTGTCAGACTCATGCCCTTTTTGATAAATATAAATAACCTGTGTCCTTCAGTGTTTGAAATTTCAGAATAACTTGGACATCAGATCACAAAACAAATGGAGCACGGGTGTCTGTGTGATGCCAGCTTCCCTCCCCCAGCCGGAGCAGGAATGGGGGAGCAAGGAGGAGGGGTGTCCCGGTGGGAGGAGGGGTGTGCAGAAAGCTGGAGAGGAGCTGCTGGCCCGACGTGGCCCCTGCCCTCCCAGCCCAAGCTGCTGCTGCAGAGGCTGTGCCTGTCTCACTGAGATGACGGGGCAGAATCAAACTTGTATGTTTTACCTTTTTTTCTCTTTTGGTGATGAGTGATGGTAAACCATAAAACTCAACTCCTGAGAAAGGAATTTTACTAGCAGATAATGGAGGGTTCCTGTCATTCCAATAGGAGGACCCGCCTTTGGGGTCTGCACAGCTGGTGGGGTCCCCGTGGACCCCTTCTGAGTCCTTCTGGGAGTGGGCTAGCCCAGGATCGGCTGGTGGGGAGGTAGCTGCACTGGGGGGGATGTGGGGGGTTGGCATTGCAGGACCTTCCATGCCGCCTGCCTCCATCTGGGGCCAGGAGTTGGCCCTGGGCTCTGCCTGTGGGTCCTGGGTGTGCTGCTGCTGCCTGGTGGCCTGGGCCTGGAGGAAGGAGCTCAGCTTACACTCCCAGCCTTTCAGGCAGGTTCGCAGCAGCCAAGTGGTTTCTTAAAAAGAATTCCTCCTCCCTTGATTAATTTCTGGCATGCTGCTTCGGGGAGCTCTTGCGTCAGTAAATCGTCATAAACCCCCAGTTGTCTGGATCAGACATAAACACCAAGCCCAGCTCCACCGCTCCTGACTCTTGGCCAGGGCTGGCCTGCCCTCTGAGCTCCGGGCTGGGCTGCTGGAGATAAAGAGGGCCAGCGGGCGCCCGAGAGGTCAGGCGTATGGCTGCACCCGACAAAGTCCTTTTCTCAGAGGTGCCGAGCCTGGCAGTTCGGATGTGTGCTGTGCTCGCTGGGGGAGGATGCCGGGCACAGATGTGATTTATTTCCTGAAATGTTTGGTGTTTCTTTTTCCTCCCCCACCAGCTCCCCACTCTCATGGATAGGATGTTTTCCTCGTTGGGAGTATTTGCCTCCTTCCAGTGGGCATTCTGTAGGGGTTAAGAAAGATCCCTGTGTGTGAGGCTTGCACAGTGTTACATTCAGGTCTGGGAAACTCAGGGGCTGGACAGCAAGTACCTCACTGTCCAGATCTCAAGGACAGAATGCCTTACAGAATGCTTCCTGTTGCTCACAGCAAACCTCATCTTAAGGCCTTTTCAGCAGCGTTTGAGATCGTCAGGAGGTCCCGGACTACATTCATCCTGCCCTTGTTTTTGTAGAACATTTTTCATCTGGGGTACCCGTGAAGAGGCCAGAAGCCTGGGAGCTGGGTTCCCCACAGTCCTGGGTTACCGGGGAGCACACTTGGGCCAGCGCCAGGGCTCCTCCAGGGTGGCTAGAAGAAAGAACTTGGGCCTCCAGTCATTTCAGGGCTGATTCAGGCATTTGGCAAGTATTGATTGAGCCCCTGCTATAGGTGGATGGTGGGAATGTGTGGCTTTCAGCGTGTCATCCAGCTTACATTGCTCAGGGCGGGGACCAGTCACTGGCAGATGTGGAGGGATGTGCAGTGAGGGGCCTTGTGGACAGGGCCAGGCATGGGCCTGTACAGACATTCAGAAGAAATGGCAGCCACCCCAGGCCCCTGGATGGTGTGTATGCGGGGAGAGCATGGGAAGGAAGACTGTCCAGAGACTGTCCAGGGGCCTCTGCTGGATGTTAGCTTGCAGGGAGCAGTGTGGGCCAGGAACCAGGCAGGGCTTGGCCATGCCCATGAATTTGGCCAGGGTGTCTCTAGGCTTGCTCTGGGTTTCCGAGGGCCTGCAGGGCACAGGCACGCTTTGGGGAGGCTGTCAGGCCCTGGTTCTGAGTCCCATCCTGTGAGCCAGGCAGTCTCTCTGGGAAAGCCCTGTAGGCAGAAGGGCAGTCCCGGGCCAAGTCTGGGCTGGCTGGCTGGGGGCTAGCGTCTGATTTCAAGATTGCAGTTTCGACTTGTTTTCTGCCTATGCACATAAACTGTGGTATGAACCAAATTTAAGGGAGTTTCATGAATGAAAAAAAGTCCAGGCTGTCTACGATAATTAACTTTGTGTGTAAAATTGAGAAAAGACTTCCGTATTGTAGCTGAGGGGCAGAACAGCTGAGTTTCACTCGCTGGACACCTGGGCTCTGCAGAGCAGGTTCTGAGGGCAGGGGACCTGGGCCCCAGTTTCTGAGCTGCATGGGGGTGCCTCCCAACCCCTGGGGAAGGGGAGGAACGTTCATCGGGCCCCGGCTTGCCTTATTCATGCCATTGGCTCAGCCGAGCCCTGGGCCACCCCGTGGGAAAGGCACACCCTCCCTCCCAGGTGGGTACGGCTAGGCTCCCAGGGCAAAGCCAGGTGCCCCAGGAAACCCAGCTGCCAGCAGAGCCAGGCGAGGCTGCCGCCTTCTGACCCCAGGCTCTTGTGGCTTCCTTGGGGCTCTGCTTCTCAGATTCTGAAACATTTGTTCAGCGAAGGCAGTTGGTGAATCATCCTAGTCAGGGTTTTTTTCCAGAAACAGGTGCACCGCCAGTGAGTGATGTGGTCTCGTTCAGACTGTGCCTCTCATGCCTGCACTCATGGCCTGGGAAGGTCGTACCCCTGGGCCTGTTGTGCACTTCTCTTTAGCAGTATGACAGGGGTGACCTCTGTGTGCTTGGGGGTGGCATGTGAACTGCCCCACAGGCTCCCATCAGCATTCAGAGAGGCCTCAGGTGCGGTGGATGTGGGGGTCTCGGACCAGAGAAGCAGCCAGCTGCTGGCTCGCTGGGATGCCCATGGCCCCAGAAGTATCTAGCAAATCATAGAGAGTTTAAAACATACTGCCATCTGTTGTTTTCTTCCAACTCCTTGCTTTGCCATTTATTCTGTCTTGAAGATTATTTCATATCAGTTAATAAAGCAATCCCTGATTCTTTTAATAAATAACATATTTCTTTTTAATTCTTGAAATAACACTTGGGTGTTGTTTCTGTCTACCAACATGTATATTAATTTCTTTGTTCATCATGCTTTTTTATTGTGGTAAAATATACATAACATAAATTTATAATTCTAAGCATTTTGAAGCGCACAGTTCAGTGGCAGTAAATATTTTCCCATTGTTGGGCAACCATCACCACCATCCATTCCCAGAACGTTTTCATCTTCCCGAACAGAAACTCCATACCTAGTAAACAATCCTGTTTCCCTCCCTCTGGCTGCGGCACCCACCATTCACCATTCTGCTTTCTCAGCGAATCTGACTCCTCTAGGGCCCTTCTGTGAATGGACTTGTATTTGTCCTTTTGTGCGTGGCTTCTTTCACTTGGCATAATGTGTCAGGGTTCACTCGTATTGTGGCATGGTCAGAATTTGGTTCCTAAAACTTTTAAGGATGAGCAGTCCATTGTGTGCATACATCACATCTTATTTATTCCATCTCTTGGTGGACCTTTGGGCCGTCTTAACTTTTTGGCCATTGTGACTAATGCTGCTGTGAACATATGTGTACACACGTCTCTGAGTCCCTGCTTTCACATCTTTTGGGTATATACCTTGGAGCAGAATTGTTGAATCCTATGATAATTTTGTGCTTAATTTATTATTATTTTTTTTTCATCCCACTCTGTTGCCCAGCCTGGAGTACAGTGGTACAATCTCGGCTTCCTGCAGCCTCTGTCCCCCGGGGTTCAAGTGACTCTCGTGCTTCAGCCTCCCGAGTAGCTGGGACTACAGACACCCGCCACCACGCCCGGTTAATTTTTGTATTTTTAGTAGAGATGGGGTTTTGCCATGTTGACCAGGCTGGTCTCGAACTCCTGACCACAGGTGATCCACCCGTCTCGGCCTCCCAAAGTGCTGGGATTACAGGCGTGAGCCACCACGCCCAGCCCTGTGTTTAAGTTTTTAGAAACCACCAAAGTGTTTTCCACAACACTGCACCATTTTATGTTCCTGCCCACCACGTATGAGGGTTCCAATTTCTTCACATCCGCACCAATATTTTTTATTTTCCAATTTTGAAATAATAGTCATCCTAGTGAGTGTGAATGGTATCTTATTGTGGTTGTGATTTGTATTTGCCTAATAATTAGTGATGTTGAACATCTTTTCATGTACCTATTGGCCGTTGGCATATTTTCTTTGGATAAATGTCTCTTCACGTCTTTTGCCCATATTTGAATTGGGTTGTTTGTTTTTTTGTTGTTGTGTTGTAGGGGTACTTCATATGTTATAGATATATAATCTGCAAATATCTCCTTCTATTCTGTAGGTTGTCATTTCACTCTCTGGATGGTGTCCTGTGGTGCACAGAAGTTTTTCATTTTGATGAAGTGCAGTTAATCTGTTTTTTGTTGCTTGGCCTTTGATGTCATATCTAAGAAGCCACTGCCAAATCCAAGGTCATGAAGACTAACCCCCTGTGTTTTCTTCTATGAGTTTTATGGTTTTAGTTCTTATATTTAGATCATTGGTGTATTCTGCCTTAAGTTTTGCATATGGTATGAGGTAGGGGTTCAACTTCATTCCTTTGCCTGTGGCAATTTGATGGTCCAGCACCATTTGTTGAAGAGGATGTTGCTTGCCTTTAGCTGCTGTAAGAGAGCATGTGTCTTAGAGGAAAGATCTTGCTCATTTCTGAAGTTGTGCTTTGGAAGTGTCTGAGCTGCAGTTGTTCTTCCTTCCCAGGTCGGTGTAGACTCTGCTCTTCCTAAGCCAGGGCGCTGCAGCCATATTCAGTCTCTTGTTCTTTGGCTCCCGTCCCTGTCGCTGCGTCCCTACAGCAGCACCTCGCCCACGCCCCCTTCTGTTATGGCCTCTCCAAGGGATGGCGAGTTTAACAACAACTGACCAGGGTTTCCACAGGAGACAGAGAACAGGCTTTCTGCAGCGTGGGTTCCCAGTTGTGCTGTGAGCTGTGGTGCCTCGTGAGTGGGGCTCTTCCGACCATCCTGTCACCACTTGCGTCAGAGTCCTGCGTGCTATCTGCCTGGGGGTCCTGAGTGTGCTGGCTGCTGCACTGAAGCGGGTGGGCTGCTGAGCAGGAAGCCACAGCATGCCACGCAGGCACTTTGGCTTTGCTTGGCCCCTGGAGAGCAAACACATAATGGCAATAGGCTTTACAGGGAGTAGGATTTATTTACTTTATCTGAAGGAGTTTAAAAATTGCTATTGTTCTCTTGGCTTTTAATTTTCACTCTCACCAGCCTTTCTGTTCAGGATACTGTGCGGTGAGGACCTCTTTCTCCATGTTAAGTTCGCACTGGTGAGTTGTGGCAGGATTGGTTTTCTTGTAGGATGGCTCAGGGCTGTGTTTCTTTCAGCTAATTGTGGCTACATTTTTGCCTTTGCGTGTCCAATTTGGGTTTCAAATTCAGGATTGTCCAAGTACTCTATGTTTGAAAATATTTTCCAGAGACCCCAGATTTCTTATTTATGTGCGTTAGTTACTTTTTAATTTTTTCAGCTGCCTTCTAGTTTCACACCTTCAATTGTGCTAATCCTTCGCATTTTAAAAGTTACACCAGCCTTTGTCAGTGTTTCATCAGTGCATACCGTAGCGCATGTGGTCCCGTTCAGATGCACTTTCTGTGGCCTGGATTCTAGGGGAAGCAATAGAGGATATATTTCATTCTGAAATTTGCACTGTTTCTTTTTTAAGTTAAATATTTCAACAGCAATGGATGTTCTTGTCTTTTTTTAGAAAAAATAAAAATGAATGTTTTTGTGGCGCTTCTGCCTGCTTGAGTGGCAGCGTTTTTTCCCTGTGCAGGCCCCCAGGTGTGTGTGATTGGCTGCCCCGGGGCCCCGTGACAGGGGATGCTTTTTGAGCTCTCACCGGCATCTTCCTCCTTAAATCCAGATTGGGCGGAGACATGAATTCAGCATTACCTCTCCCATGTCCACACGTGAAGAAGCACTTTCCAGGCGCACACACCTAAGTCGTTGGCCGCGGGTTCTTGGAGGGCGTGGCCTGAGCTCCCAGACGCCTCCTCTCTCACCTAGCACTGCACAGTGCCTTCCACACACAGGCTCTCCGAGGATCTGCCCCATTTATTGCTTTGATTTTGTTGGATGAAAGCAGTTTATTAAATAAATGGGAAAATACTCCCCTTCCCCAGTTTCAAAAGTTAAGATGTAGTCTTTTCTTTACTTAACATCCAACAATGCTGAAAGATGAAAGAAAGGAAAATGCTCTCTTTACCCTGCCAGACCACATTTAGCTGGGAGGCACACAGTTCAGAGAAAGTCACAGGTGACATTTTGTAGATTCTCAAGCAGGAGCTCTCTCTCTTTTTCTCTCTTTCCCTCTTTGTCTCCCCATGTCCATACCTGTACCTATTACATACACGATAGAACAGCAATGGGATTTTTTTGTAGCTCCGTAATATTTCAGTATTTAAAAATCCTCTGTTAATGGGACTTAAATTTTTTGTATAGTAAATAACACCTCAGCGAGCATTGTTGCACATGTGTCTTTATGTTTGGGGCTGGTTGTTCTTATCATGATTGTTTTGTTAGGATAAAGTCCAAGAAACAGAACTGTGGGGACAAGGGGATGCGTGAGTCACCCTCATCATCAAGAGTGAGCCGTTTGTGGCACGTGCACCCCACCCACTATGGCAAGATGCCTCCACACACCCCGCAGCAGCGCTGGGTTTGTCTCAGTCACTGCAGTTCTTTCTGGGCTTCCCGAGAAGGAAGGGCCACAAGAGTCTGTCCAGGTGCTGGGGCAGACATTGGTGACGTCGCTTATCGAAGCCAGGAGTGGGGCCCCGGGTGTGGGGCCGAGTGACAGACCCAGGCTACCCACACCCGGGCAGGATGAAGAGTCTCAAGAGTGCTTTCCTTAGGCTGGTTCCCGTCCACACACCAGCACTCAGCCAGTCAAGACACCTCTTGTGAGCATCTGCTACATGCCAGGCTGCTGTAAGCACTGGGGTCTACTGGTGAACCACACAGGAAAAGCCCCCACCCATTGCCACACCCAGTGCCAGTGGGAAAGTCAAACAGTAGATGGGTAAATAAACAACTACATAATGGTAAATATGGCTGGCAGTGATGGAGTCTGCCCTGCACAGGCACTTTGCTAAGTGTTTTCTACATATTTACAGCTGTGATCCCCACAACAGCCTACGGATGGGTCCTACTAACCTTACATCATCTGTATTTTACAGATGAGAAAACAGAGGCATTGAGAAAGGAAGTCACTGGCCCAAGGGGCTGTGCCAAGCAACTGACTCTTAACCAGTGAGCTTGCGCTCTGAAGTGTAAGGCTTTACTCCCCTAAACTTGTCATTGCAAGGCAGTAGAATAGGATCTGGAGACAGGGGGCCTTCACTTCAGCATCCGATTGGTTGCAGGCTGAGCTTTCACTTCAGCCCCTGATTGGTTGCAGGCCAAGTCTTCATTCGCATAGGGTGTAACTTCACTTTGGCCTCTGATTGGTCATGAGCCAAGTCTTCATTTACATAGGGTGTAACCAGTAGGAAACCTCTAAAGGGTACTTAACCCCCAGAAGATTTTGCAAGTGGGAGTCTTGAGCAGCTTGCTCTGGAGCTTGCTCCTGCTCTGTGGAGTGTACTTCCGCTTAAACAAATCTGTGCTTTCGTTGCTTCATTCTTTCATTGCTTTGTTTGTGTGTTTTGTCCAATTCTTTGTTCAACATGTCAAGAACCTGGACGACTCGCAGTGAAGACCCTCCCCCTTAACAACCGGATGTGCCATCAGGGATAGATGCTGCCCTGAGAATGATGAAGCCAGTGTCTAGGGGAAGTCCTGGTGTGGGCGGGAGCTGTGATGTTCTGTGCTCTATGGCAGGGCTTTGGAGGGCTTTGACTGGGCCAGAGCAAGTAACTATAAAATGTCAGACCTTAGAAGAAAAGCATCCTGTACTCTGACAGGAAGCAGCATGAGTTGGTTGTCACTAAAAGGAAGAACTTCTGAGAACCCCACAAAGGACCCAGTTAGGTAATTGTTGAAAGCTGCTACTCCTTCAGGGATAATGTAATATTTTTCCAACATTTACACACGTTCACCTTATTTAAGATTGGCTCAAAACACAGAAAAATGTAAGCTAACCTTTTTTTTTTTTTTTTTTTTTTTTTTTGAGACGGAGTCTTGCTCTTTCACCCAGGCTGGAGTGCAGTGGCGCTATCTCGGCTCGCTGCAAGCTCCGTCTCCCGGGTTCACACCATTGTCCTGCCTCAGCCTCCTGAGTAGCTGGGACTACAGGCGCCCGCCACCACGCCCGGCTAATTTTTTGTATTTTTAGTAGAGACGGGGTTTCACCGTGTGAGCCAGGATGGTCTCGATCTCCTGACCTCGTGATCCGCCCACCTTCACCTTCCAAAGTGCCGGGATTACAGGCGTGAGCCACTGCGCCTGGCTGCAAGCTAATCTTATGAAGCTTAGAGTATCTTGATTTTAGAACCTGCAAGAGACAATAATAAAGCAAACGTTATAAGCACATTTTGTTTGTAAACATAGGTTTAAAACCCTGAATAGAATATTGGGGAAAAGAAAATAACAGTACATTATGTAGTTATTCGTTATCAAAGGTTTTATTACAGGACAGTTGTTATACAAGGAAAGCGGTATAAATCATGTAAATATGAGAGAATGTTTTGAAAAATAAAAAAGATTAGATAAAATAATTATTTCAGTTTTCATAATTGATTTTAAAATACCCAAGTTGGAGAGAATATGTAGTTCTTACAAGTTGGGGATCATTTGAAAGCAAAAATGAATCTTTTTCATGGTTGGAAAACTCTAGAGGCCTTGTCTTAACAAGAGCTGTGTTCTGAGGTTGACCTTACGGTAGCACATGTGTTCAGTATGGCTTGAGATGTCAGCAGTTTCATTAAGATGGGAAGAACCAAAATAAATTCACATAAAAAGACTCAAAAAGATTCAGAAAATTTTATAGATTATCAGAAACCCACTAGAATCATGGATTTTGTATTTGCCAATAATTAATAGCTAGAAAAGTTCAACAGCAAAATAGTTTTGATTAAAATACATATTTTTACATAACAGAAGAGTCCTACCAATTTCCTTATTTCCATATTTGGCAAATTTAGATTTACCTATGTCATTTGTCACTGGTGGAGATCAGCATTCCATTCTCTATAATTCCTTCTAAATTTTTTTGTTTGTTTGATTTATCACTTTTTTTTTTTTTTTTTTTTTGAGATGAAGTCTCACTCTTGTTCCCCAGGCTGGAGTGCAATGGTGCGATCTCGACTCACTGCACCCTCCGCCTCCCAGGTTCAAGCAATTCTCCTGCCTCACCCTCCCGAGTAGCTGGGATTACAGGCGCCTCCCACCACGCCAGCTAACTTTTGTATTTTAAGTAGAGACGGGGTTTCACCATGTTGGCCAGGCTGGTCTTGAACTTCTGACCTCAGGTGATCCGCCTGCTTCGGCCTCCCAAAGTGCTGGGATTACAGGTGATTTATCACTTTCTCAGCCCGCTTAGTCATTCTGTTTTTATCCCCTCCACACGCATTTATTTTAAATTTTAATTATAAATCTCTAATTAAAGAATTAAACAATTCATAGACATTATCTGCATCATTTAAAGCAATACAATAGCAGTGACCGTGTGCTCTGTGAGACAGAGACCACTACAAGGACATTTACATGTTTGCTTTTCATTCTGCTGTTTCCAAAAAAAAGTTTTATCATACATGCACATGTTCCTAAACAATATGATTTTAGTTTTATGTTTTTGAACTTCATGTAAATAGAATTATACTATACGTTTTCTATTTCGTGGGTTCTTTTTCAGGCAGGACTGTTTTTGAGAACCAGGTTTCTGCCTGTAGCTGTCGGTGACTGGTGTTCATTAGTGTCTTGCATTCAATTTTGTGAATTTTCACAACTTTGATTCATGTTCAGATGTGGCTGCTCTCAAACATGATGTTGTGGACATTCTTTTGTGTGTTTTCTGACACACGCAAACTTGGGTCTTTGCCAGGTTCCTGCCTGGGAATGGGAGTGCCGGGTCACGGGTAAGCTACTTTTAACTCTGCGTGACCTCCAGCACGGCCACACCGTCTTAGACCTAGTGCCAGTGTCTTCAGGCTGACCAGGGCGCCTTGCTCGGTCCCGGGAGGTGGCCCTCGCCTGGCCTGTGCCTGACCGCCAGCCTGCTGTGGCTGTCAGTGTCTTCTGACATGGGTCACCCATTTTTATGTTTGTTGTTGGTTTCGTTTTCTTAATCATTTGCAGAATTGAAATATCTGGGTGTGTGTGGCTTCCTTCCAGCAGCTAACGGGAGGCTGCGGCCGTGTGCTGCCTTCATTGTCACAGCTTCCTATGGCCACTGCTCCTTAAAGTTTCCTATATGTGGATATTACTTGCTTGCTGTTTCTTGTTGAATATCAGATATTCTGGTTTTTTGCTCTTACTTTTCTTCTGGAAGTAATATCCTTTGGAAGTAATATCCTTTAGAAATTCCTGCAGAAGTTCCGTTTTTTGTTCGTCTGAGAGTTGCCTCCTTTTCCTTCATTGTTGAATGATCCCTCACAGAAGACAGTGCTGGGGAGGCAGCTGCTCTTCCCCAGGGCTCTGAGGATGTGATTGGTTCACTCAGTTCCACTGGGGCTGTTCCGTTCCTTGGCAGGAATCCGTTGTGTCTCTCTAGGTGTTTTGTAGTCTTAGTGTTCTACATTTTTGTAAGCGTTTTCACTTACCCCTGTTGATATTTTTTTGGACTTCCTGAATCTGAAGATTAGTGTCTTCCAATAATAATGGGGAATTTTATTCCTTAACTTTTTTCTTTTTAACTTTTAATTTTGCTGTAATTTCAAACTTACAGAAAATCAGCAAAAAATAGTCCAAAGAATTACTGTTTATTGATATGCATCCTTTTTTTTTTTTTCAGAATCGTTTGAAAGTTAGTGTTAGATGTGATGCCTTCCCCCAACTAATAATCCAGGCCATGTTGCCTCAGATAAGCGTGGTCACTCTTCAACTACGGTCAGTGAGTAGAGTTGGAAAATAACAGCGAGCAGGCATTGTTCTCTCATCTGTAGGCCTTGTTTATGTTTCGCTGATAGTCTAGTGATGTCTCGTTATCAACAGCAGATGACAGGCCCTGCAGGGCCTTCAATTCTCACGTCCTCCCCAGTCCCCTTTGCTCCGGGACAGTCTCCTCGTCATTTTTATGTTTCGTGACATTCACATTTTGGAAGCGTAGGGGCAGCTATTTTGTAAAATGTTTTTCAGCTTGGGATTTCGGCATGTTTCCTCGTGATTGGATTCCAGTGATGCCGCTGGGCTTGGCGGCCACCGCAGTATTTCGTTGCTGCTGATGCTGCCCGGAAGCTCTCAGTGAAGGTGATGCTGGCGGGTGTTTCCACTGTGAAGTTACATTGTTTCCTGCATAATTAGCAGGTATCTGGTAGGGAGATAATCTGGGACTGTGCAGACAGCCTGCTACTCCCCGAGCACTGACCCACAAGTCTCAGCATCATTGATGGTTCTTTGTCGGAGTCTGTTGTTGTCGTGGTGGTGGCTACTGGTCATCTAGTGTCACCGTTCTTGCTACATTCAGGACGGGAAGCCCTCATTAACCTCAGGAGGTTCTTGGAAACTGACTTTTAAGTGAAATGGTCATCTAGTGTCACCGTTCTTGCTACATTCAGGACGGGAAGCCCTCATTAACCTCAGGAGGTTCTTGGAAACTGACTTTTAAGTGAAATAATACAGAATAAAACCAAGGTTATTTTTCTCACCAGTGCACCAGTGTTATAGTCAAACGACTGGCATTGCTTGAGGACCCTCTGTCGTTGGCTTAAAGTTGCGGTTTCCAAGAACCTGTGGACAACGTGAAATGTGGACTCCTGTAGTTAACTTTCTCCTGTAAAGAGCTTTCCTTTCCTCCTTATTTATGTGTTTCCTTATTGTTTACTTATATTAGTTTGAACTCATAGATTCCTAATTTATTAACTGGGTTATAACCTTTTATTATCAATATCTATTCTGCTGCCCAAATTGTTCCAGTTTGGCCAATGAGAGCCCCTTCATGCTGGCGTTTCTGGCAGGTCCCTCCCGTTTTGGGACCCTTCTTTACTCTCTTGGATACACAAAATGTCCTAATCTCGCCTGTACTTACCCTGTCCTGGCCTGGAATCAGCTTTTTCTCAAGGCGGCCTGGTTCCTTTCTCGGGGAATGCTATTTAGAAACCAGCTCTCGGCCGCCAGAGCTGTGAATAGATGTGTGTAGATCGGCCCCTGCACCCACACACGCCGGCCCCACCCACACACATGGCAGTTCACTTCCAGCCCAGCCTCACAAAGGCCACCGGCTGGCCTTCTCCTTTCACATTTGTTACTCCCTCTGCTGACAAGGAGACGTGGAGCTCTCAGAATCCATCATGTACTTACTTATTTGTTCAGTCTCAATCCCAGAATACTCAGAGATTATTAACCTATGCCTCTGTGAAAAAGAAACCCCCAACTAGAGTCCAGCAGTCGCTGAAGGCGTATGGTCCAGATACCGGGTCTAAAAGCCACTTTGGCAAGCTCTTACGCACACCCCACCCTGCCCCAGCGTGGTTGTTACTCATCTGAAATGGGGTTTGGTTATTTGTTTCTGTTTGTATTTCAGTTTAGAATTTTTCCCCCTGTGTACTTTTTGATTGTATTAATTTTCACTTTTTGATGATGTGAAACCCAATTGCAGCTTCAAAAGCCAGAACTGTGTAGCAGCCAGACTCAGAGAAGCGGGTCCCCTACCCCTGCTGTCCCCTGTCCTTTCCACCCTGTCCCCATGAGCTACCCTTTCTTTCCTGGGTGGCCTTGTGTGCTTTCATTTGCCCACTTTCTTGCACGGAAAGAATGTCCTACAGGGAACTCCTCTTCCCTAGCAGTATGTCCTGGAAACCACGCCACGTCTGTCCACAGGCTCCTGCTCATTCCTGTGGACAGCCATACACTCTGCAATTCATCCAGCCGCTCTCTTACCTAGGGCCCATTGGTATACTGTACAGGGTAGTGGTAGAATCACAGCTCACTACAGCCTCCACCTCGTGGGCTCAAGCAGTTCTCCTGCCTCAGCCTCCCAAGTAGCTGGGACTACAGGCCCGTGCTACCATGCCTAGGTAATTTTTTTATCTTTAATTTTTTTGTAGAGATGGGGTCTTGCTGTGTTGCTCAGGCTGGTCTCAAACTCCTGGGCTCAAGTGATCTTCCCACCTTGGCCCCCCAGAGTGCTGGGATTTACAGGTGAGAGTCACCGGGCCTGCCATCTGAGTTTTATCTTCAGAGTTGGTTTATGGAGTGATTTCTATCAAAAGATAAGTAGATTATATCATTTTATTAGATTTTTCTCAAGATTTCCTATAGGAAACTTATATCAGTTTGCATTTCCGCCAGTAGTGTCTGAGCGAGCCTATTCCCACGGGGCTTTGGAGTGGAGTGTATTACTTACTTGCTGATTTGGTAGATGAAGGATATTTCAGTTTGTAAGGGCCGTTTTTCTGTCTTTGCTTTTGGCTTTTCTGTTAGGCTTTTGGTCTCTGTTCACACAGTTTGTAAGAGTTCTACTGATGGAAGAGATTTTGGCCTTTGTCTTTCATGTGTATTGCAAGTAACTGCTCACAGTTTGTCCACTGTATTTTGACATTCTTTCTCATGCTGCTTTCACCCTGTAAAAGGTTTTTCCTCCATGTATCAAACTTACTGTTTTTTTTAAATTGCATCTGGATTTTCAGTCCTGGTTAGAAAGCCTTCCTTGACTTCCAGAAGATGTTTTCTTTGAGTGCTTGTACGGTTTCGTTTTTTACATTTGCATCCCCAATTCGTTTGGAGTTTACCCTTGTGTATGGTGTTAGGTTTGGATTTAATGTTATCTTTTCCCAGACAGCAACCCAATTGTCTCCAGTACTGTTTATTAAAACATCCCTGTTTGTCCCAGTGGTTGAGATGGGCACCTTTATCCTGCCCTGGAGTTCCGTCTGTACTTCTGTTTCTGGACTTTCTCACTGTCACCTGGTCTGCCGGGTTGATGGTGTCTGTCGTGCTCTCTGAAGCGTAGGGGCTTTGAGGCGTGTTTTAGCATGTGGTTGGGCATGCTGGGTTTCATTTTGAATGTTTCTCTAGCGCTCGTGCATCGGCATTGCCCGTTGCTCTCCCATCATCTCTCTTCTTTCTTTCTGGGATTCTGATTACAGGTGTGTAAACCAAAAGTATCTGAGACAGGTCTCACTCAATTTAAAAAGTTTGTTTAGCCAAGCTTAAGGACGTGCCTGTGACACAGCCTCAAGAGGTGCTGACAACATGTGCCCAAGGTGGTCGGGGAACAGCTTGGTTTCATACATTTTTAGGGAGACATGAGGCGTCTGTCAGTATGTGGAAGATGAACATTGGTCCAGTCCAGAAACGCGGGACAACTCGAAGTGTGAGGCTTTCAGATTATAGGTAGATTTTAAAATGTTCTGATTGGCAGTTGGTTGAAAGAGTTATTATCAACACAAAGGAATGTCTGGATTATGATAAGGGTTTGTGGAGACCAAGGATTTACCATGCCGACGAAGCCTCCGGGTAGCAGGCTTCAGAGAGAATAGACTGAAATGTTTCTCATCAGACTTAAAGAGTCTGTTCTATCAGCAATTCCAAAAGGGAGGAGGGTATCATGAGGCACATCTGAATGCCCGTCCCCATCACGACCTGAACTAGCTTTTCAGGTTAATGTTGGAATGCCCTTGGCTTGAGAGGAGGGGTCCATTCAGATGGTTGGGAGCTTAGAATTTTATTTTTGGTTTACAGATGTGTGTTAGCATATCTTCCTCTGTCCTTCCAGTCCTCTAACGTCTCCAGCTTTCTATCTCTTTACCTTTATGTGTTGCATCCTGGTTTATTTCTTCCGTGCTATTTTACTGTTCACTAATTCTCTCTTCAGCTCTGTCTATTAATACTTGATTAGTTAACTCACTCATTTAGTTTTAAATTTTAATGATGACAGTTTTGTTTCTACAAGTTCCATTTGGATCATTCAGATCCATGTGACACTTCTGATAGTTATTAATAATAACAGCTGAGACATCTGTCTCCTTTCTTCCTTAGCCTTGCTCCAGGGAGAGTGTGGGCTCTTCTAATCCCCCTTTTTGGCAAATGGGAAGCTAAGGCACAGGGAGGTTGAGGAAGCCACCAGGTTTGTACAGTCACTAAGTGACAGGATCTGGAGGCCTCTAGCTCCAGCCTGACCCTGGATGACCTCTCTTGTTTTGTCGAGTGTCCTTCGTATGTGTTTTGGGTCAGTGCCTGATTTTCCTACAACTGAGGTCTTTCCGGGACTTACTCCCGCTACCCATGGTTCTTGATTGTGACTTTATGTCCGTCCTTCTTGGATGTTTTTTTGAGGTTCATAGCGTGTTCCTCTAGAGAAGGTTTCTGCCTGGTGCTGGGAGGTGCCACCTGGGACATGCCTGTGTTTGCAGGTGCTAGGGATGCTCATCAGGCCTCATGGGTTGTCTGAATTCTCCCCAAACCATTGCGAGGGGTCTGGGATTATGAGTTCTGAGGGGAGTCCTCTCTCGATTTGACCCCTTCTAGCCAGCACCAAGCCCAGGCCCGGATGTGTCCCTTGCAGGCCTGTCTTCTGGCTTCCCCTGCCAAGGGAACTACAGCCCCTCCCCACGCACACTCACAGGGACGGTGCAGTGGTAAGAGGCAGTGCAGGTGGCTGCCCCAGGACAGGCCCTGGGCTCCAGGCTGGCTTTCATGTTCTATTTGCCCTGCCTTGAATTCCTGTCTTTGGAGTATATTCCTCACTCTTCAGCCAACTCAGCCCTGAGTATAATTAGACGTCTCTAAAAGTGCGTGTGCCATATTGCCAGGCGTGAAGGCTTTTCTGAATCTTCCTTTCTGTCACCAGTGCTGTACGTTGGCTTTCTTTTGAGGCGCTTATTTTCATAAGAAACTTTCTCTGTGTCCTTAACTTCCAGCAGAGAGTCTGGGAGATCGGGGGGTCAGGAGGTGCTAAGGGCCTGACCAGCTGTGTTTGCGAAGTGCCATGGAAAACTGGGATGATTCCGGTCATCACCTCTCGTGAGGTTAGGAAGAGTCCAGCCTGCGGTATCAGTGCTCGGTGGGATGGCCAGCCCCCAATTGGAGGAGCGGGCTCCTGGGCAGCCTGGGGATACTTGGTTCTAATCCAGATCCTCACACTCTTTGGGGAGGAGGCCGTTTCCAGCAAGTGAGTGTCCCTTGGGTTTCTCCTCAAAGCCCCTTCTAAAATTAGTCCCTGGCTGCTGCAGGGACATTTACATCAGCGCATTTTGTTAAGTACTTTTGTTGCTTTCCATTAAGAGCATATTTAAAAATATGAAATGAATTCAGGCAGAAGCCAGGCTCTGCCGCTGAGAACATCTGTGTGCTGGTGAGAGGGAGAGACTGGGCGGTGGATAACGGGCTGCAGCTTCCTCCTCCGCCACCTCGGAACGCCCCCGGGGAGGCACGGGACAGAGCCCAAGCCTGAGTGAAGCTCCCTGGCTGGGGGAACACCCTGCCCCAGGCTGGCCACCTTGACTCCTTGCTCTGCAGGCTGCCCCCGGCACCTCGTCTGCCTCCCGTCGGCAGCCAGTGAGAGGAGCGTGGGGCCTGAGAGCATTGCCTGCCTGCTGGCCGGCCGCCCCCACAGTGCAGAGCTGGAGCGGTCTTCAGAGGCTCCCGGTCTCCCTCTGCAGATGAAGACACTGGGGGAACGTGGCCTACCCACAGTCAGCAGGCTCCCCTCTCCGTGTACCAGGCTAGTCTGCCGGCGCCACGGCAGCTGGGCCACCACCACATTCTGCCCTCAGTGCTGTGGTGCAGTCGAGGGGTGTGCCTTGGAGGACCCATAGGAAGACCAACTTCATGTCCATGGGACACGCTGGAAGAAACGCCACAGACCTTGTTCCAGATGCAGTTTTCCGTTTTTATAAAGACAAGTGTGGATGTTTTCGTTTCATTGGACGCATAGAGGAAAGGTGACTTGGCTTCTGCTGAAGCCCAGCAGCCCATTCTTAGCGTTTGCTTTAGAATGGAGGACAGTCGGGGACATTTTCCTCGTGAATTTCACCATCATCTGGCTTTGGCCTTCTTTCCAACAATTGAGGAAGAAAGGGCCTAATGTGGAACTACGTGCGTGCGTGCCCTGCGTGTGGGCTCCTGGGCCAGCATGGATGGTGGTGCTGGCAGCACCACCACCGTGCAGTTGGGGGTGGGCAGCAGGCCTCTTGGCGGCAGCCAATGTCCTTCTCATCTTCCCTGTCAGGTGCTAGGAGCCCTGGCACCAAGGCTGTGGTGATGGTACCAGGGTTCTCTTAGTTGGGAGGGGCTGCATTTCCTCTGTAGCGTGGGTGGCTGGCTGGCCTGGTGTCCTGCCCTGCCCAGGGGTGCCCCTGCCCGCCCCTCCTTCCAGGTTGCAGTGTGGTAGGTGGCACCTTGGTGGCCAGTGTTTTGTGATGGTGACAGTGATGTCAGCGCCGAGGTTCCTCAAGTCTAAACTGAGATGATCTGGTGTGATTTTTCTTGGCTTTCAATTTTTGGGTAAGGCTTTTAGTGGGCATTCTTCTCTGTTTCCCCTTCCTCATGTTAGTCTAGGGCCCCAGGGAACCACAGAACCCCTGCTCTGGAAGGAACCTTTAGAGGAACCCGTTCTGAGCTCTTCCTTTCACAGGAGATTGCTCAGAGCTGCCCCGTGGGCTGCCCAAGGCCTCTTAGGTCAAGGACCCTGCTGGCTCCGGTCCAGACTTCTCCCTGCCATGTCACCGTGAGGAAGCACCGCCCCATCACTGTTCCATGATCATTGTAACACCTGCCATTAAAAAGCACGGGAGCTTCGTGTCAGAATGTAGTTTAAAATGTGTTGTAATGTTTGCGTAGAACAGAAACTTGAAGTTTTGTGAGAAACGGAGTCCCCTGTGTGTGGTTTTGGAGGGGCTGAGCTGTCCTTTCCTGTCATGGGTCACAGTGTCCCTCTCCCCCTCACCCATGAAATAATGACAGCGGCCTCCATTCCTACAAAGTCCTCAGTCGCGGGTGCCGTTTTATATCGTAAATCTGTCATCTTCAACTGGATGGTGTAACACTTGGATTCTACATTTCCCGGATGCTTGGAAAGGAGTGCCAGGAGTTATGTGTTCTGCGGATCAGAACAGCTGACGCCGGCTGAGGACACTTCATCCACTGTTTGCTCGGCGCTTGACAAATGCTACCCAGTCTAACGGTGAGCGTCGGGTGTCTCCGGGCTTGGTGCCTGCTTGTGCCACACATCTCAGTGCCATGCAAGACCAGCATGCCAGTGACACAGCAGGGGACACGTGGAGTTCAGGCTGCTGAGAGCTCGGAAGGGGCCAGGCCGTCCCCCTGGCCCTAAGGCTGCAAGGCTCTGCCCTGGAGCTGCAGAGCTAACACCTCACTCTGCGGGGTTGTAAAGTGGAGCTGATGCTGCTTGACCCCACAAAAGCTCACAGGCCTTTTAGGTGCCTGTTAATGCTGGAATGAAACCACAGGTAGCCAAGAAGGCCTGCCTGTCAGACCGCGACCGCGCAGATCTCAGCAGAATGTTTAAAAGGCGCTCTCTGCAGTTTTGGAATTGTGGCGCTGCTCTTGCTTAGTATTAGGGCTCAAGCAGGTTAACGTCAGGGTTCGTTTTCTTAAATGGCCGGTGGCCGTGGTGGTGTTGGACGTGGCTAACCTGGCACAGGGCAGCAGAGATCCAGGTGTCAGGCCAGTGGAAGGGTTGAAGCCTCTCACCAGCATGTCTGTTTTGGAGGGAAGTGTTGGACATTGAGTGAGGCCCCTCTGCACTCAGCGACCCTGCCCTGTGCTCCCAGACCCAGTTTTGGGTCTGCTTGGTTGGCATCAGGGTCCTGGCCCTTTCTGTGTTTTGGGACCTCTGTTTGCTTATCATATTTGCATCATTGCCTTTACTCCCTGGGGGGCAGAGGGGGGAGCTCCTGAAGCCATTTAGCCCTGCCAGCCTGGGTCTGCCCTTGTGCCTGTGCTGTGTTCTTTCTGCCTGGCAGTCCTGCCCTACGCAGTCTCATGGAGGCAGGGCTCATGGGAGGGGCCTTCCCTTGGCCCCAGCCATCCCCCCGGGAACATCACACTCTCTCACAGACACACTGTGGCCATTTTCTGTTGAAGCTACTCTGTGAAACATTCTCTATACTTGGTTCGGGGGGGAGCAAAATCCAGAATCTGCTAAACACCAATGCTGTCACTCAGAGTTTGTGTATCTGCTGTCTGTGGAGCTCTGGACCAGGCTTGAGGGACGCCTGGGGTTTCCACCCACATCTGGGGCAAACCAGACCCCCAAGTCACTGACATGTCGGTTTTTCTACTAATCACGTTGGCTTTGGCAATTCTGTATATAATAAGAAGTATTGTGTTCTCACTTGCACTTGGGCAGAACGGTTCACTCCAAGGCTGAATGACTGCCACGGACCATTCCCCCAGCAGGGGGTCCTGGGGTTTAGTGGTTTGATTCTGAGCACCTCTACGCACAGAGCCCCTTAGTGGGTTCCCTAACTGGACGGCTAACCCTGCTGTGGAATCTGACTTTTTCTGGACCGAAGAGGACAGGCTGCTCTGGAGAAACTCCTTGGGCCTTGTGCCTGATGCTGGCTCGGGCCACCCTGGCCACCCTCCCTTCATGCCCCATGGGACCAGGCAGCAGCATGGGAGGGGGCAGCTTCCAGAACACCCTTCTGCTAGGGGCTGCTGGCCTCCCTGCTGGCACGGCCACATCCATGGTCTGAGTGTGTGGTTGGAATGTTTTATCAACACCAGTCCTCACAGCTTCCCCAGATGAGCGAAGGGGAAGGGGATGGTGTGTGGGGGGATTGCCTCCCTTGAGGCCCCCCAGCTCCCAGGATACTTGCTGGCGGAGCTCTGCCTGCGGTGGAGGCCCTATGACTTGACCTCCATCTTCTCCCTGGGCCCCTCGCTGGCCCTCACTGGCAGGGGCTCCTGCACGCCTGCAAGGCCAGAGCCTCCCGCCAGGTGCAGGAGAAGTAAATGCAGGCCAGAGATAAATCGTATTTCCCTCTAACTCGGATGTGGAGTGAGAGGAAGGAAGCAGGAGTGGAGCTGAGTGTTAGTGAGAGGTGGCTGAGAAGGCGGGGTCCCGCTTCTTGCTTCCTTGGGCATTTGCTGTAGGTGCTGGGTTTCAGCCTGGAAGGGTGCAGCCTCTGCACTAAGTCTGGTTTGGTGAACGTTCATGGCCCCCAATATAAACAGTGTTCTGGGCGTTCTTTGTGACTCTCGAGCCGAAACACTGTGGTGATCTCTCGTATCATCTGCTTGTTATGTAATGTGACAACATGGATATGAAATAGAAACCAGATGTCAGGGTGGAGCGGCTGAATTCTTCCCCAGCGAGGCCGCCGGGAGAGCAGGACTTGGGTTTCTCCTGAGTTACGGCGCCGAACGCCCTGAGAAAAACGCCTTTGGAGCAGTTTCCGGGATTAAGCGAAAGTCTGGGCTGAAGGTAAAGCACCAAGTCAGTACGATTAACTCTTTTTTAAGAAACTTGTAAGGGATTTTCTGTGCTGTTATGTAACTGCTCAGTGTCTTCCAGCGAGCCGGCGGCTTGTTATCAAGAATCCGTTTAGAATGTTTGAACTCAGCCTCTGGGGGAGCTGGGAGCACTGTGGCACCTCCAGGGGCCTGCAGCGTGCTTCCGAGGGCTTGGGTGTAGAGGAAGGGGAACCCGTCTTTCGCCTGTGACAGCCTTGCCCTTGGGTCTGGGAGCAATGAGGACTCGGAACGTGAGCCTCCTGCTACAGGTACAGGCCCTGGGGGAGTGAGGGCGCTGGCGGACAGCAGTCTTGGCACTTCACGTTAGCAGATTCGGAGTTTCTGCAGCGGCTGAACCCCTGCACTGGGCTGGAAGGGGGGGACACCCGGAGGCCTGTTAACCACACTCTGCCTGGACTACACCATGAACATAGATCTTTGTGCTTTTGAAATACAAAAAACGAGCTCACCTGGATACGAAGTGTGGTTCCGGAAGCAGTATCTGGCTGTGGATGGAGGTTATGTATTCCACCAACGATATCTTCATTATTGTTATTTTCCTTTGGTAGCTGATCTTTCAGAGAGATCTGCAGATTCCTCACTTTGCTAAGAAGACTCTCTGAAAACAGGAAGCTAAGGAACTCCTCACTCCCAAGTTGATTACAGCCTCATGGAAGTGTGGAATTCTTATTAGGAAAGCCTGTTGCTGAGTACCAAGCAGGTTATCCTCTTGTCCCGTGTCACCAGGGGGCCAGCTTGATGAGGAAGAAAGTGACCCTGGCTCCCTCGTGTCCCCAAGGCAGTGGACTCCCCCCCGGGTCTCTAGCTCTCTTGTCCCTAAGCTGATAGCTCATCGTCAAGGAGGGCTTCCTGCACGCTGACCACCCCCATCTCACAGATGAGGAAGCTGGGGCCCAGGGAGGGTGAGTGATGGGGTGTAGGAAGGGTGAGTGACAAGGCCCAGAGAGGGCTTGTGATGGGCCCGGCTCTCACCGTTGGGGGTGGGATGGGCCATCCTTGGCTCCTCGCAGCTCGTTGCTGTGTGGCCACTCATTGCTGTGTGGCCGCTCACTTTGGGGGGGATGGGGACACTTTGCTGGCTGTTGCTGCCGGGCCTTGTGTTCCGTTTTCAGGTGGAGATCAGGAATTCTGAGATAGTGGCAAAACGTGATGTGGCTCGGGGTGCGTGGAGACGTGTGTGACAGTCCCCAAATCCACAGTGGCTGTGGGGTGGCGTTTCAGGCTGGGAAACCCTCTGGAAAGAAAGCACGAAACACTCCGACATCCTCATTCCATTTTGCTTGTTCTAAAAGAGAACTTGAAGAAAATCATCCCAGCAGCATTTGCTTAGACCAAGTGCGGTCATGAGAACGTCATCTGAGTGAGGAGGGCTTCTCTTGCATGCGTTTTCTTGAGCAGGAGTTGTCGTTTGGCTATTTGGAAAACCAAGTTTAGGGTCCCTGGTGAGTCTGCGAGGTCCAGGAAGCAGACACTCACTTTATCTAGGTGAGAGGACGGAGCTGCAGAGATGGGCCTTAGTGACCACTGGGCCCTCGTATCTCTGGCAGGTCCCTGATTAGTGGTGGGAGGGGGGTTCCCTTTTGTAGCCACTTGGTCTTTTGACAGCTTGGGGTACCCATCCTTCAAGCCCCTCTCTCCTGGGGCCCAGTGGCCGCCTCTGGGCATCACGGAGAGCCGCTCTTGTGTTGGGGCCTCCGGCTCCTCGGCTCTCTGCTTCTAAACAGAACACCCTCTTGTTTCTGAAAGTAGCCCATGGTCCCCTGAGGGTCCTGAGCACAGCCCCCACTCATCTGAGGATGACCATTGGGGCACGGAGCCTGCCCCAGGCCCTGGGCTTTGTGCCCAGGGCTCTCTTCTCCCTCCCTGTCAGGGTTTCCAGACCCCTCGTGGGCACCCAGGATGGACGGCAGGCACAGAGCTGGAGGGTGTGGCCTGAGATGGGCCATCCGGACGACTCGGGCCTCTGGGCTCACCAGAGTGCTGAATGAAGGCCGGAGGGCGAGAGTGGGAAGGATGGCATCACCCACCCTGCCGGTGGCCCCTATGGTCCTGCGGCTCCTGCTGCTTCTGGGTTACCCTGGGCCCAGGGTGCAGGCGCCCTTGGGGAGGTGCACACGGGAGGCTCAGGCCCTCCTTGGACATTCCTGAACGCCCCCATGCATCCCTGCAGCTCCTTCCAGAAGGTTCTCTCGATCCTGTCTGGCTCCTCGGGGGTGTGTGGGAAACCAGGCCAGGGTCTCCCGGTTGTTGGCTGGGGTGGGGTCCTGCCTTCGCCCCTTAGCATTCACCCCCTACCCCTTTTCACCATGTAAAACCCTGTGGGCCCTGGGCCCTGGATGCTCTGCGCCCGAGGACCTGGGTTCTGCCATCACCTGGGCAGTGTGGGGGGCATATAGGGGGAACATGGGGTGCCTGATGTAGTGCCTGTGTTTGACCTTGTTTAGGTGAAGAGCACCCTTTCCAGCTTATGTTTTGTATCATGACCGGGAAAGGTACGAAACAAGTGTGTCGGGGCCCAGATGATTTGATGGCTCTACGGGCCGAGTATGGGACACAGGATAGCTTGGCCCTGGGTCAGGTATTAGTCAGTCCTTGCTGGCACCTGGGCAGGGACACATCCGTGGATGGGGCCTGGCCAGGTGGCCTCTGAGGTCCTCGTGTCCACTGGAAGGCTGTGTCCTCTGTTGTAGTCACTGACTTGCTGGACCTGGGTGGGAGCTCACCCACCTGTGGATGGGCCAGGGAGCTCCTGGAATCACTAGAAAGATGAACTTTTTTTGCCTTCTAAATGTATGAAAAGATGGGAAATGATAGGAAAATAAGTGGAAGTCAGATCTATTCAGGAAAATGACTTCCCAGGGAAGAGCTGGGGTGCCTCCAAACCCAGAATCCTCGGTTTCTAGAAGCAAGGCTGACCGAGGTGGGCAGCATTCTTTGGGACCTTGAGTGATGAAGTAGTTACTTAAGCAGAGTGTTTCTCATGTGAAGCCAGGCAGTCTAGGACACTAGGAATCATTTCAGCGTGGGGGAGACGCAGACACTGTGCTTGCCCAGGGTGCTGCATTCATCTGAAATGCCGGTGGCTACCAGCTCTTTGTCACGGTTCCTCCGTGGTCTCCTTGAATGCTGTCAGATTCAGGGCCCGTGTGGGCAGCGGCAGCCTCGTTCCCAGTCGTGTTTAGGGAATGGGGTCAGAGAAGTACTTGCTAAAGCTTCCTGTGTGCACGTGTAATTGTGTGTGCATGTGTGTTAAATAAATGTATTTCAACTCGAAATACACGTTTCGTGGCCATCAGTCTAGGGATGGCTAGAATTTAGTCACTAAATGAAACTAAGCCGCACCGTCACCAATAATGTGAACATGATTAAAAACCACACTCAGTTCTTATTCATTTACCTACAAGTCCAGAAACTTTTAGAACTTATTTCACCATTAAAATAAATAGTTTTTTAAAAAATATACAACAATAAGGAAAAATTTGAAAGCCTCTTGCCCCTCCATCCCAGGCCTGACAGAGTGGCTTCCACAAAGAAAGAGGCAGAAGCCAGGGCTGTCTGTGCCTGCAGGGCGCTGTTGGGCTCACAGATGACCCAGACTCCCCCGTAATGGAGCCGCGGACCCACAGCGAGCCACTTGCACCAGGCTTAGCCAAGCTGACAGGCCAGCGGAGTAAGGAATGTTCCCTACCATTGTCCAGAAAATGTAACGAGGGTGAAGGTGTGCCAAGCAGACTCCCCGTGTCAGCCCTGAGGCGACTGCCATCGCTTTCAGAAACCTGACTACCAACCTGGATGAAAACCGACTGCTTGGTCATGGCCATGCAGTTAGAAAACACAGCAGCAATCCTCAGATGAGTGTGGCCGTATTTGTGTTACTCAAGCTGCTTTGTCATCTGCATTTGAAGAAACGTGGTGAGCCTCCTGTGTGTGCCCATGTGGCAGTGGGCACCTCTGCCCCCTGCAAAGGCTGTCTAAGAACACAGAGCCTGCAGTACAGGCCCTGCCTCCTGACATGCCCCAGGCCGGCTGGAAGAAAGCGCGGGACTGTCCTATTGACGTGGGGAGGGGACGGCTGGACTCTGTGATGCTAACTGTGTTCTCTGCTGGGCCATGTGGCTCCCCACAGAGACCCTGGGTGCCCAGTCATTCGCGTTCTCCTATGTGTGTGTATATATATTATATATACATGTATTTACTAACTTTAGAAAGCCCCCAAGGGGGCCTTGTTTCTGCTTGGACAGTCAGCGTCCATAGCGTGTCATTCCTAAGCTCCATTAAGGAGATTCAGAAGCAAGCAGTTACCCCTGGAGTCTGCACGCTGGGCACAAGGGTCACACCTTCGTTGAGAGCTCCTGACCCCAGGAGCCGAGGGCAGGACACGGTAGTGTTTACAGGACCTGGCAAAGGGGCACTGCCTTGTGTGTGAGGTTTTTTCACCAGTCAGTCCCTTTTAAAAACAGCATATCTTTTGAAGAACAAGAAGTTTACGCAGGCATAAGCAACTCACTTTGCACGTGGAGCTTTCAGGACGTTTCATGTCTGTTACGTTATAGCCTCTATCCTCATGGGGGCTCTGAGTTCAGCAGGGCCTGAGCTGTTAATCTGCTTTTTCAAATTATTAATAATGAAAGTAACACCATGCCACCACCTGGTATCATTTCATGCTTTCTATGTGCCTGGTGTTTACACGGCTTATCTCATTTAATCTTCCCAGCATGTAATAAAAATATTGCAACAGGTACTGCTCCTGTGTGGACTCCTTCCCCCGAGCTCACACTGCTTGAGGCCTTCCCAGCTCTGGGCTTTGTGTCCTGTGTGGACTTCTTCCCCGAGCTCACACTGCTTGAGGCATTCTAGCTCTGGGCTTTGTGAATATCCTGCTTTTATCCTCATTTATAGGTAAGAAAGCTGACTCAGAGAGGTTAAGCAGCTGGTCTGAGGTCAACTGCTTACGGGTCGGGGAGCTGGGCCTGCACACAGGGGTCTGATGCAGAGCTGGTCCTATCTGCTTTATAAGCTGTGGCTCACAGGGCACTCCAGGGGCTCGAGAGGACCTGGCGGGCTGAGATGAAGACTGGTGAGGCCTGGGAGGCAGGTGCTTGACTGAGGTGGGAAGTGGGACCTTGGTGCCAAGCATTCCCAGGGCCACGGGGCAGGCCTGTAGGGTCTGGTGGGTATCTGGGGTCCCGGAGAAGCCCTTGGCACGGGGCTTCATGAGAGCATAGGCGAGTGCCGCGCCCTGCAGTTGAGCACGGGGGATGCAGCTGTCGCAGTCGCTTTTGAAGAGTGAGGGGTGAGGCCTGCAGTTGCTGCCCGACGTTGTTTACAAGTGAGCAAGTTTTACAAAAAACATGGACAGCATCAGGGCTGACTTGAATTTTTTACTTGAGGCAGCAGCTCAACCTGTTGGTTTCCTCAATTGTGAATTAAAAAAAAAAAAGAAAGAAAGAAAACAGAGAAAGCTGACAACGTAACATTGATGAGAGGATTCTTAAGGGAGAACAAGCCACAGGCTGTCCCGAGAAAGGAGCGGGGAGATCGAGGAAGCACGCTGCCGTGTCTTGTTCGTGGGGTGCTTGTGACGCTCTCGCAGGATGCCCTGTGGGCCACACCACGAGTGCTCGGTGGCGACTGCAGAAGGGTGAGGGACGTTTCCCTTCACACCAGACGGCGGGTCTTGATGGCAGAGGAACCAGGCATCAGAGGAGGACAAGTCAATCCGGGAGCGTAGATAAAAAGGAAGCGAAACTTATTTCACATTGTCAAGCTGTCGGGGATTCCAGGGACCTTGTCCTCCAGGCCTGTCCCTGTGCCCTCCTGTCCCCAGGCCTGAGCAGCCGGGTGTGGGATGGGAACAGGCCAGGGCCAGGTGCCTCACGCCCTGAGGCTGGAGTCAGGCTCTGTTGCCACTTTGAATCCAGGGGCCCACCCTGAACCCTGAGCTGGGCTTCTGTTCAGTACGCGGAGGTGATGACCTCTCCCACCCGGGGGGGGTTTGAGGACTCCCGAGGTGGCAGGGGTGACGCCCAGCCCAGCATGCAGAGTGCCCAGGCAGTGCCCACACCTTTCCTCTCCCTGCCAAGGTGCTCCGGGCCTGAGCCTGTGTGGCCCCCTGCTTGGGGCTGTCACCACAATGCCATTCCCCGCACGCCCAGCAAGTCCCTCCTATGGGTGAGAGCCTAACTTGAGAGACTCTTTTGGGGAGGAGTAAGATGACCTGCCCTTCTCAAGAGTGAGCAGTTCTTAGATGACTGCCTTGAGCAGCGATGGTTCTTCCTGCAGGGGTGCGCCCACGAAACGCTCTGCGTGAAGCACATTGGTGCCATGCTCAGGCCCAGGGAGAGTGGAGGGTGCTGTGCTCTTGGACTGGGTCCTGGCTCGAGGGTTGAGGGGCTGGGCCATGTCCACAAAAAGTCACTGGATGGCTGGGCTGCTCCCACTGTGTCGCTGGAAGAGGGGCAGCGCCCGCTGCAGTGTTTGGAGTGCTTGGTCATGGCCCCACGTGGATTCTCCTTCCTGGGGGAAGCTGTTCCGTCCCCAGGTTTTCAGCTAACTTATCTGAGTTTTGATGAAGAGAGCAAGGGGTTTTGCTAATCTGGATTCCTGTGGAAGGGCCTCCTCTCTCTGCTCGTGTTTTATAGCTTGGCAACTCTAGTGCTAGTTCTGCAATATTCGAATTTGAGTAGCCAGAAGAATTTGCTGCCAGGGTGGCCTTGCCCTTGACTTTGAAATGAACTCACCCGAGACTTCAGCTTGATGCCTCCTTTGGCTAATGCTGGGTTCTGGGCTTTGGCCGCCGCCTGCCTGTCCATCACAAGGGGCCATGTTCTCCAATCAGGACAGAGTTCTAAGCATTTCACAGTAAAGCCTGCAGGAGTTAGGTTTTCTGTTCTTGACAGACTGAGAATGATACTGAGAATGTTTTCTGATTGATTTGGTGAGCTGTCTGTTTATAGCATCATTAGAGATTATTTTCCATGGCTAGGAATTATTCTTGACCTCACAGTAAAGGACTCTGAATCCCCCACCCCCTGCCTGTTTTTTTTGTTGTTGTTGTGTTTTTTTGTTTGTTTGTTTTAAAGAAAAGACTTGTACCATCAGTCTTAGGCGTAATCTCCTTGGCAGTAGTGAGGAGCAAGGCATCTGATGGAGAAACAAAGCATGGTAAGGTTTTTACCATTCAGGAATCACACCGCAGTAGCATTGTAGTATTTGATCACAATTTACTCTTACTTTTTTTCATAAAGAAAGAAATAGGCCTACAGTGGCTCTCACTTGTAATCCCAGCACTTTGGGAGGCTGAGGCAGGAGGATTGCTTGAGGCCAGAAGTTTGAGACCAATCTGGACAACATAGGAACACCTCCTCTCTACAGAAAAGATTAAAAACATTAGCTGGGCATGGTGGTATGCGTCTGTAGTCCCAGCTGTTCAGGAAGCTGAGGTGGGAGGATCCTTCGAGCTAGGAGGTCGAGGCTGCAGTGAGCCATGTCATACCGCTGCACTCCAGCCTGGGTGACAGAGGGGAGACCCTGTTTCAAGAGAGAAAAATAAAAAAAAAAAAAAAGAAAGAAAGCACCAGCAGAATTTAGAAATGTGGGCCAGTGTGGGAGCCTCGCCTGGCATCACTGGCCTCGCCTGGCATCACTGGCTGTGGGCTGCTGCTCTCGCCCTGGAGCTGTTACTTTGAGAGCAGATCGAGGACTCAGCAGGCAGGAGGAATGTTCACGGCAGGGTCAGTTCCCACGCTGCATACGCCCCACCATCGCCCCTCGTCGTGGCTGGGATGGGAGACCGACTTTAGAACCAGAGGCTGGGAAGAGGGAGATACCCCCTTCCAGAAGGGGCCTTCTGCCGCTGAGTAAGGGGGTGGTGCCCGGCTGGCTCCATGAGGGGCATGAGGGGTGCTGGCTATGCTTGGCCTGAGGGGTTGCTGCAGGAAGGCCTTGCTCCCCGCCGGGGCTGAGGGACCCGGCTGAGCAGCAGCAGCAGGAGGAATGAGCAGTGCTCTTGGAGCCCGGAGGAGGGGGCAGGGCTTGTCCTTCTGGACGGGCAGCCCCAGGAAAAGAGAAGCCCAGAGCTAAGGGCCCTTGCCCTAGGGAGGGGTCCCACATGGACCCCGAAGACGTTCCTCTCTGCAGCCCTTCCTGGCACTGCGTGGACACGATGTACGGAATGAGGAAAACGAGCTTCTTTCCCTTCTCTTTCACTTCTCCCTCCCATCACGCAGCGTGCAATTATGGAAGAGGATAAAGAAGGAAAGAGCAGTCGGAAAAATTCTGTAAGAACCGGAGAGGGGAGTTCGGGTGTTTTTACAGCTCCTGGGGTTCTCCGGGAAACAAAGGTGTGCTATTTCCACTTCTGTGTCTTCATTCCTGTTCTGCAGGGAAGCTCAGCCTGGCTTCATCCACATGGGTGGAGCAGAGTCAAGTTCAGTTGGGAATTTTTTTTTTTTCCTGCTCATTTGGAAAAAGAGGAAAAGACACTGGGATACAAAGAGGGCTTTATAAAGAAGAGGCCTCCTTGGTCCTCCACTCCAGGACTTTCTGCGATGGCGGAAATGGTCCATAGCAGCAATGCCCATCGGGGCAGCCACTGGTCATGCCTGACTGTTGAGCTTGTCAGCAGCCACATCAACACATGGATGGTGTGGCCGAGGAACTGGATTTCAAATTAAATTAAATTAAATTTCAATTTAAGTAACCACATGTGGCCAGTAGCTACCTACAGCGCACTCTCAGGAAGGCTCTAGACTGAGAGTTTGAGGATCATCCTTTATCAGTGATTTGAATGGATGAGGCTTCATCTGTTTGAATTTCCCAGTTGGGGTAAAAAGAGGGGATGCTTGTACTGGAATGGGAGTAGGTTCACAGCGCACAGCCTGGGCCAGCATCAGTGTGTTGCTGAATTTATGCTCCTTCCCAAGGTTGTTGAGGAGACTGGAAGAGAAGTTCTGTGTTAGAGAGAGGGACGCCCTAGAGGAGTTCACTTAGTCACAAGGAGCAGAAATGCCCTCAGTGGCATGGATTGAAAGGCACTTACGGATGGAATTCGGGAGAAATTCATGGAGCACTGCAGGGAGTCCTCTGATGGGACCCCTCTTCCTTCTCTGTCTCCCCTGTCTCCCGAGCCCCAGGACTGCCGGTCTCCCATCTGCTTAGTCCCCAGCTGCGTCCCTGCAGGCTCTCCGCTCTGTTGCTGGTTTGGTTCGTCTGGTGTGTGCCTCCCCTGTGACATGCCGGGAGCAGAGCGGAACAGCTGTGCCAGTCCCTGGGCCCCAGCTGGACTGTGCTGGGTCCAGGGTCTATGAGAGCTGCTGGGAGGCCACCAGTGCAGGTGGGCAGGACCTTGCTCCGTGATTCTACCCATGACGCTTCTCACTCAAGGAATTGGCTTTTGTTTCAGTGCATCCTATTGAAAATCACTTAGCCAGTAAGCAAATGTTGGCCCTTAGTCTGTTAAACATTAATACAAATAAGCACGTGTCGCTGCCCTCCCGTTGTACAGTTGTACAGCTGTAATAAACACCACTCGCCCTGCCTCGTGTGCATGTCTCTTCTGGTTTCGGCACCCCAGTGCCGTGGTTGTGCGAGGGGATCAGAATATCTGCTTGAGATTAGCCCATGTCAGCATTTTATTGGGATTGTTAGGCACCTCCGTCCTGATCATTGCACCACGCTCTGTCCCTGTACTTAAATATCTCTACTTGGCATTTGAAACAAAACAAATAAACCTATTGTACAGGATGGACCAATCATGAGGCATTTTCACTCTGATGTTGGCAGTGGATGTGTTGACATTGAGAGGATATTCATGGTGGCAGGCTGCCCCCAGTTCCAGGTTTTGGATATTTGGAATAAGGTAGGCTATGACAGGCCGGGTGCAATAGCTTATGCCTGTAATCCCAGCACTTTGGGAGGCCAAGGCAGGCGGATCACGAGGTCAGGAGATCGAGACCATCCTGGCTAACATGAAACCCCGTCTCTACTAAAAATACAAAAAATTAGCTGGGCGTGGTGGCGGGCACCTGTAGTCCCAGCTACTCGGGAGGCTGAGGCAGGAGAATGGCATGAACCCGGGAGGCGGAGCTTGCAGTGAGCCGAGATGGCGCCACCGCACTCCAGCCTGGGCGACAGAGTGACTGCATCTCAAAAAAAAAAAAAAAAAAAAAAAAATAGGCTATGGCCATGAAGGGTTGCTTCCGGATTCAGTACATTTAGGAGGAAATAATGTTGTTCATCATATGACACAGTTAAGTCTCCGAGAGATAATTAAATGAAAATCATTCTAAAATGTTTGATTAAATGCCTTTCTAGCCTAGCCCCTGTAGGTGGAGTGTCATGATTTCCACGTTGTTGGGTGCTGGATAAATGATTTAGCCACAGTCTCACGGCTCTGTAAAGAGTGGCAGGCTGTTCCTATCACTGCTGATCCTGTGTGTGCTGTGCACCGGATGTGGGTGGAATGAGGCTGCAGGGGCACCTGCATCCCCAGTGGCTATGATGACTAAATGAGGAGGCCCCTGTAGAGTGCACAGCGTTCACCCAGTGACAGTGTGATTGTAATAGCTGGGGTTGCTGGGACCCTAGAGTATCCACGGTGTGCATGCACTTGAACTTCAGGATACCCTGTTTCCCTCTGAGGTGCAAGAGCTCTGGCGATTCCGGATCCCTACTGTGTGTCAGGTTCTGGAAGCATCTTCTCTCATCTCCACGTGATGCCCAGGGGCTCCCCCAGCTTCTGGAAGCCACCGCTTGTCCAGGGCACCAGCCCAGTCTGTCGTCAAGCCTGGATTTGATCTTAGGTCTGGCTGCTTCCGGAATACCGAGACGGGCCTCTGCTGTTCCCTGAGCTTGCTGTCAGCAAATGTTTGGTGAGGAGAATTATTTGGTTTGGAATTTCTTGTTTATGTTTTAGTCCATTAATTTTTTTTATCCTGTGAAATATTTTAGCAACCCTAAAGACCCATGACACACAGGTATCTCTTCAATATTGTGCTAATTCCTGCCTTTTTTTGGTGTCTTCTCATCTCAGCATCAGTAGTGGTGGCCATGTAGGGACAGAGGCACTTAGCAGCCGCGGCACCGGGAATAATGATTTGACTTGGGGGCCCTGTGGAAGAGGCACATGTTGCCGCTTGAATTCTAAGAACACTATTTACCTTTCTGTTTTGAAAGTTCACTTTCACTTTCAAGGTCTCAATTTTCTCAAAAGTTCTAAAGTGATAAACATAGTCTTTCTAAGATTTTCTTTTTGCATTTGTGGCCTTCGTTGTGGCACAGCCCTGTGTCAGGTGGGGCTGAGCCCAGAGGGTGCTGAGGGGATGGGGCTCATGGTGACAGCGTGGTGCAATCCCGAGGCAAGTCCTTGGCACTGTGATGGGCGCTACCATTGGGGCCTGGCATCCCCAGGCCTCATTAGCCAGCAGTGACCACAGGTGATGCACAGGCGTTCTCATGTCCTGCTTTGGATTCCCTCCGTTAAGGAAACCGCAGCACAGCACCGCTCCACAGTAGCTCATAGCCGGGCAGCCAGGGAGCCGCAGAGTCTGGACTTGACCTCTGCAACCCCGTCTCAACCCTATGCTGTCACACCAGTGTCTGAGTTAAATGGCAATGCAAAGCTCTGGGTCCCATCTTCTAGCGGGGACCTTTGTGGCTTGCCCACAGGTTGGTGGCACGGATCGCTGCTCTCTGGGACAGCATGGGACCCTTTCTGGAGCGAAGTCCACTTCAGAGACCCTGGGTTGCTGTCTGACAGAGCTGTGGGCCTGCCTCATCCTGCGGCCAAGGTTTGGGTGAGCGCTGGCTGCTCGTGGGAAGGTTGGGGGCTCAGGCACCTTTGTGATTGCCTTGTCTTCAGTCTCCACTTCTGTCAGAGCTTACAAAGAGCAGCACATGGGGTCCAGAGGCTTCTGGGGAGCCACCCGTGCCCCTGACCCAAGGATGCATAGGCCAGCCCTTGTAGGAAGCAGCATAAGACTTAATTCCTTTTTTTTTTTTTTTTTTTTTACATGAAAACAAACAGAAATGGGAGTTTTATTTGTTCCCTGCAGCCCCACGAACATCTTTTGGAGCCATCTGGAGAGCTGATCACTTCTTTGGCGGGGACAATCAAATATTGAATGTTGAGGGAAATTAGGGCAAATGGCTCCAGGACTGTCCACTTTTGACAGACCTGGTGAGTGAGTTTAATCATTAATCATTAATCCACGCTTTCTAAATATATCTGCCCCGAAGAATCTCCCGGGCGGAGGTGAAAGTCCTGGTTCCCATGCTCCCTTGACCTGACTGAAGCACAGCTCCGGGGCCCGACAGTGGACAGGCACCCCATTTCATCCCTGTCTGGGGACACATTTAAGCAGTGCTGCCTCGGTTTGTTATTTAGTGACTTATTTTCAAGGAAAAAGATCCAGAAATGATTAGATAAATGCGAAGTCCTAAAAAAGAAAACAGCGCAGTTTCTCTTAAATGCCGGCCAGCATTGTGACCCTGATCTGCTGAGGCCTTGGAAGGTAGTTGAGGCTGCAGGAAATGTCACGGGGTGACCTTTAGAATTAGAGTGTCAGCACTCAGCTGGCTGCCTGCATCTGAAAAAGGAGCCATTGTAGCCAGTGAAATGGGGAAAAACCAGAAAACCAGCTGGGCCAGGGCGCTGCAGGACTGGCCATGACCGCCCTGTGCCACTGTCTGCAGAGACCCTGGTCCAGGCGGGTATTGGCCTCCTTCTGGGCAGAGTGCTGGTGTCCACGCCCAGGGCACACATACAGCTAAGCACATCCTCTGTGTGCGTGCATGTGTGCATACCTGCATATGTGCGTGTGTGTGTGTGCTTTGAGAGTGGTGGCTTTCTGATTGAACAAGCAGAGTGCTCAAGGACACGGCTCCAGGTCAGCCTGTGCAGGCTCCAGTTTGGTGCTCCCCTTTTCTTGCTGGATTAACTTTGGACCATCCCTGAGCCTCTTTGTGCCTCAGTGTCCTCATGTAAAATGGGCGTGATAGCATCCTCAGCTCTCTGCTGCTTCTGTGAAGATGAAGAGTCCCTCTGTAGATGCGCCCATTGCCTGGTAGCTCTAATTACTGGCTCTTCCTTCAGCACCCTGTAAGAAGCTGTTGCAAATGAAGTGTGAGTTGGTGACAGAGCAGTGAAGAGGCTGAGAAAGACAATGAAGGGCTCTGGGGGCACTTGTGATGTGGTTTGGAGAGACAGCTGCCCTAGAACTCACACAGGTGGCCCACTTCTTTGGTCTGTTTGTGCAAAAGTCATTGGTAGTGATTTTGTTGGTGGTGGTGGTTTTGGTGAGGATGTCCATTTAAGAAATAAAATGAAACTGAACGGGAATGGTAAACGAGACACAAAACAGAATGAAAAGCCTCCCAGAGGCTGAGCTTGAAAGGAAACAGCAAATTACAAAGTGAGAATGCCAAGAGCTTTCTCCTTTAACAAACCAGGGTGCATTGTTCTCCTTTCTAATGATAAGGGAGGACCTGTTTGCTCTGGGAAGTTTTAGAAAGGACAAAGGCGTATGAAGGAGAGAGTCTCTGACTCCTAGTCCTGTCACCCTGGGTTCAGCTGTGAACATTTTCATGTGTTTCCTTCCGGCTCCCATCTTGTCTCATTCTCGTTGGTTTTTATGTAACCAGCTTTTGGATGAATAAAAATCTGCTCTTTTGCTTTTCACCCTTGCCAGTTTACTATAATCATCTTTTTTTTTTTTTTTTTTTTTTTTTTTGAGACGGAGTCTTGCTCTGTCACCCAGGCTGGAGTGCAGGGGCGCGATCTCGGCTCACTGCAAGCTCCGCCTCCCGGGTTCACGCCATTCTCCTGCCTCAGCCTCCCAAGTAGCTGGGACTACAGGCGCCCGCCACTACGCCTGGCTAATTTTTTGTATTTTTAGTAGAGACGGGGTTTCACCGTTATAGCCGGGATGGTCTCGATCTCCTGACCTCGTGATCCGCCCGCCTCGGCCTCCCAAAGTGCTGGGATTACAGGCGTGAGCCACCGCGCCCGGCCTATAATCATCTTTTCACATTATTAAAAAACCCTTAGCAGCTGTTCCCTAGCACTAAAAGTCTTATCAGACGGGCGTTGTCCCGAAGCCGTTGGACAGTCTCTCCCGGGCCTCCCACACACCCACCCCCTTAGTCAGAGCAGAGGCCTAGCTTCTGTGGCCCTCTGTCCTGTCCTGAGAGCGCACAGTCCTGACCTGGATGGTGCTCACATGACCCTGAGGGAGGAGTGGCATCGCCCCATTTTACAGATGAGGAAGCTGAGACGCTGAGCTCCTGGCCTGGGTGGGCTGTGCTGCCTCCGAGGCCTCCGAGGCAGGCCCACCTGCTCCCCTTCCTTCCAACTCCCTGTTCTGGAGCCAGCTCTGCTTGCTATCCTGAGCCTCAGCCATGAGGAATTCTGGGGTGCCCACAAATACATCTGTGTGTGCCCCAGCTGTTCCCACTACTGTTGTCCCTTCCCAGAAAGAGAGAGCCCCACCTACTCAGAAGCCTAGGTCTAACAGAGCTCTTCCCTCCTTTCCACCTTCAACGGGGACTTAGTTTCTGAAACACAGTGGCGCGACCTCCTTGCAGTCTCTTTCTCTTTTTTTTCATCTCTGCCCTGGGAGCCAGGTAGGCTCCAGACTCCCTATCAGCCTATCCACAGCTTTCAGAACCTTTCCAAAGTGCAGATCTGATCAGTCAGGCCTCTGCCAAGGCCCATCAGGAGCTCCCAGTGTCCACGTCCTCACGGCGAACAGCTTCCCTGAGTGTTCTGTGCCCAGGTTCAGAAGGGGCTGCCCCTGCCTGGTGATTGCGGTCCTTGTCTGAGTCACTGGGAGTTGATAGAGGTGGATCATGGGGCACTTCTGTTTTAGCGTAAATGTGACGCCTCAGCGACCCTGCACTGCACGGAGCATCCATGAGCTTTCTGCCCAACCTGTGAGAATGAGCTGCTCTTCCTCCCATAGGCAGCAGAGGGTGGGCTGGGAGACGATGGGCGGGTATTTGTGTGGCCCAGTTCTCTCTAGAAATGTCTCTGTTAAATTAACAAATGGCAAGTTAGTAAATTGCAAGTGGATGATTTAAAGTCCTCCTGTTACTTTTAGAGTTCTAGGGCCCTAACAGGTGCTTAGCAAATACTTGTTAAATGTTTTCCCACTAGAAAGGTTTTGTAAGGAGGAAGGAGGCTGGCGTTCTCGCCGTCAGGTTTTTATGCCATCCGCTGAGTGCAGGTATTTTGGGAGCACGTAAACTGTATGTCCAGGTGATACAGGTTAGCCTCCCAGTATAGGGTGCAGTGGACCCAAAACAGGAAAACCACGTGGCCAGGCACAGCAGCTAGAAGCGCATCAGCTGGAGAGAGCCCAGAGATGCCCTGTGCGTAGCCACTGCAGGAAGCCTGGAGGTGCCCTGTGCGTTGGTCTGGGGATCCCTGTGTCCATAAGCAGGTGGGCCTCGGGCTCCTGCTCTCAGCTTCTGCCTGGCTCTTGACCCCTTAACTACCTCATGGTAGCAAGAATGTGACCTTTCTCCCACGCTCCTTTGCTGCTCTCCGCCCTTGTTAATGTTCCGCCCCTGCTGGGGTAGATTGTATCCCCCTTTGATTGTGGAGGGTAGGGCCCTTCTCAAATAGGGTTTTCTGGGACCCTGCGGTTTTGCAAGGTGTTTGCAGTTATTCACCATAAAAACCGAGGGCAGGGGACAGGCCCTGGTCAAACCCCTTTGGGGGAAGCTCAGAGAAATTCAGAAGGCAACTGCTACATTCAAGCTCTGGGAAGCTCCCGAGTAGAGAAGCCAGCTGGGATCTGTCGAGAAGAGACTTGTCCAGTTTATTATTTCAGGGAATTTGTATCCCATGGACACAAATTCCTCACGGGATGCCCTTTGGGAAACGCCTTGTGAGGACTGACCCAGCTGGAGCAGGTACCTGGGAAGGAAAGTCATTTCCAAGGGATTCTGGGCTACCTGGGAGCTGGCCGCTGGCCTCACACCTGAACCTGAAGGCCAGGTGGGTGGTCTCATTTCATGTCTATAGGGACATTCAGCTGTTATTTTTTTAAGTAAAACTGTATCTAATGGAGCTTGCTATTTATTGAGTGATAACTTCAAATCGGAAATGTTCTTTTTCCCACTGAAAGGCCTGAGCAAGGTTTTGCTCTTAGTGCTGTTGCATACCTGTTTCCACCCAGCTTTTAGTCTCTTGTAATTTCTGTTTGGGTATTAAAAGGACGGTCTAGGTCCACGTGAGAGACCTGGTGAAAGAGAGCCTCCTTGGCTTCTGGTAATGAACTTCCATCACCCCCCTTCCAAACAAAGAAACAAAAAAGAAACAGTATCCTCTCGACCCAGCCTCCCGCCTTAGTCTGCTAGTTCATGACACTGGATCATGCCTTATTTGACCTGACCCATTACTTGGCTCGAGTTCCCAGATAGGATATATTGACTTGCTTTTCTGGAAGTAAAGAGATGCATTTTAGATGTGGGTTGGTGGGTCTGTATTTTCTGGGCCCTGCCAAGTATGCCCACAGGGGTACTGGTTTCTCGCTGGAGTGGTGGGGTCACTGCCAGCCCTTCAGATTTGTTTGGCTCTGTGCTCCAGATGGACAGCGGGGCTCAGCCTCCACTGCCCATCTCAGTGCAGAAGCTCTCCAGGGTCTTTCTGTCACACATCTAACAAACAGCCAGTGCTAGAAAGGGGTTTATCCTCGAACGCAGAGAGCAGTGAGTGAGGGCATCTTGTCTTCTGCCGTACCAGGTGAAGGTGACCTCAGGGTCCCCTGGGACTGCTTCTGCAGGTGCTCTGGGAGCCAGCGCATTGCAGCACCTGCCCGGCTGGGAGTCCCCAGCCACACTGACAAAACACCGGAACACTTGGGGCCCCACCTACCATCCTGGCCGTCCCCTTGCCTGCCTTGCCACGATGGGCAAGCACAGCCCCTGGCGTGGCCGTCCTGAGCTGGGCTGTGCGCGCAGCCCCTGGTGTGGCCGCCCTGAGCTGGGCTGAGCTGGGCCGAGCTGGGCCGTGCGCGCAGCCCCTGGCGTGGCTGTCCTGAGCTGGGCTGTGTGCACACACCAGCATCCTGCCCCATCAGTTGCTGTGCTGCAGACAAAGGAGGGATCCACTGGAGCGGGAACTCTTGCAAACAAAGGTTCTATTTTCATGCAAATGTAATCGGCGGCTCCCGGGGAGAAGGCCCAGCTAGCTGGGACTCTTGAGCTTAGGCCCCTTTTCTAGAAGGCGATGGTGGACACTGGAAATCTTCTTTATGATATCTGTGTGGACTTAGAAGAACCAAATAAGAAGCTCTTACATAGATATTGCCCTTCCCCCGACCTGCCAGCTAGGGCTGTAAGTAGAAATTAACCTAAATTAGGAAGATAATTGTCCCTGTGTTAATTGTAGGTTGTCTTTTAAAGCTGTTTTCATTCTCCAGGCCTGAGCAGCAGGCTGGCTTCGGGCCCTACCGTGGGTTGCTGCGCATTGACACCCATGAAAACCAAAGTTCCAGAGGGGCGACCTAGCGGCCTTCCTGCTTTCCAGAGCTCCAGGGTCTCTAGATGATGACGTTTCTTTGAAAATCCCACTGCAGCTCTTCCTGTGTGCCCTCAGGCCCCCCGCCACCCAGGGGACCCCTCTTTGAGGGCGATCAGGCTCTCAGCCCAGGCCATGTAAACAAACACCGGCTATTTTCAGCAAGCCTGTGGTGTCGCAGCTGGCCTGGCAAGGCCCATCCCCGTGTGCACTTGGCCCTGGCCAGCCCGGGCCAGCCCTGGCAGGCGAGCCATGCCTTGGAACGTTCTTACCCGCCATGCTTTTCAGTTTTGTCATAACACCCCCTGGCACTCGACGGCAGCGTCCCAGTCAAAAGGGGGCTGAACAAGGACCCCAGGGACTATTGTATTTGGGGTTTTCTTTGTTGGGAACTTGGATTTCTGTTTGAAAGTGCTTGGTAAAACCTGCCGTCCTCCCTGTCCCGGGCACGCACCAGCAGGTGGAGGCAGGCGCTGCCTTCTGAACGGCTCTTTCCTTTTGTCCTCGGTTTTCTTGAGGCCTGGCTCACTTATTCCATTAGTCATGATTGGATAAAGCTTTTAAAGAAAAATCCCCACCCCTTGCCTTACTGTGCCACGAAAAATTCCTGAGTGAATGAGCGAAGCCACCCACTTGATAGGAGCCCTGGAGGCTGCCTTTCACATGGACTTTCAGGTGGGCCAGGCCCTGTATAGAACCCCGGCCCTCCCCATAGTGCCCTAGAAACACACTAAACACGGGAGCGTGTGTGGTGTGTGTGTGAGTGCGTGCGCGTGTGTGCGTACGTGAGTGCGTATGTGAGTGTGTGCGTGCGTGTGTGTGCATGCGCGTGCGAACTGAATGCATGCGTGCGCGCATGTGTGGTTGTGTGTGCGTACATGTGTGTACGTGACTGCTTGTGCGCACGTGCCTGTGTGTGTGTGTGTGTGTGCCTACTCCCATTTCAGGAGCTTGCCCTGCCTGTTTGATTTTTCTAAAGATTGACACTCTAAATCCCCTTTCTCTCCAAAACTCTCTTGGGGTGATATGGAAGACTCCTAGGGTCTCCAGTTTTACCATATTCTCCCTAGTCCACACAGAAGGTGTCCTTCAGCCACATAAAATGGGCCACTCATTGGTGCTGGACATCCTCACGCCATTGGTGCTGGTGTCCCCATGTCGCTGGTGCTTCATGTCACGTGCCGTTGGTTCTGGGTGTCCCCACAGCCTGGCCTTAGGGTGCTCTGTTTCTTTATAGTTAAGGAATTAGCTCAGCTGACAGGGAACTAGGTAAGAGTAAAGTCTGATAACATGGAAAATGTTAGTGCACATTTGAAAAAAAATAAATTTAGTAAAAATGTTGATATATTTTAAGTTTGAATGACAAGACTTGAGTGAATTTTTCCTGGTTAATGTTGTGTCTTTTGATTAAGCCATTTCAATGGAGTGTACATTTATATTAACTCTTGATGCCTTTTTTATTTGCCGTAATTGGATTAGAAAATAAGATCTTTTCTGTAGTTGATAGAACTTTGTTAATTTTATTCTCTCATTTGTTTTCCTTAACTCAAAAATGGTGAGTAAAGATCACGATGCTGTTTTAAAATTTAGGAAGTGGTGAACCATCAAGAGGATAAGGTTAGGTGTAATTTGAAGGATGATTATGAAGTGAGGGTTTATGCAGATTTGTGCACCAGTGTGTACAGTAGGGAAACGGAGGGTTATAACCAGGGGCATTCTCAGAGTTTGGGCAGGATCAGGCAGCGGGCAGAGCTCTGGTGCCCCATCAGGCGGGGACTTTGGGGGGTGCTCTCTGCTCTCCGTGGGCTCCCACATCAGATGAGCCAGGTGGCTGGGAGGGGCCCTGCGTGCCCAACACAGTGGCTGAGGGGCTGCTGCTCCTGCCCTGTGATGTGTGCTCTCTCCCCAGCCTGGATTTCCAGAAGAAAAGACCTCTGCTCCTCCTGTCTTTTTATTCTTTATTGGCCTGGTGCTGGGCACTTAGTTGGAGTTCAGTAAAGGTTTAGTGAGTGAAGAAGGAAAAAATGTTACTTAGAAGTGTTTTACTCGACTTCCTTGATCTGGAAACACACACACATATTGTAACATAAGAAAAGTTATATGCAAAAACAGTTCTTAAATGACACCTCGACTAAGACAAAACACAGACCTTTTCTTTTGTGGTTAGTGCTTTTTCGTATTTCATTTAAAAACAAAACAACCACCAAAAAACCTTCCCTACCTCAAGGCCATAAAGATAACCTTGTATATTTTCTCTTAAGGCCTTTGACGTTTTGTCTTTCATACTTAAGCCTTTGGTTTTTGTGTGGGGTGCAGGGTGGGGATCAGTTTCATTTTCTTTTCTCATTTTGAGAACCATAATGTTTGACACTTTACACCCTTTCTCTGGGATAGCTGTGCGGCCAGCTCATCCTCCAAGTTCAATCTGTTTTGGACCCTCCCTGTGCTCAGCTGCTCCAGAGCCTGTCCTGGGGCCAGCAGGGCACTGTCTCCTTGACAGGCGCTGCAGCCGCACTCCCCTGTCTCAGCCCCCTCCCTGCAATTGTCCCAGCTCCTCCTAAGCTGTGACTTGTCTAGAGACAAGTTCCTTTAAAAAGCCTAGCCTGAAACTTGATTGGAATTGCATTGACTCTATGGATGAATTTGAAGGCAGGGTTGGCATCCTGACAGTATATTTGTGTGTGTGGCTTCTCTTTCCCTCCATCAGGTCTTCTTTACTGTCTTTTTTCAATAGATTTTTATAATTTTCTCTATAAAGGTCTTGTACGTGTCAAGTTAGATTTATTCTTTATTCTTTGGTAGATTGTAGTTGTTTTGTTTTTCTGTTGCAGACAATACGTTTTTTTTTTAATTAAGTTTTCCCTTGCTAGTTTTTGGAATTGCAGTTGATTTTTATATTTTATTTTTATATCCAATCATCTTATTAAAATCTTATAATTTCTAAAAATTTTTTTCTGTAAATTCTTCAGGGTTTCTAAGACAAAGACTGTTAAAGTAACGATGCTAGTTTAGTGTCTTCCTCTCCAATTCCTGTGTTTATTTTCCTTGTCTTACTGTGCTAGCTGGGAATTCCAGTTCAGTTTTGAGTAAGAGCAGAAATACTGGACTTCCTTCTGTCGTCCTTGACATTAAAGAGAAGATTTTTAACATTTTTCCCAATTTAAGTATGATGTTTGACATAGGTTATTTTAGATTCCCTTTTTCAAGTTAAGTTCATGGATAGCTGTGTTCCATTAGCCAAATGCTTTTACTCCGTCTGTTGTGATGATCGTATAGTTTTCTGTTCTAATTTTCTGTTAAACTTCCCTTATCTCTTCCAGTGGATTCAGCTTGTTTGTGATAAATCTTGTCATTTTCATACTTTGCTAGCGCTTCAGGATTCTTCATCTCTGTTCTTGAATTGGAGTGGACGGTAATTTTCCTTTTTTAAGGTCTTTTTTTTTTTTAACTTACAGGGATAGTTTATTTAAGATTAGAATTAATTATTCCTTGAAAGTTTGTAAAAATTAACCTCAGACTATTTGGGGTTCATATTTCCTTGGTGGTTTGATGTTTTAACTACTGATTTAACATCTTTAATGGTTACTGATAACCTGAACTTTTAATTCCTGTCATATGGATTTAAAAGAAAGTTTTTAGGAGTCCTACTTAATCTACGTTTTCAATTTTATTGTCATAGATTTGCTTCTGGTGTTTACATCTTTGCTGGATTTGTCTCTGTGTACCCGTTTTCATTTACAACATGACTTAGTCTTCTTCTTGATTAATCTGTATTAATCGTTTTGAGTCACTCTGGCTTTGTGGATTCCCTTAGTTGTAAGTCAGCTTTCTGTGTTTTAAATGCCTGCTCTTATCTTCCTGGTACTTTCTGTGGCTGGCTGCACCCAGTGTTCTCTCTCTCCCGAGGTTGGATGTGCAGCTCCCATTAGTTCTTAGCCTTCCTTCTGTTATAAGCTACACAGTTCCCTTGAAGTAGGCATTGGGTGCATACAACAAGTTTTGACACTTAGCATTTTCATTTCCATCCCAAGTTTTTAAAAGGTCGTGTCAACAGTACACCTTTGAGATGATGTAAGGAGGTGCCACTTGGTCTCTGTGACCTTCCTCCCAAAAACATACAACCCCATCTGGTCATGACATCAAACAAATTCTGATTAAGGGACATTCTAGCAAACACCCAATCAAGTACTTTAAACTGTCAAGGTCATTAAAAACAAGGCAAGTCTGAGAAACCGTCGCAGCCGAAGGAGCCTCAGGAGTCAGGAGGATAAAGGAAGGACAGTGGGGTCCTGGGTGGGGTCTCAGAACAGGAGGACCACAGGGAAAACAGGAAATCCAGGCACGGCTGCAGTTCATGCTGATGGATCACTGTGGGCTCACGAAGTGTGACGCATGCCCCATCCTGGTATAGACGTGATCAAATGCCTCGTATTGTCCGAGAGGTCCCCAGGACATTCCCTGCCCAGGCCAGTGTCCAACTCCCTGTGCACTTGTCCTTCCTGCTTGCATCAGACACTCTCCTGCTGGGGTCACTTTCTCTTTTCTTTATGAACACATACCCCTTAGGAGTAGCTTTAGTAGACCTGTTGGTGATACAGTCCTTGCGTGTGTATGTGTGTCTGATCTGAAAATGTCTCTATTTCACCAACATGCCTGAGTGACTGTTAGGCAAAACTTGGAGGTGAGTTTTCTTTTTCTCCTTTCATCACGTTTGGTGTATTCTTCTCATCCTTGGCCGGCCTACCTCAGCATAGCAGCCGCTCCTTCCTTGTCTGTCTGTGTCTCACTGGCTGCTCGTCACATCTTCTTTTGTCCTTGATGCTCCCAGTTTTGTCAGGGTGTGTTTGGGTGTGGAGCACCCTGTTGTCTTGGCATATGTTTGCCTTTGTGTCTGTGAGTTTGTGTGTTTTATCAGTCCTGGAAATCCGCAGCTAGTGCCCCTTTAAATATTGCTCCATAGTCTTCCTTCCTTCCCTTCCTTCCCTTCCTTCCCAGTCCTGCAGAGTCAGCTGTCACACCTCCTCAGGTGGCTCTTATGGGTTTTCAACTCTCCTTGGACTTTTACTTTCAGAATACAAAATACAGGATTTGGGCTCTCCTTCATTTTTGTATTTTGATTCCCTCTGCTCAGCTGATTTCTTCGTCAGGATCTTCTCACTCACCGAATCTCCTTTTTATTTTTGCATGGCATTTATTGCTTAAATCATTCATTGAGGGTTTTCTTTTTTTTAAAATGCATCAATTACACTTATTATTTTTGAAAGTCTACTTTGTTCTTTTCCTAAAATGATTAATTTTGACAATTCTGTTGCTTCCTCTGATTCATTACTTAAAATTTTTCAAGTATTTTCATAAACTTTTTATTTAATCAAAACATACATGGGGAAAATGATAGTGAATAAAGCATTAAGAGATTCTTTGAAAGTTTCAGAAACAGTAATCGTACCATTTCTCATGATATGAGTAACTGAAGAACTTGACTGTCTTTTGATGTGTTTGCTGCCTTTTTTCACTTCTTTCTGTGTTGGCTTGTGTTTGCTTGGGAGCGTATGTCTCGCTGGTCTTACTGTTTGGAAATAGAGGGATGGGAGTGAGGAGGCCGTTCTTCTGATAGGCATGCCACGTGCATTTCCTGGGAGCTGCCCTGGACTCCAGCCCCTGCATCCTGAACGCTGCAGCTCTGGGCTCACCTCGGTCCTGACCCCCATGCAGTCCTCCACCCGCTGCCCTCAACTCTCCTGTCAGCTCGAGTTGCTTTTGTTTCCCTTAATTATATATTTCTGGCTTGTTGGAGGGTTTCCTTACTGCTGGTGAGCCCAGCAGTGTGACAGAAGGTATGTCTTATGCAGAACCTGGGGTTTCCACAGCACAAGAGCCTGTAAGATGACTTGTCTGCCACGTCCCCAGAAGAGGAAGTTTCTAGTACTTCAAAAGCCCAACCTTTGGCCAGCTTTCTCTCAGCCCCTTTTACCCAGCTTCGTTTTCTCCCCACCAGCTGGGATGACAGGTCCCGCGGCGGAGACACTTGCTGGCAGCCGGCACTGCTCCTCTGCCTCCCCGCACACTAGCGAAGCCCCAGCCTCGGTGGAACCCCTTGCTGTAAGGCTTCTCCTTCCTTACCCAGGAAGTGCAGGATGCCAGGGAAGAGCACCGGCTCAGCATTCTGGCCACGCTGCACAGCCGCGAACTTGGGGGCCCAGCCGCGGCGCGTTCTCCACTCCCAGCAGGGATCTGCCCCTCCCACCCCCAGCATGGCTGTGTTCCTCCTTAGCGTGGCTCTGTCCCCCTCCACCGTGGCTCTGTGCTCATCCAGCTGCCTGTTTTCTCACTGTGTAACGCTTTCTCTGTACCATCTGCAGTCTTTGAACTTTGAACTTTGAACCTGGCCTTCCAGGTTGCCATGAAGGTAGACTGTAGATTGTCTAGGTGTGGGGTGGGATGTATTTTATTTGATGGCTTGGTAGACTGATGGATGCATTTAGACGACTTGTCTCTGGGCTTCCTTCATGCTTTTGATCCCATCTCTCCTTTCATTGTGAATATCCTCTCATTTTCCTTGTAAGTTTTGTCACTTGTCTCTGGCTTCCTTTCTGAGCCTCTAAATATACCCTAATTACTTACATTAAAAAACACAATGAAACAAAAGTTTCCCGATCCTGGGTCTCCCCAGTCTGCAGCCCAGACTCTCCTCAGCTTCCTGTGGGAGGGCTGCTTGTGTATTTACTTTTGAACCGGGACACTGGTCTCCAGGACACTGGAGAGTGGAAGGGCCTCTGGCTCTGGGGCGTGGGCGCTCACCGTCTGGTGCCTTTCCCCCTGCAGATCCTGGAGGCCCCACCTCCCACCCAGTCCCTACTGTGGTGGCCTGCTCTGTGTGTGCTGGGACCATCTTCATGCAGGGGCATCTTGCCTTTCACCTGCCTCTGCCTCTGTTGGCACCGGATGCCCAGGGGCACCTGATGGGCTTTCATGCATGTCACCTGGCGTGTGTGGAAGCTGCTCTCAGGGTCACCCCTGACTACGAGGGCCACAATGCACCTGCCCCCATTCCTCAGGGAGGCAGCTCTGCGATGCTCCCCGAGGCCCCGCGGAGGGTCCCCGTGATGGAGCATGCTGTTGGCCATCACTGGGTCAGCACAGTGGCTCAGGGCTGCCCCCATGCGTTGGCTCACTCTGCCCACTCCCTGGCCCGCTCCCTCTGTCCCTCACCCAGCATCCCAAACCACATTCATCAGAAGCGCAGCCAGTCCTGCCATCGGTGTCCTCGGCTCCGCTGTGGTCGGCTCCCTGTAGCTGGGCTCAGGACCGGCACTGTCCTGGTGGAGAGTCCTGCTTCAGACACCACTTGGGCTCCTCTCAGTGTGTCTGCGGCCTGTGATGGGCAGCAGGTGAGTGTCATGTGGAGAGACGTGGAAAGCCACTGGGCGTGGAGACCGCAGCATGGACTTCACAGTTTTCAGAGGCCCTGGGGTGCAGAAGCGGGAACTGTGACTGGCTGGGGGCCCCTGCGCCGACGCCCTTGGCGCCTTCGGGGCCTCACCGCTGTAGATCCCGAGGCAGCACTACTGTCCCCCAGCAATGTTGGAACTGCTCTCCACTTCTCCCCGGCACTACATGGCCCCTCCAGTCAGCCCAGGCATTCAAGCCAGAAGCTAGCAAATGTATTTTGCTTTTCTTCTCCTAACTCCCGACAGCCTGCCCATCATCCCTTTGTGACAGTGCTTCCACCAAAACGCCATCAAGGCCGCCTGATCCTCTCCAATTCCATGACCGCCCGTGGTGGCCGGCACTGCTGTTACCGCTCGCGGAAGTGGGTTGCCAAACACAGCCGTTATGAAAACGAAATTAGCTAAACTTACGACTAAATAAGTCACATTAAAACAAATGCAATCAGTGCTTACAACTCTGCCTTCCTGATTTCTGTACTGCAGTGCTCTCTTCTCTGCTCGCAGGGCTTTTGTGTTCTTATGGTGGAAACGCCCAGGTGTGGTCAGGCCCCTTCTAGCCTCTGCCGGCAGTGGCGTCCCAGGCCCCTCGCGGTGGCCAGCCCGACACTCGCTGCAGCCTCGTCGGCACTGATCCTGCTCATGGGGGGCGGTAGCCATGAGACCAGGCTTTCTGCTGTTTGAGGAGCCCCGCAGCTCCTGTACCTCAGGCCCGCACCCTGGGCACTTCTGCTGCCGGGAGCCCCTTCCTCCGGATCTCAGAGACCCAGCGTCATGCAGAGTTTTTTTAGCTTAAGCCTCAGTTCCTCAGAGAGGCCTTTCCAGCCAGCTTGACTCGCCAGCCCCTGCCCTCATAGTCCTCTGCGGGCCAGGCCCGTGGTGTCCTCTTGTAGAGCGCATTCTTCCACTGACTGTCAAGCTCCCTCTGCACCCTCAGCCTCAGCATTGCTCCTGCATGCGTGGCTGACTGTGGGCGAGCGAATCCTGGAACATCACATGTTTTGTTTGTGGAGTGGTGTGTACATTGTTTGTAGAGTGGTGTGTACATTGTGTGTAGAGTGGTATGTACATTGTAGAGTGGTACGTACATTGAGAGTGGTGTGTACATTGTAGAGTGGTGTGTACATTGTTTGCAGAGTGGTGTGTACATTGTGTGTAGAGTGGTGTGTTCATTGTAGAGTGGTATGTACATGGAGAGTGGTGTGTACATTGTAGAGTGGTATGTACATTGTAGAGTGGTGTGTACATTGTGTGTAGAGTGGTGTGTACATTGTGTGTAGAGGGGTGTGTACATTGTAGAGTGGTGTGTACATTGTGTGTAGAGTGCTGTGTTCATTGTAGAGTGGTGTGTACATTGTTTGCAGAGTGGTGTGTACATTGTAGAGTGGTGTGTACATTGTAGAGTGGGGTGTACATTGTTTGTAGAGTGGTGTGTACATTGTCGAGTGGTGTGTACATTGTTTGCAGAGTGGTGTGTACATTGTAGAGTGGTGTGTTCATTGTGTGTAGAGTGGTGTGTACATTGAGAGTGGTGTGTACATTGAGAGTGGTGTGTACATTGTAGAGTGGTATGTTCATTGTGTGTAGAGTGGTGTGTACATTGAGAGTGGTATGTACATTGAGAGTGCTGTGTACATTGTAGAGTGGTGTGTACATTGTAGAGTGGTGTGTACATTGTGTGGAGAGTGGTGTGTGCATTGTAGAGTGGTGTGTACATTGTGTGGAGAGTGGTGTGTACATTGTAGAGTGGTGTGTACATTGTGTGTAGAGTGGTGTGTACATTGTAGAGTGGTGTGTACATTGTGTGTAGAGTGGTGTGTACATTGTAGAGTGGTGTGTACATTGTGTAGAGAGGTGTGTACATTGTAGAGTGGTGTGTACATTGTGTGTAGAGTGGTGTGTTCAGTGTAGAGTGGTGTGTTCATTGTAGCATGGTGTGTACATTGTAGAGTGGTGTGTAGAGTGGGGTGTTCATTGTAGAGTGGTGTATACATTGTGTGTAGAGTGGTGGGTAAATTGTAGAGTGGCATGTACATGGTGTGTAGAGTGGTGTGTTCATTGTAGAGTGGTGTGTACACTGCGTGTAGAGTGGTGTGTTCATTGTAGAGTGGTGTGTACATTGTTTGCAGAGTGGTGTGTACATTGTGTGTAGTGTGGTGTGTTCATTGTAGAGTGGTATGTACATTGAGAGTGGTGTGTACATTGTGTGTAGAGTGGTGTGTTCATTGTAGAGTGGTGTGTACATTGAGAGTGGTGTGTACATTGTAGAGTGGTGTATATATTGTGTGTAGAGTGGTGGGTAAATTGTAGAGTGGCGTGTACATTGTGTGTAGAGTGGTGTGTTCATTGTAGAGTGGGGTGTACACTGCGTGTAGAGTAGTGTGTACATTGCAGAGTGGTGTGTACATTGTTTGCAGAGTGGTGTGTACATTGTAGAGTGGTGTGTACATTGTGTGTAGAGTGGTGTGTACATTGTGTGGAGAGTGGTGTGTACATTGTAGAGTGGTGTGTACATTGTGTGTAGAGTGGTGTGTTCAGTGTAGAGTGGTGTGTTCATTGTAGCATGGTGTGTACATTGTAGAGTGGTGTGTACATTGTAGAGTGGTGTGTAGAGTGGTGTGTTCATTGTAGAGTGGTGTATACATTGTGTGTAGAGTGGTGGGTAAATTGTAGAGTGGCATGTACATGGTGTGTAGAGTGGTGTGTTCATTGTAGAGTGGTGTGTACATTGTTTGCAGAGTGGTGTGTACATTGTGTGTAGAGTGGTGTGTTCATTGTAGAGTGGTGTGTTCATTGTGTGTAGAGTGGTGTGTACATTGTGTGGAGAGTGGTGTGTACATTGTGTGTAGAGTGGTGTGTTCATTGTAGAGGGGTGTGTACATTGAGAGTGGTGTGTACATTGTGTGTAGAGTGGTGTGTTCATTGTAGAGTGGTGTGTACATTGAGAGTGGTGTGTACATTGTGTGTAGAGTGGTGTGTACATTGAGAGTCGTGTGTACATTAAGAGTGGTGTGTACATTGTAGAGTGGTATGTACATTGAGAGTGGTGTGTACATTGAGAGTGGTGTGTACATTGTGTGTAGAGTGGTGTGTTCATTGTAGAGTGGTGTGTACATTGTAGAGTGGTGTGTACATTGTGTGGAGAGTGGTGTGTACATTGTAGAGTGGTGTGTACATTGTGTGGAGAGTGGTGTGTACATTGTAGAGGTGTGTACATTGTGTGGAGAGTGGTGTGTACATTGTAGAGTGGTGTGTACATTGTGTGTAGAGTGGTGTGTTCATTGTAGAGTGGTGTGTACATTGTGGAGTGGTGTACATGGTTTACACACGTGTGTGCATGGGGACAAGACTTGGATGGAGTTTGCCATCCCCTGTTAACAGCAGACAGTTCCAGGATGTTGCGTCGCATCTTTGTTGTGCCTGGTGTCTTCCTCACGCGGGAGAGAGGCCCCCGAGCCTCCTGGCAGAGGCCACAATGCACCTGCTCCCACAATGTTTTCCTTACCCTTTTTAAGTTGCTTGGAGGCTTCAGCATTTGGGACCAGGTGGGGAGGCGTGCAGTGCCCGGGTCACCTGCCTGCCTTCTGTGCCCCTGGCTCGCCCATCGGAGGGACCAGTCGGCACGGCTGAGTCATGCTGACTCAATGTTTCATACAGTGGAGCTGGCTTCCCAGAAACAGCTCTGTATTCCTCTAATGTTCTTCGTGCATGTAACGTGAAGTGGAGTTTGGGGCAAAATGTGCTTTCAGGGCTTGTGGCCTTCTTTCCTTCTTTAACACAGCGTCTCGGGAGTACGAGGCACTCGCACATCAGCTTTGCCCCCACTCTTGGGTTGCTGGCATTGTTAAAAACGAGAGAATATAAGGTAGAAATTTCCAGATGCCTTTTTTTTTCTTTGACCAACATGTTTTTCAGGGTTGATGCCACAAGAACCAGCACATGTCTCAAGTGGCATAAGGAGATTTCATCAGCATGGCCAGTTCTTAGCTGACGAGCTGGAATCCCAGGGTGCTAGGAAACACAGGCACTTTGGGGTTGGGGGGTGCTGTCCTCTTCCGCAGGAGTGGAAGGGATGAGATGCTCCCGAGAGGTGGGATCCGCACTTTCTGTGGACCACAGTTATTGATCCTAGAATTCGGGGAGGGAAACGTCAGACAGGCCACTCATGGTTTGTGGCCACTTTGGAAACATTAGGGAAGGGTCCTGGGGAAGGCGTGGAGAAGCCCGGTGAGAGCTGGCCATTCATCCTGAGGGCGCGGTTTCCACCTGGACTCTCGTGGTGAGGGTAGGGGACACTCCTCACTCAGTCGCCCCCATCCCATGCCCCCTGCGGGCCTGGCCTGGTGTGGCTGGTTCTTGTCCCCAGGTCCCCTGCTCTCAGGAGACCTTCATTTGTGGGAGGCACTGTGGGGGCTGTGTGAGATTTCTGGCTTCTGCTGCTGCTGGAGCTGTCCCAGCTCACTCCACCCTGGGCTGCTCCCACCCCTGCCCTTCTGCTCCTCACCCCGACAGTGTCCTCTCTAGGGAGAGGTTTTCTGCTGGGACGTTGGAGAGAGGACAGACTTCAGAGGCAGAGAGACGGGCCTGAACCCCAGCTTTTCTGCCTAGATATTGGGAGCATTACTTAGTTTCTTTGAACCTTGATTTTCTCGTCTGTAAGATGGATGTAGTAGAACTGCCTCATGAGTTTATTATAAGGCTGAGGGGATCAAGTGTGAATTTAGTGCCTGGTGCCAGTTTGTTCATTGATCCCTCTAATGAGTCATTTGTTCAGTCACTGTTTTCAGCTCAGAGACGTGAGCATCTCCTGGTCAGGCACAGACCTCAGGCTTTGCCTTCTTAGCAGCCCAGAGTCTCCTGGGAGAAACAGCAAATCAGGCACTTTGCTTTTGCAAGCAAAAGCCATTATGAAATTTGAGTTTGCTGATGCCCTGGAATCAGGAGGGGAGCCCTCCGGCCTGTGGGCCCTGCTGCCCCATTACCTCCAACCACTTTCCCCGCCTGGGGCAGGGTGTGGCCCCACACCAGCCCCACTTTTCTTTCTTTCTGGTTTTTCAGTCCTGCCGGCAGCATAGTCTTTTTATTTGTTTGTTTGGAAGAGATAGGGTCTGACACTATTGCCCAGGCTGGCCTCGAGCTCTTGGGCTCCAGGCGCCCTCCTGAGTAGCTGGGACTACATGTCCACACTACTGCACCTGGCTTCAGGAGTGTGGTCTTCCCGGCCCCGGCCCCAATGGTCCTCATGTTTAAAGAGGAAGAGAGCCACACTGATGGGCAGGAAAGCCGTTTCCTGAAGGAAGGTCCAGAGCCACCTTAGAAGGTGAATTAAAGCAAACCACAGCCTTCGGCCACTTATTTTGACTGACATGTGGTACAAAACATGTTTTTTGTTTTTATTGAGACAGTCTCCCTCTGTCACCCAGGCTGGAGTACAGTGGCATGATCTCGCCTCACTGCAGCCTCTGTCTCCTGGGCTCAGGCGATCCTGCTGCGGCCTTCTGAGTAGCTGGGACTACAGCTGCTCATCACCATGCCCGGCTAATTTTTGTCTTTTAGTAGAGATGGTGTCTTGCCATGTTGGCCAAGCTGGTCTCGAACTCCTGGGCTCAAGCAATCTGCCTGCCTCAGCCTCCCAGAATGCTGAGATTATAGGCGTGAGCCCTTGTCCTGGCCCAAAATATGTTTTTACATTTTAAAAATTATCCTTTTCTTTACCAATTAGATTGTCAATTTTTTTTTTAAACAAATGCTTTCTGTGGCCTTGTAGAAAATACTGGTTGGTGGGCACCTCTTCTTGGAAGACTGCCACTGGAGGGTCCTCAGGGTGAAGTCACCCCCACTTGGCTTGATGCTTTGTTACCAGTCTGTTTTTTTTTTTTTCTTTTTTTCTCTAATGGTGGGATAATTTGAAAACTCAACCCTTTCCAGCCAATGGTGAGCACCTGTTCATTTCTCAAGACACCCTGAGCCTCCAGGTGGCCTCCACCAGCGGGGAGCCGAGTGTGCGGCTGGAGTGTGTAGCTGGAGCGTGTGGCTGGAGTGTGTTGCTAGGGTGTGTGGCTGGGGTGTGTGGCTGGGGTGTGTGGCTGGCCTGCTCAGGAGAGACGGGGAGCCGAGTGTGTGGCTGGCGTGTGTGGCTGGAGTGTGTGGCTGGGGTGTGTGACTGGGGCGTATGACTGGGGCCTGCTGAGCGGAGAGTATTCTCAGTTATTTGTTTCCGGCAGATCTGAGAACCTGAGTAGTAGGAACTGCTTCAGGCCTGGGTCCCGGCCCGGGTGGAGTTGCTGTGGAACGCAGGTGTTTTCTGTGTGAGTTTGCTAAGCGCTGTTGGGCGTTCTGGAAGTGTCTTTCCAAAGCAGACATTATCAAGCCAGGGTCCTTGTGGCTACACCAGGCTGGGCGGCTGTGTGGCCCTTTTAGGCAGCTAGAACTGGCCTCACTGGTTCCGGGGATGCGTGCGGTGAGAGTGGGCACATGTCCGGTGAGCTTGTGGAAGTGCCCTGAGACCCTGGTTCCTGCTCCGGAGTACAGAACGTGTGATGATCAGCGATGGGCCACCATGGCGTGACTGGCACCAACAGCGCAGAGACCATAAACATGTTCCTTCCTGCTGACCGGCCCGTACTCCCAGGGTGGTGGCCCAGGGCCTGTCCACCTGGGTCTGCACTTCTGGGCTTCCCTGTCGTTTCCCCAGCTTCCCTTCTGGTAATGAGCTTGGTGCTCCTCCTCTCCCCACCTCTCACCCTTGTGCCTTTGGAAAGGCCTTACTGGACAGACCGGGAACAAGAGGGCATCTGCTATTTCTGGGGAGCTTCAGAAGCTGAGCTCACCGGGCTCGGCTCTGGGAGCATGGTTGTCCTCCAAATACATGTTTTCTTCTTTTACTGATCCTTCTGCTAACCTCGGGACCCCACTATACCAGGTGCTGGGTACACCAAGGTGAGCAGGACCCCGTCCCTGCTTTCAAGAATGGTTAAGAGAATTGCAAAATATTAGTGCCGTGCAGAGTCCCAGGTGCCACCAGCAGGGGCAAATGCAGGCCCAGGAGGGCGCGGCAGTGGAAAGGGGCTGCACAGAGCAGGGGAGGCTCCACAGCTGACTCTCGAATGGTGTTCCCCAAGGGCTAGAGGGGTGTGTGTTAGGGGGTCAGGGTTGGGGGATTTTGTGGCACGGTGACAGACAGTGTTGCAAGAAGAATGAACTCATACACAGACCTGATCACTTGGTGGTGGCTTCACCCTGGAGCCTGTTGTCATTCCCCCTGGCCTCCCTCTGCCGTCTTGCCTCGCCTGGCTCTGCTGCTCTGCTGGCCTCTGCAGCCGGCCTTTGTCTGGGCAGCGAGCAGTGTCCAGGCAGCAGACAGCGGGTAGTGTCCAGGCAGCAGGCAGTGTTCCGGCAGCAGGCAGTGTCCAGGCAGCGGGCAGTGTCCAGGCAGCAGGCAATGTCCAGGAAGTGGCCTGTGTCTGGAGAGCAGATGGTGTCTGCGGTGTATCGGTGTCTCATCTCCAGCTAGAGGGACTTAGGTCCCCATGACTGGTGAAGCCGTTTCAGGAACAGCACTGATGACCAATGGAGCAATCTCTGGCCTAGTTGGGAGGTCCGTCAGGGCTGCTTTGAAGGTGGCACAGGCCATACATGCAGAACCCGGGTGCCTGTCCCACTCCTGCCCCCGTCCTGTGGCCTGGGGTCCAGACACAGGGAGCTGGAGGCAGAGGGGCTGCTGAGTCAGTTAGACAGGCCTCTCTGTTGGCGGGACCACGACTTGACGCCTTCTCCCCTCAACACTTCCAAGGCATACTTGCCAAGGGTCCGCACCCGCTCTCTGGTTCGGGGCCTCTCCCTGCCTCTGTAAGACTGGTGCAGCTGCTCTAACTTGTCTGCCATCTTCAGGTTCTCTGCGTTGCCACCAGAGTGAACTTGCTGGCGTGGGGGTCGGTGTCTGCCGTGAGTCAGGTCCCTGCGCAGTCCTCCCTGGCAGTGGAGGAACACTGGTTCTTTGCCTGGCCCCAGGGCAGTCCCAGCCCCAGAGGTCCCTGGCCTGCGCTGGCTCAGAGCATGCTGGCCATCTGCTTGGGCGGAGCCTGTCCACCACCGCCTGGTGCCTTCCCGCCCATCCTTTTAAGGCCTCTCCTCCTCTGGGAAGCTTTCCCAAATGAGGCAGGCGACAGAGGAGCTTCATCTTCTCCGCCCCATACCTTCAGGGTGGCACGTGGCACCATGAGGAGCTATCTGGGGCTCCCCTGGGTGTCTTCCCCTCCCTGTGAGCTCCTGGAAGGCAGGGGTCCTGGCGTTCTATCTTGCCTTCTTGCATCATGGGTGTGCCTGGCAGCCTGAGGGGTGGGGAGTGGGACCAGGCACTGCAGAGGCCCCCAGCCTCACTCTGAGGCTGGACCTGGAGTCGCAGGGTGGCAGTACCGAACCCAGGTGTGCCACCCGCACACACACAGACCGTGCAGGCAGGGGCGGTGGCTGCTGTTCTTCCATGTGTGTCCCCCTCGTGGCGGCCCTGCATTGCTGCCTGTTGGTGGGGTTAGGGTCTGCTGTCACTCCGTGGGCCATGACATCGCCACTGCCATCACATTTGCAGAGCTCCGTGTGCATACATGATAGCGTCCCGACCAACAGCGCCTCCGGTACACAAAGCCGTTTCTTGGTGAATCAGCAAGTCTGGGCTCCTGCCGTTTCTGGGTGAGCCCTGTGCTTGGACAGTTATGAATCATTTGCTTGCCTCTTGATTTGCGTCAATCAAACCACATGTGAAGAAAGCGGCAGTGAGCAGCGCTTTGCCGGCAGCCTGGCTCCAGCGTGGGGCGGCTTGCCAGGGACAGCCTCAGGAGGCCAGCCTGCGCGGCCTGGTGGTCTGGGCTGAGGGCCTGGGGTGGCTTCGGCCCACGGGGCTTCCGGCCGGCCCCCACCCTTTCTTCCCCCGATCCCCGTCAGCCACGGGAGATGGGTGAGATGGTAATGATAGCGTAGCGTGTGCTGGCTTCCTACGTGTAATCCTGTGGCCAGGGGCACATATTCGCAGCTCTGGGAATGTTTATGGTTGGAAGCCCCTCCGCTGATCTGTTCTTCCCTCTCACACAAAATCACTCCAGGACAGGGCTCTTTGCAAAGATTACTTGTAAGAAAGCCTTAATTAAAAAGAGATGTCACCATGCCCCTCCCCTCCTTCAAACCAAGAGGAGCAGCAGAAGGGGGAGTGGCCCAGGGTCAGAAGGACAGCTGGGAGGAGCGTGGGGGCCAGGCCAGGCCTAGGGAAGGGCCATCCACCTGGGACTTCTGAGCCTTTTCTTTTCTGGAGCAGCTTTGGGGATGAGGCTTGCCCTCCGTTGAGTCACGGTGACAGCTCTGCACTGTGCTGGGCTGAGAGAGCCCCGCCGTGGAGGGCCATCTGGGAAAGTAGGGTTCCCAGGGCCCCCCAGCTTCACTGGCTTGCTTTGCTTTGGTTATTTTCGAGGTAGGCAAATGAGGTTCTCGTTTTTACCGTGAAGGTTACTTGTATTGTTGTTGAATTAGCTGTTGAATGGTAGCTGTTGTCCTAGTTTCCTAGTTAGTCATGGCTGTGGCTCGTGGCTTAGAGACCAGCGGCGCCCTGGCTCATTCCCATCTCTTGCGGGGGCCCATACATGATTCGTCCTTAAAACTGGGAGGGGACGCCGGGGTGCACTGGGCTTGTCCTGTCGTTTGGTAATGATCACAAGTGTGTTTATATGTGACTCTTCCAGGGAATCGTGGAAACTTAGTGGCCATGAGGTCCCCTGGCTCTGAAATTTCTCTCTGAATGAGCTGGGAGGGTGTAACCTTCCACAATTGTGAGCCCAGGTTTATGTTTGCAACAAATAATAAACAGCAAAACAGAACAGAGTGATACCCCCGTCCAAATCTAGCACCTTCACTGGCTATCTTTCATTTTTTATTACGGAAAATTTCAAACATTTACGAAAGTGAAAAGACAATAAGGAGCGGACTAGGCTGCTGTCCCCATCTTCAGCGATGGCTGAGCAGGGCCAGGCCTGCCTCACTGTATTGTTCCAAAGCAGTTCTACCGTCATGCAGGTGTCTTCCGAACATGCGACCCTAATACCATTGTCACAGCTTTAACACATCAACACGTGAATCCATCAAATAATCAGTCATTTAAAATCCCCATTGTCTCAAAAAGTTTTCAGTCTCTTTTCTTTTTGTATGTGGCTGTTGTTCAAATAAGTGTTAAGTAAGGTTCGTGGGTTCTAATGGGCCACTGTCACTTGTGATGGACACAGCCGTTTCCTCCCTCTTGCTCTCCAGTCTATTTGTTGGGGAGCTTGGCTTGTCCTGTTGTGTGGCCACGGCAGAGCTCTCACTGCCTGTGTCCATGTGGCGTGTTGAGCAAGTTCCTCCTCCCTCTCTTTCTGGTGACCTGGCGGTTGCAGCTGGAGCCTGCGCCGGACCGGGGCTAGTTGGCAAGACTGTGGCATGGGGGCGTGGGCGTTCTGCTGGGTGATGAGCGGGTCCTGAAGGTGGCTGTCTAGCTTCATTCCTTCCTTCCTGGGGGCTGCAGAGTGATAATCCAAGACACTCACTCCTGAATCAGGTAAAAGACTTCTGCAGAGAGGAAGTGCCCTCATCAGCTCTTCGGCTCACACAGGAAAGGCTTTCTTTATTTACCATCTTTCAGAGGAATGAGCTCGTTGCTTTACATCATCTGAAGGTCACTGGTGAGTTTTGTCGTTTGTTTTTGTGTGTAATTGTGAGCTTGTGGGTTTAAGTGTGCTCCATGCCTTTTAGGCCTTTGCTGCTGTTACTCTCATTGATGTTCACCTTGTCCTCCTTGATCCACGAGGCCCTGTGGAGTTGGCCCTTGAGTCTTTTGGACATAACCCTTGCAGTCTTTGATTGCTTCCTTGCTCTGCTGTGACAAGACACCTTGTCACCTTGTATAATTCCTGTCCCCGGAATTTATCTGATAATCCCTCATCTCAGTATCCTTAATCACATGTGTAAAGTCCGTTTGAGCATCTAAGGTGGTGTATTTCTAGGTTCCGGGAATGAGGATGTAGACCCTGTGTGGGGTATCATTTATCCTTCCTGTGCTCAGCCCTCAGACCTGCAGGTCTGGTCTCTGACTCTGCCGCTCATCGTGGGCAACTCTCTGGCCAGGTCGCTAGGGAGGGAAGAAGCCGTTGCAGGAATATAGGGACAGCTTGGGACGAGAGGGCCAGGGTAGATGCCTGTCTAAGGGTCTAGGGAGGTACAGAGGTGAGCCCCTCTGCTGCTCTTGTCCCCTACAGTTGCCTGCCCTGCTCTGCCAGAGTCAGAGGGCATCGCCTGGGGCACCCACAGCAGCAGCGCAGGGGTGCATTGGGGGTGAGTGCAGATGGTTGGCTGCGAGAGGTTCCGATGCTGGGTTTGACAGTCAGGGTGGTCTTGTATCTTTTTGATCCTGGCCATCCTTGTGGATAGAAAGTGACATCTTATTGTGATTTTGATTTACATTTTCCTGAGGTTAACAACTAGTGATGACAGTCATCTTTTCACATGCTCATGGGCCATTGTGCATCTTTGGAGAAATGTCTGTTTAAATCCTTTGCTCATTTTAAAATTAGATTATTTGCCTTTTTATTGTTTGAGTTGTCTGGCCCTTTATATTCTAGATACAGCTCCTTGATCAGATATATGGTTTGCAAATATTCTTTTCCATTCTGTAGGTTGCCTTTCTGGATGGTGTCTTTTGAAGCTCAGAAGATTTTTATTTTGCTGGTATCCTGTTTGGCTATTTTTTTCTTTTGCTGCCTGTGTTTTGGTGTCCTATCAGAGACATTTATTGAACTCGGATTGGATTGGAACGATGATGTGGGCCCCCTCTTGGGGCTCCTGGCTTTTGGCTTCTGTTGAATGTAAATGCTAAAAGGCTTCTCTGGGCTGTTAGGAGAGAGGCAGATTTTATTGCCCAGCCAGCTTCTGCAGTGTCTAATGGCTAGATTCGCTTTTCCCACAGTTGTTTTTAATTGAATGTCCGTGGGAAAGTGGCCAAGTAAATGGAAGGTTTCACAGAGAGAGCTGGGTTTCTTTGTTGATTTTTTTTGAAACTGTGCTTTTTTGTCATTACTGTGCAGAGTTTGTTGGAATCTGGCGCCAGGTTGTGATGTCTGCTGAGACTTGTATTGGTCTTGTTGAGTATGGCAGCATTGTAGTGGCTTTTCCCCCACTCGAAACACAAGTTCCAGGAAATTTCGAAGCTCTGTGTAACTTCCAGGTGGACATCTTCCCTGTTGAGAGGTTAATTATGGGACGTGGAGCCATCAGGGACTCTGAATGTGGGACACACATCCTGAGGAGAGAGGCCACGTCTTGGAAGGATGAAGGGCAACCTGTCTTCGGGGTCCAGAACTGGACTCTCACTCAGCAGCTGTGCCGGCCTCAGCCACCCAGGCTTTGTGTCTGTAACATGGGGATGACGACAGTGTCTACCCGATAATCCGGAGATCCACATCGGGGGATGGAGAGCTCTAGGGAGGATGCCGGCAGAATCGGCTCTCATAGTCCTAAACACAATCACCAAGATGAACTGTTGCTTTCATGTGAATTGAGTATTCCTCATTATTCCAAACACAACAGCACTGAAAACTTAGAATGTGTAAACAAAAAACACACTAAGCCGACCGAGCACAGTGGCTCACACCTGTAATCCCAACACTTTGGGAGACCAAGGTGAATGGATTGCTTGAGCTCAGAAGTTCAAGACCAGTCTGGGCAACATGGCAAAACCCCTTCTCAAACCCCTACTCTACTAAAAGTATAAAAATTAGCCAGGCATGGTGGCATGCACCTATGATTCCAGCTACTCAGGAGTGTGAGATGGGAGGATCACCTGAGCCCAGGAAGTCGAGGCTGCAGTGAGCCGTGATCACACCACTGCATTCCAGCCTGGGCAACCGGAGCAAGACCCTGTCTCAAAAAACACCAAAAAACATACTAAGCCCCAACCTTTTTACTGGTTTTAAATTCTGAATCTTGCATTTCCTTCAGCTCCAAATTAATGAGAAAAGTGAAGGTTGTGTGTCTATCAGATAAACCCGGTCCTTTGAGTTGTAAGTATTTTCAGAGATTTGTAACTAATTAGGATATATTTAATATTAATGCACATATTTGCCATGTTTCTGAATGAGGAACGGACACTGTATTTTCCTTGCCAAAAGCTAGCCTACCAGTGTATAATTTACTCTGTATCTGGGGTTTTTTGGAGGTCTGTGCATATTTTGGTTTGAACTAAGAGCCACTTAAGTCTGCACGTGCTGCTCACAGTAACGCTCACATCTGTCGTATCCGTCAACAGGTCGTCTTACTCCTTTCCATTAAGTAGATGGTTTAATGATTTCAGAAATGTCAGATAGTTCCCTGTTAGTGCATGTAAGAAATTATACAAATGCTGAATGCAAGTAGCACATCTTTGTTTGGAACAAGGGAGTGGTCCAGTTCCGAGGAGACTTGAAAGCATTATAATATTCCTGATTAGGTTATAAATGTCTAGGTTTTTTAGCCCCCGGACTATTTCAGCTTATTCTGGATTCTCATTTTTAAAGGCCTCTTTTTCTCTATCGCCTCATTCTATCTCATTTTAAAGTCTTCCTTTTCTCTATCGCCTGCTTCACTGTGTCTCACCATGAAATTTCCTGTTTTTCTGCATGTTGCCAGCTCTGCTCTTTCTCCTTTCCAGTTGAATACATCGGGGGGCAGCTAATGAGCATCCCATTGAGGCCACAGCGAGTTCTTTCGGCTTGCTCAGAATTTCCCTCTCCAAGGTGTCACCAACGGCGCTTTTCTGTTTCCGTCATCCATTCATTTTTACACATACGGATGTGGACAGGCCACAGGGTCCACACAGCTGCTCCAGTGCAGCCCGAGACAGAGCTGATGGGGCAGCCTCCAGGACTCTGGGTCCTTACCTGCTGCCGTGGGAGTCATCAGGCTCCTGAAAGGCTGGTGACATCCTGAGCTCATCCAGAGAGTAGGCTCTGGGACCTCAAGGGCCACCTGCGTGCAGTTGACTCTCTCTCAGAGTTGCCTGTTGTGTTTTGTGTAAGGACATCATTTTGGGGGGCGGGGAGATAAGTCAGGTCCACTCGCTGCTCTTGTCTATGAAGCCCTGACACATGATAATGTGCAATTAACAAAGTGCTGGGATGAGATCCGAGCCAGCCTTGGGTCGTAAGAACCAAACCCATCATTGCTGGCCTTGTAATTATACTGTTGTGTGTGGACAGTTTGTACTTTTTCCCTTTTCGAGCAACTTGGAAGATTTGCTGTGTCTTTAAGTTGAAATGACTTGAGTCATCTTCCCTTAGAAACCTTCTGTGTAGAAACTCAGCCTCTGAACACACGGTGACCCGGCAGTCCCGGCCACGAGGTGACCAGTACTTGATATTTGTCTTTTTAGGAAAGCGCACGGGCTCGCAGTGGCCAGCCCACTGGGGCATGAATAAGGACCCTCCTCCTCCAGGAGGCCAGCAGGGCCTCATGCTTCTCATTCAGTGGGGAAAACTGGGGTTCTGAAGAATGGAGCTTGCAGAGAATTCCTGCAGACTGGAATGGAGTTTGGCACTCAGCTAAAAGGTGTTGAGGTGACACCTGCAGGAGTTACCTGGCCAGTGCCAGGAAGTCAGACCCCACCCTTCCTTGGGCACACAGACAATGTACAATATTTGCTAGGTGCATGCATGCATGCACGTGTATGTAGATGTGTGAATGTATGTGGGTGTGTGAATGTGTGTGGGTGTGTGAATGTGTGTGGGTGTGTGAATGTGTGTGGGTGTGTGAATGTGTGGGTGTGTGAATGTGTGTAGATGTGTGAATGTATGTGGGTGTGTGAATGTGTGTGGGTGTGTGAATGTGTGTGGGTGTGTGAATGTGGGTGTGTGAATTGTGTAGATGTATGAATGTATGTAGATAATGAATGTATGTACGTCTGAATGATGGGGGTGCTTGGATGGCTTCCATCTGCTGGTAAATTAGGTCTTAGTGTGCACAGTAAGAGGGTCTTCTAATTGAACGTTTCCAATGGTAGCTCCTAGAATCAAGCCGCTGGAAGCTCAGCTATGGAAGTGATGGGTCCTTGAGATTTCTTGCCAGTGCGATTAGTCTTTCTTTAAAAGCCAGCTCAATTCCATTCTTCTATGTCGCCATTTCTTTGTTTCTTTCCATTTTGTGGGGGTAGGGAGCCTGGCACCATCCACCTGGTGCCCTAAGGTCCCCTGGTAGGCTTCTGCACAAAAGCTTGCCTGTCTGACCCTGTTCTTGGTTGACAACTGATGAAAAGGCTAAGAGAAGTTCAGTTCTCACACCTGGATCTCTGCGGTTTCCTGGGGAGTCCTGTTCCCTTTTCTCTGTCCAGCCCTCCTGAGGGGCTGTGTCCCTGACAGGAAATGGGTGGTCACCTGGGATTACCCTGTCTTCCTTGGCCTGCAGGCCATCTAGTCACAGGGCAGGTTCTTCTGTCCCTCCAGGTGGTCATGAGCACCAAACCGATTGTACTGTGGAAATGCTTGGTAAAAGCCAGCAGGGAAGAAGTATGTTGATTCCTTTTTGTGGTAAGTTAGAACTCAGAGAGAAATTTGTTTACTTTCATGATGAATATCTTTATCCTTGACATGTGGCTTATTTACTCAGCGTCTTTTCAAAATCACACTTTATCCTGAGAAAAATCTAGACCCAAGTCTAATCTCTGATCTCTTGGGTCACTCTTCACAGTGTGGAATGGGCCCTGCTCCTTCCAGGACAGGCCTGCCTAGGGCTGTCAGTGGGGCCTGGCCCGCCAGGGCCACCGTCCTGGCCACCAGCCCGAGTCTGGGAGTGGCCAGCGCTGTTGGCATTCCCAGTTTGCTGAGGACCAAGTTCACTTCCTCCAGCACCCATTCCAACTTCCTAAGGAGAAAGCTCAGCAGCGAGAATGGGATGAATTGAGCAAATAAAAAAAATTACAACCAAGTGAATTTAAACCCCTCTCAAAACATTTTCTGATTATTCTGGTAACTCTTTGACCTAATTTGGACAACAGTTAGAGAAATTCAGATTTATGCCTGGAATTCAAGTATAGCCTGTAGCTTGGTGTGTGTGTTTTAAGTGCTTGATATTTGTCTTTTTAGGAAAGTGCACTCATTCTTAGACGAGACGGTATTTGAAAGACTGTTTGGAATGTGCAGAATTACCATGTAAGAACTCAGAAGCTGGGAACAATGGCAAGCGGCTGGCTTTGGGTGGAAACTAACCAGCTGGCTGGAGCAGTCTCTGTCCTTGACGGAGGGAGAAGCCTGCGAGGGGATGCAGAGGACCTGCCCCAGGGCAGAGCTCTTCGTGAGGGGCCTCGTCCCTGTGATTTGAGTCCCCATTGCCGTGTAGAAGGGCGCAGGGCCCCTGGCACAGGCCTCTTCTGTGGAGCCCTCCAGGTCTGCCTTGGCTCAGGGCTCCGCCTCCTGGTGAGGAAGTGTCACGGAGCTGTGGTTTAACGTTTCCGGTTTGTGGCTAGTTTCTTGTGTGTACAACTCTCTATAGCTGTGCCAAGCCCTTCCGGGAACAGTTGTAGATTTTTGCTGCCTTCAGCACGTCCTCAAGGGTTTGGGGAGTCCTTGCTGTCCACCGTTGTATCTGGGGACCCTGGGCAACTGCTGAGTGGTGCCATGGGCCCTGGTGCTCCGCTGGGAACTGTTGGCCACTGGTGCTCTTCAGACTCCATCGGCTTCCTCGGGAGGGTCTGTATCAGAGGCCGTCTGTCTGGTGTGATATGGACGGGTGTGGTATGCGTGTCCATGGTCACGGATTAGTGTTTACGAAGTGTAATTATAGGTGCAGTGGATGGGAACTTTCTGTGGGCCGGGCACTGCCCTAGATCCTGGACGGTGGTAGGTCCCACCATCTCCCAGGTCATAGATGGCAACATCAGAGGTCAAGTAATGTGTCCAGTGCCACAGGAGTGCTAGGTGGTCAAGCGGCACCCCCCATGCAGTGTACAGCTGCCGCGGAGACCATGTGGGCACTTACTCTCCCTCTGCACAGCTGTGAGCACCAGCTGTGCACAGCCACTGTGCCCAGGATGCCCAGGGTGGTGTCCTGAGAGATTACCAGTAGCCCTGCCTTGTCCCCTGTGGCTTAGGGGACCTCCAGTGGTTAGGGCTGGGGGAGACGAAACTAATGACCTGGTGTCCCCTGGGGAAGGCCACAGCACCTGGGTGTGGGGTGGAGCAGGAGTCCCAGGAGCTATAGAGGCCAAGCGGGTGCCTTGTAGACACCGTCAGTGCTGGCTAAGTGAAGGAAGAGCCTCTTCCACTTTACAAGCTCACAGTCCCCTTTGGGCTACCTGGAAATGGTGACATTGGGAGGGTCCCAAGAGGCAGATGTAGAATGTGGAGACAGAGGGAGAGAGGGTGGGATGTGAGCTGTGAGCTGCAGCGCTTGCCTTTGGGTGTGTGGAAGCCATGATGATTTCTTGGCCAGTGGCTTATAATTTCCCAGAGGGAGCAAAGGTGTGTGTCATGAAATCGTGGACTCTTGCCTCGGGACAGCTGGTATGTAATTGTTAGCCTCATTTGTCCTCAGCAGCCCCGGAGGCACCTCTGGAATAGGTGGGGGTAGCATGGCCAGCACAGGGCCAGGCCCCCCTGGGCAGGTGGGCTGTGAATCTGTGCTGCAGGCAGGATGGCTGTGCGGAGGTCATGGAGGGCTGGGCAGGCCAAGCCAGTGGCTTGCAGTGCAGGGCATTGAGGACAGTCAGAATCTCAGTGTGGGCTCCTGGGACCAGGGTCCCGGCCTATGGAGAATCAGGGGCACGTTTCCCACCTAGCGGCTCTGCTACAGGAAGTAGGCCTGCCTGGAGTGTGGGCTCCCTGCCTCGGGCACTGTGCTGGGATGCCGGCGAGGGGCTATGGCAGTGTGGTGGGCTCCGGCTGGCCTGGCCCCTTGGCCTTATGGTTCACCTCTGGTCTCAGCAGCCTTCACTGGCTGGCAGCCCCTCTGGATGCCACAGCAGCCTCTGCGCAGGCTTAGGGGCTCTGTGTCCCCCTCCCTGTCCTTAGAGGGGGAGCTGGGCAAGGCAGGCCACGCTCCTGCCATACGGTTGGTGTATGAGGATGGACAGGCAGCTCGCTTTGGCCTCACCTCATCCCACCAGGCCCAGGAGGTCAGTACTCCAGCCTGATCGGGGCACTGCCCACTCAGCACCAGCCAGCCCATGGCATGGTTCCCGCATTCCCATTCACCCCCAGGACCTAGCAGAATGCTTGAGCTCATGCATAACCTTAAAATGGTGTTTGGAAGTTCCAAGAAGCCTGGTGTCTCTGACACTGTTGTTTGGGATCCTGCAGAGCTGGCTGACCTTGAGCCTGCACCCAGCCTGGTGGCTGTGTCTTTGTGGGGTGCCTGTGTTGGTGCCGGCGCTGTGGCCTGGTGAGCATTGGCATCACCTCGTGTTCCTGCTCTGTCCTTTGTGCCTCAAGGCTCTGCGGAGCAGGAGAGTCAGGGGCAAAGGGAGGGCCTGGGTTCCCGCCCCACCGCACCTCCCCCCAGGAGGGCTCTTCACCTGTCCCACATGCAGTGCCCAGAAAGCACAGAGGGGTGGTGCTGGGAGGCCACTAACAGTGGGGTTTTTCTTTGATTTTGGAAGTGCTGTTTCTGAGTGGGAGGCCTTGGCTTCTCTGGAGGAGTGATTTATTTTGAAACCACACCCATTGCTGGGCTAAGATTGACTTCCTGATACGAAAGTCTGTGGCGGTGTTTGCTGAGAAGTCACACGTTTGAAGGGGAGGGTTTTATGACTTCATCTGTGATGCCTCTGGAGTACTGTCAGAGGCTGTGATTTTTCCTGAGTGTGCTGGACCCATCCTGGGGTTGGCACACATGTGGGAGCCCTGCTTGTCACTTGGGGGTTAAGGGTGACCTGGAGCAGCAAGTCCTCCCCTGGGGCGGGTTCACAGTGGTTCAAGGGAGGTGGGAGAGCCCCAGGGCTGGCCCCTGGCTCTTTGGCCCCCATCCCCCACTCTCCAGCCCCTGTCAGGCTCTGCACCCCTGTCCACTTCAGCCCGCATTGGGCCTGCCCTGCTCTGCAGGGGGAGGGGCAGGAGAGTCCATCTTCAGGGTTCTCTGAAGCTGGACAGTTCTGAGAGGCAGCTTCCAGCTCATGGAAAAAAGAAAGCCCATTGCCACACCTCCAGCAGCATATGGGGGCCTTCAGGTCCCCGGAACACCGAGTAGGAAGGAAGGGGCAGGACCCTCCGACGGGGCAGCAGTGGGCCAGGTGTCCCCCCTGCACAGTGTTTACACCCTGGGACCTGCCGCAAGGCATGGCTTTCAGAAGAGCCTCCCCCCAAGAAATGCTGCAGACAGGACGGGGCTTCTAGAGACCTTGGCTTCTACCCAGGAAGGCTGATCTATTCTTCGACTGTTGCATCAGCTTCCTCAACCTCTGCAGGTTCAGGCTGCGAGCCCTAGGGAGCATCACTCAAAGCACCCTGTTGGCCACTTAGGATCAGGAGGGCCTCGGCTCACCCAAGCCATCTCCCTCTGGTCGCATGTGGTTGGCTGTCCTGTCAGAGCCGTGGGCAGCCACACTTCTTTTTCCAAGATAAACCGCTGCATCTGCCCAGCGACCTTCATGTGTAGTCTTACATTAGCACATTCTTAACAGACATTTAGAAACCAACCAAACAAAATCCAGTTTCCTGCCCCCACGGTCTTTCGCTCTTTTGCCACACTCACAAATGTGAGCTGCATTTGGAAATGCCTGTGCTTCCATTTGCAAACCGAAGCTGAATGGAACCTGGCAGGCGCATCTGCTCCTCCGCAGTGGAGGCTGGGGCGGCCCGAGCAGAAAGAGGTGAAGCCTGTGCCTGCTGGGAGTCCCCGAGCGGCAGGAACTCCGGTGTCTGGGATGGCCTTTGGGGTGTGACCTTAGGCTGAGGCCAGAGCCCGTCTCCCCACGAGCTCCCCGCCTGGCCTGGGAAAGTCAGCCCCCTCCTTTCCAGGGCTGTGTCTTCCCCCTTTTGTTTTCAGTCATTGAGCCCCCGCTCGAGGATGGCCCCCACCCCAAAGGTCCTGTGTGCCCTGAGTAAGCCACTGGCTCTCAGAGGTGCCCACGTACCCTTCCTTTCAGACTGAGGGGAGCAGTGGCCAGACAGGGCTCTGCCTTCACGGAGCTTCCCCTCTGCAGAGAAGGGGCAGAGTGGCGTCACTGGGCAGCCAGCTTAGATCGAGCAGCAGGAGGCGAGGCTCAGCCGAGTCGGACAGCTGGGGCCAGGCAGGCGGCTTGCTCTGCATGCCCAGGACAGCAGCACTGGGCTCTGTCCCCCCGTCGGTGCCCCCGTGTCTCTCAGGAACCCCTTCAGATGTGGTTAACACCTCCAACTTGGAGGCCTTTCCTGACTGTCCTGACCCTGTTTATTCTTCTCTCCCGTGTCCTTCTAGAACATACTCTCAGGCAAGGCATGAAGATGCTGCTGTGTGTAGAGCCTCACTTCCCTGCCCTTGCCCCTGTCCTTGACAGCAGCTCCGTGCGGGCCTAGCAATACCCGTTGGGCATCAGTGCCAAGAGCTGCCCTGCCTGGGGGTTCCTGGTGGTGTAGACGTGGACGCCTCCACACCTGTGCAGTGAGGCCCATGGGGCAGCTCCGAGGGGGAAGCTGTTCACCTGCTGCCTGTTGTGAAGAGAAGGGGTGATCTCCAGGCAGGGGACTGGGCGGGCTTCGGGGCGGCTGATGTGCAAGGGGCTGGGATGGGCGGGGGTCCTCAGGGTGGGCTTCGAGACAGCTGATGTGTAGGGGGCTGGGCTGGGCGGGGGTCCTCAGGGCGGGCTTCGGGATGGCTGATGTGCAGTTGCACAGTGGCCCCGTGCCCTTGGAGCCATTCTGACCTCTGGGGCAGAGGCTAGGGCACCGACACAGCAGACATGAAGGAGGGTAGTGTTTTTCATATTTTCTAGCAGTAATTGCAGTGGTGTGTATGTGCCTGTGTCACCGCCGCAGCAGGTTCTGGGATCTTCTCTTGGTCCCGAGTGTTTGGGGCAGTGTCCACATCCTTCATTCTCTCGTGTCTTCATCGGCATAATGGGCCCTTCCTGGGGCTTGGCTTCCCGGGGGCTTCACGCGTAGATCTTTCGTGAAGCACAGAAGCTTCCAGGCTGTCTCAGTGGTGCCGTGACCTTCCAGTGAGGGATCCACTCCTTAGAGCCTCACGCTCTCCTGCTCACCAGGGCACCAGCTTTTCCAAGAGCTGCTGGGTGGATCCCAGAACAGTCCCTCCGTGTCCTTAGTGCCTGAGCACAGGCCTCCTCGTCTGTGTTCTTGGGCTGCGAGCGTGGCCCACAGAATGCCCTGTGCCCGTTGCGCCTTCAGCCGTGTGCACCCTTGGGGGTGTCCCGCTTGTGGTGCCTGCCCACCCCTGCACTAGCCCAGGTCTCGTTGGTCCCACACTCTTGCCCAGAAAATGGAGCCAGGCTGAGGATGGGGACATTTGGCCAAGAGTGTCAGAGCCAGGCTCTGGCCCCCTCAGAGTAGAGATCAGTCTTGCCTGCTAATGGCATTACCTCATCTCGGACCTGGGCAAACAAGGCAAGGGTGATTTGAGAAGATCCTCGTCTGTTTCTAATTAAATTTCTATCTCTGCTTTCACAAAAGCTTCTCTTTTATCTCTTCCTCCTAATTATTTTTAAAATCTCAAGGAAAATACATCCCTTCCACTTACGATTCCGCAGAGAACCAAATTGCTACTCTGTTTCTAAAGTGTGTTATTGTGGTCTCTGATACTAAGCCAAGGTTTCTGTAATCCCACTAAAATTTTATCTCACATCACAGAAATTTAGGATTCCCCCAAGGAGACACCACAGGAGGAAATACTAGCTTATAAAAAGCCACGTGGATACCTTGTCGTGGGTCTCAGTGGACCGTGGCTCCTTCTTGGGCCTTGGGGTGAGCGTGGCCCGGCGTCACTGCAGGCGGCGCTGGCGTGGTTGGGAGGGTCCCTCAGGGCTTTCCCTTGGAGCGACAAGGGGGCAGATGCCACCCTGCTGGATTCCCACCTAGGGCCTCTGTGTCTGGGGCCTTCAGGGAAGAGGCCAACCTGTAGGGGCCGGGGGCTCACGAAGGCAGTGCTTTCATGGCGCCAGGCAACCCGAGGACCCTCCGACATAGGCTTTTCGAGACTCTCAGTTGCCCTGGGCAGGCTGGCAGCAGAACCTCCTGGCTGGGCCGGGTGGGGGGTGTCCCTGCCGGGCTCCTGCCACTGTTAAGGAGCGAGGGAAGGTTCTGGGGTGGTTTGAGTTGGAAACCTCGCCTTCTAAGAGTGGACCAGCCCACTGCTGCCCCTTCCTCCCCGTGGGCCTGGGCCACCATCTCACCAGGCCCTCTTAGGACGCTGACTTCTGCTTTTCTTCAGCAGGGAGACCCCTTGTCCAGCCTTGTCTCTAGCCCGTGGGTTGTGGGGGAACCAGAAGGCTCCTCCTCTGTGGACCTGAGGCTCCCAGCCTGGGAAGTCTACATGCTGGCTGGCAGGCTAGTAAGATGCCCATTTTTGGCAACTGTTGAAGCGTGTTTTGTCATGTCCTAGGATGCCCCATGGATGCACCTAACAGGGTCCCCAGGGCCTGCCCACCTCCCAGAGCCCAGGCCTGCCACGGTTTGCTTCCGTCTGTGCAGAGCCTGGCTGGCTGTGACCACGCTCCATCTCAGCACACGGCAGCTGCTGGGGTGGAGTTCTGGACTTGGTGCCTTCTGTACGCCCTCCTTAGTCTCATCTCTAGCGTGTTACCTGGGCTCGTGTACATTCTGTTGAATTTAGTTCCTAAAGTGCATTTAGGCCTCGGCAGTACCTGTCTCACCTGCACGTTTCTTGATTTTCTGTTTGCCTTTACAGAATGGGCCAGCTGGGCTCAGTCTTATCTTTAACACCACCCCGGCCACCCCATCTCAGGAGGCTGAGGCTTAAGCCCAGCCTGGGCAATGTAGCAAGATCCTGTCTCTACAGAAACAAACAAAACATCCAGAACGTCCACCTGAAACCTTAGTGCCGCATCGAGTTTAGGTGCATGTACCTGTGGGGAGCGGAGACTGCCGCTCCAGCCGCTCCCAGGCTGGCTTCCGTCTCCACCCCAGTGCCCTGGCCTTGTCATCTTCCACGTAGGAAGCTGGGTTTTCTTGGTGGCCGCTGACAGGATAGGCTTCCGTGCCTCCTTCTCAGGTTCAAGGTGTGAGTCCCCATCCCAGCAAAGACAGAGCCATTTGCACAATGCAATGTGAGCCGCCTTCCTGCCCTCCATGGGAAAGAGAGGCAGCGCTCGGGCCCCAGGTGGAAGGCGTGCCCAGGGGGAGGCCAGGCATGAGAACACTGCAGCAGGGGGACCTCACATCCCCTCACATCCAACCTTGCAGGCTGCAGGAGCAGAGCCGGAGGCCACAGGCCACAGGCCACACAGCAGGGCCACAGAGAAGCGGTACTCCCAGGAGTGAGTGGCCTGATAGGCATTTGATAGAGACACTTGAGGCTACAGTGTTGGGATTGCTGGCGGGAAGAGAGATGAGGCCAGCAGGCCGGTTTGGGGCATTCTGTACCACGATGAAGGATAATAGAAACTTAGCATGTTTATTGGACAATAAACAGACCCTGCTCCAGACCCGTTATTTGTACCACTTAGTTAATACTCGTATCAGCACCCTGAGATCCAAGCGTTGTCCTTCCCATTTTATGATGAAGAAACTGGGACATATAAAACTTGCCTAAGATCTGACAGCTAGTGAGTGAGGGAGTCTGGTTTGAATTGCACGTCTGGGTTCAGAGTCCACGGTCTTACCCACCATGCGATGCTTTTGCATGAGCGTGTGTGTGTGCGTGTGTGCAAGAGAGTCGTCACAGGGCGCCTGCAGAGTCTGGACACGCGGTCCGCAGAGGGGCTTCCGTTGGATGGGACACCCCAACCTCTGTCTTTCAGCTGAACTTCACCAAAAGGAATTGCTCAGCTTATAGAGGTGGCGGCCTGGCATGCAGTTAGGAAATCAATCACAGCGTTGGGGGTGGAAGGCAAGGGAGCGGTGTCATCTGGCTCCTTGAGTCTTCAGCCTTCCTTCCTGGGCTCTGGCAGGAGCTTCACCCTTAGATCCTCTTCTCCTTAGCTGGCTGTCAGATGCCCTCTGTGTGACAAAGGACGTTTCACTGTGTCACTTCTCTCTTCCTCTCCTGCCCCACAAGGCCATATTTCCTACTTGCAGGCTGTGATCTAGGGACTGGGGCTCACGCCATACCACAGGCTCTGGGCTGAGAAGAAACTCCTTTTTTCTTCAACATTGTCAGCAGAGATCTTTCCTCTTCATTAGTCTTTTTAAACAACCAGGTTTTGGTTTTGTCACTTCGGTCTATATCTCTTTTCTGTTTCAGTAAGTTCTGTTCTTATTACTTCCTTTCACTTTTATGAGTTTAATTTCCGTTTGTTTCTAAGCCTTTGAAGTGGAACCCGAATATGAGGATTTTAAGGCCATTTTCCTCTATGCATGGCTTTCGCTGCTTCCCAGAAAATTTAATGTGTGCTATTTTTATTACCCAATTTCCCTTTGGCATATAGGTAATTTATAAGTGTTTTTTTGGTTGTTGTTGTTTTGTTGTTGTTTTGTTTTTGAGACGGGGTCTTGCTCTGTCACTCAGGCTGGAGTGCAGTGGTGTGATCTCAGCTCACTGCAGCCTCCACCTTCCAGGCTCAAGCAGTCCCCCACCTCAGCCACCTGAGTAGCTGTGACCACAGTTCTACCACGCCTGGCTAATTTTGTGTATTCTTGGTAGAGACAGGGTTTCACCTTGTTGCCCAGGCTGGTCTTGAACTCCTGAGCTCAATTGATCAGCCCACCTCAGCCTCCCAAAGTGTTGGGGATTACAGGCGTGAGCCACTGCATCTGGCCAAGTGTATTTTAAGGTTTTCCTAGTTCTTTTTTGTTGTTGATTTTTACTTTAGTTGCATTATATTCAAAAAAATGGGGTGATACGCTGTCAAAGTCAGGAATCAGTACCTGTGTTAAAGTCTACTTTGTCTGACGTTAATATTGCTATGCCAGCCTTCCTTCGGCTGTTATTTGCAAGGTACATATTTTTCCAACTGTTTTCTTTCCATACTTTGCATAGCTGTATGTTTTAGATATTTCCTTGTGAAAAGCATGTGTTTGGGAATTTTTTTAGTTTATGTTCTTCTATGCAGTCTGGCAGTCTTCACTTCGGAGTAGAGCCTTTAGTTTGTTTACATTGAACATGATTGCCTAGAATGTTTGTGTGCCCATCTGCCATTTCACTGTGCCCTTACTCCTTTGTCCTGTCTCTTCTGTGGCATACTTTATTATTTGTCAATATTCATTTCCATATATCCACACGTGTAAACCCTTTTCATTGTTCTTTATATGGGTGTTCATTTCCAGTCTTCCCTCTGAGATCAGGTGTGAGAATGTCTTCTGGTGTAAGATGATCAGTCTTTGTTGGAAAATGACTCTTTGAAGAATGCCCGTGCTGGTTAGAGGATTCTAGTTTGACAGTTACCATCTTCTAGTACTTCTAAGCAGTCCTTCTGCACTGTGAAAGATATTACTGTTTTCTGGTTTACGTGTTTCCGTTGAGAAATCACCAGTCATCCTAACTGCTGTTCTTTGTAGGTAATCCCCCCTCCCCCTCCACGGCCGTTTTTGTTTTCAGCAATTTTCCCTGGTGTCTTTTAGCCATTTGGGGTAGTTCTTGGCCAGGGTCCTTTCAGACGTGCTTTTGACCCGTTCAGTGTCTCCTTTCCTGTGTCTGCCTGCACATTCTGTCTCGGTGCCTTCTGTTTCTCCAACTTCCTGCCCTTGACTTTTGAGATCATTCTGGAAATGTCCTTCTGGCCCACCTTCCTACTCACAAATTCACTCTAGCTGTGTCTAATCTGTTAAATGATGGAGTCCTTAATTTCACTTTTTGCATTTTTCAGTTCTAGAATTCTCTTTTCAAGTTTCCAACTCATCTTCTTAAACATAGAAATCATCATTTCTTTAAAATCTATTTCTAAAACTGCCGCAGGATCTTAAATTGCATTCAACTCTTTTATCGTTACTAGAACACTATTGATATTCCTACTTTGAAACTATTGTTTATGGGTCCTGGTATTGCAGCAAATAAGTAACAAAGTCTCTTTCTCAGAATTCTATTATCTGGAGCACCTGAGGGTCTTTTTCTATTGTTTGTTGTTCTGTTGGGTTTTTTTTGTTGGGTTGTCTTTTCCTCTGCCTGATATGTGAATGTGTAAGTGTGTGTGTTGAAAATATTATTTGCAAAATCTGTTGAGACAGTTTGAGGCCTAGGATGATGACATCATCCTCATTAGTAGACTGAAGTTTGTTTCTGCCTGGTGCTTGGGGGCCCTAGCAATGAGTCATCACTTCAGTTCTATTTCAAGGATTACAGAGTCATTAGAAGCAGAGCTGCAATTGTTGAGGGTCCATTTATTGTGGAGTCTCTTTTTTTCCCTAGGGGTTGCTTCCAGATCCCAACCCACATTTCCCTCCTTCTCTCCTGCCTGTCAGTCCCTGGAGTTCTCCTCCTAACCCTAATATCTGCAAGAGGCGGTCAAAAGTACTAAAGATTCTTAGATGGCTGGGGGTGGGGCTCTGCAAATACCAACAGGGGAAAATCAGCCCCAAATGCCATCTTCACCCCCCAGCCTTTGTCTGGTCCTGTAATTCTTCACTGTTTTTTTTTAACTTAGTAGTGTCATCAAGAAGATGTGTTTATATTTGTCCAGCTTTTGTGATTTTTCTCTCTGCTAAGGCTGGACCACATGGCCTATTTCACCTTTTTTCTTTTTTTTTTTGCACTTGTGTTTTTTGAAGCAGTCATGTTTATTAAATATCGATATTCAGAGTTTTTTTGGTCAAAAACAAAATTCTTCTATAAGATGATTAGCAGTATATATGGAAAATCAGGCAATTTGAAATGAAATTAATAACTAAGATAATTATTAAAGGGTTTATAGGAATGCTTATTCTGTTATTTACCCAGAGTTATTTGTCTACATGGATATTTTAGAGTTTTAACAGCAAGTTTATGTGAGAATAGGTGTTTCTGTTGAGGGACATCTGAAAATACCCAGGTTCTTCTGTCTTCTTAGGCTATCCCACGTGGATTCTTGGTCTAGTGGATCCGATTAGCAGTATACCTGCATTCTAACAAATGGAATGGTAAAATTAGTATTATTAGCATGTTAAGGTCAAACTGTTTCCAGGTACTCTTGCTTGGGTAGAGATTTGGAAGTTGACTATATTTGAAATCTGAAGGGTGACAAGTCAGTGTTTCTCCACATTATCTGTTTCCCCATAGGTAGCTTGATTTATTCATCCAGTCATCTGCCCATCCAGTCCCTTCTGCTGCTGAACTAGTCATTGCTTCAGGGTCATGGACACAAAAACAGACAAGGGTATGCCCCTCTTAGGGGCAGACACAGAACAGTATCAGTGGAGCGATCTGAGGAAGCCAGTGTTGGCAGGGAGCCTTCTAGATGGCCAACACCTTCTATGAAAGAGGAGGATGCTGCTGGGGTGAAGTCCTGGCCTTCTGGGAGGGGCTGGAACCCGCCTCGGCGCTGGGTCAGTGCTCTGGATGGCAGCCTGGCCCCGACCAGCCTGTCCTTTCCCCCATGTGTTGTTCTGAATCTCTTTCCCCTGCGACAGAATTCACAGAAAAAGCAAACCTAATTTTTTCCTTAGTCAAAACTATTAAAAAAGAAAAATCCCACACTTAAAGCCAGACCTCTGCAGAAGTAAATTTGGGAATTCATTCTTGGATTTGTTTCTCTCCTGCCTTAAAAGAGAAAGAAGCCTCCTAGAAGGAGCCCCACTGAACTTGTTTGCTGTTTTCTTCAGTGAACCGCTTTCTGTGGCTCTGCCTCTCTGAGAATGTTTCAAACTCTGAAACGCAGCTGGAACACACTTGAGATGCTCCACACAGACTACAAAGTGATGGCATGGACTGTGCAGAACAGATGCTGTTTGCATTAAAATAAAAGACAAACATAATATTTGCATTAATCGAGAACCTTTGCAGGAGTATTTGCATAGAGTGGTTTATCCTTTTCCAAGAGCTGGTTACTCTTAACTAATTTCTGAGTGTAGAAAGGATAAGCAATCTTTTGCTGATTATTTCTCACAAAGAATTGCTTTTGCCCAAGTGTGTAGCTGTTTCCAAAGACGGGCTCTCCGACATGCACGTGTGATGTTGAGTGCAGCACAGGAAGAATGGCCCATGTGCCTGGCAGTGATTGCTGTCAGTCATGCTCTTGGGAGCTTTTTGTGTTTCAGAGTAGGATTGCTGAGCTCGTACCCTGCTTTTAGTGGTACTGAACTTTGTTTCAGCAGAGTTGTGCAGAGTTACTCACACTAGACCATATTTCAGTGGCCTCCTCTTCCTCCTTATAATGAGAAGAAGCCAAGGCTGTGGCATGTTGGCGTGTCAAGTGTTTTGGTGCCTGTGCGTACAATTTCAGGGACAGCTGTACTTAATTCTTATTTCATTAGTGAAGGCTGTGTAAGAATAAAGACAAAGGACTCAGAGCAAAGAAAAAATGACGGTCTCTCAAAGAGAAGTAGAGCCCGGAGATGCAGGTCATAAACCCTGCATAATTGGCTCTGAGTTTCTTAGCTGTCAAAGGAAAAAGGGAAGCCCTTTAATTTTAAGGTCTATGTTGTTCTTAAGAGGAAACCAACCAGGTGTTTTAAACAGTGACTTTGAAACACACACACACACACACACACACACACACAGTGAGAAAACAAGATTACACATAGTCTCGGTATCTGTATGAACCTTTGTATTAATTGAATATTCAGTAGTTATTAATGTGTACTTACATGATTTACTAGTGTTTTTGCCTTACCATTGCTTCTGTCATCTTACTCTTTCACCTGGGATATGATTTTCTTCCTTCTGACATAATCCCTTGTTAGTTCAGCAATGGTTTCTGAATGGTAAGTACTCAAGTTTTGTTTATCTGAAAATGTTTTTGTTTTCCCTTTTACCCGAATGATAGTTTAGATAGGTGTAGAATTGCAGGTTGCTGTGTCTTTCAGCATGTTTGAAGACATTTCATTATCTTTTGGCTACTTTTGTTGCTGTTGAAACATTGCCTCTCAATTCAATGTTCTTAGATCATCTAACTTTCCTACCTTGGTGCTTTTAAGATCTTTTTCCATGTTTAGTGTTTAAATGTTTTATTGCACTGTGTCTAGATGTCGATTCACACTTATTTATCCTAATAGAGACTTAGCATGCTTCTTAAATCTAAGGACTGTTATGTCTGAATTCTGGAATATTCTCATTCGTTATCTGTTTTAATACTGCATTTGTACATTTTTTCCATTCTTTAGGAACTCATACTAGGTCTATGTTGGACCATCTTATTCTTTTATCCTTGCTTCTCTCCTTTATCTTTTCCTATCTTTGTGCTGCATTCTGGTTAGTTATCTAGATCTAGTTTTATCTTTATATCTAATTTGCTGTTTTTATCTTTAACTAGATCTAATCTGTTCTTCTCAATTATAGAAAATTCACTTAATTCTTTTTAAAAACTTCTCATCTCCCATTTCCAGGTTTTTTTCCTTCATGATAGTTTCTCTTCTTCATTTAACTTTTTTTTTTTTTTAGCGCAGCTTGTTGTCTTTTCCACATTGTTTTAATATTTGTGGACATTTTGGAGTCATTTCTCGGTTTTGTTGTTCTTGCCGATTCCCACATGGTGGGTTGTTTCCATCTATCATTTGTGATGTTAAATTTGCATGGTAAACTCTTCAGCAGGGGACTTTCCTCCCTCCCTTCCTCTCATCCTTCTTTGTGTGTTTTGTGTGCTGTGGATTGTGGGTGTAGCCCTAAGGAGCTATTTTTCTTTGTCTTCCTGGGGCTACAGGGTTTCCCAGGTTCTAGACTAGTTTTACCCTTATTTCTAGACTTGAGATTCCAGAACTACTCAAAGAATATGAATCTGGAGGCCACATCCACAGGGACCCAGGTTTAGGGTCTTAGATTCTCACTGAAGCCTCTTCCTAGCAACCCTCTATTGCTTCCCAGGCCTGGTGGGTGGGGTTTTCTAGTTCTCTTTTCATAGACCAGACAGTCCTCCAAGAGTTCTGCCCGGACACAGGGTCTCAGTTCCAGTTCCCTGTCCAAGCCACGCTCATGGCCACCTCTCCTGCCCACCCAGATATGCAGCCGCCCACTGGCTCCCTGGTGCCTGTCTCCAGTTCTGATGACTCTTGGGCCCCAGGAACAGGCAGCTGGGTCTTAGTGCACCTGCTCAGAGGGCCGTTTGCTTTCTTTCCTTTCTGGTAATTGGGGTCTTCTCTTGAATTCAACTCTGCCTACAATATTAGGGCGAGATTTTATTCTATCTTCATAACTGTTTCTTTGTTCTTACAGTGGGAAGCGAGGGATCCTTATCGAGTCAGTGCAGTAAGGTTTGGGAACCTAAAGTTCTGGTTGACTTGCTGTGTTCTGTAGCTCTGTGTTGTGGACATGAGGAGGCTCTGTGCTTTTCAAAGTGTAAAATTGGCTTTTACTACAGGCGCGTGTTAATTCAGAACATCAAAGCAAGGAGTACACATTCAGCCACTGCTGTTTTCCAGTTCCTCTTTTCTTGTAGTTGAGTTAAAAGGCTAGCCCTTCTTTCTAGTTGTCTGAATATTAGATGTGACATCGGTCATAACAGCATACAGGGGTGTTCGTTTTAATTCAAGATTGCCTTCATGCCCAAGTGTGGGACTTTATGGGTATAAAACCAAAGAAATTTGCTTTAGATTACGAAAGCTGCATCTTTGTTTTGTTTTGATGTAATTTCTGTGTTTTCTTTGCCGTATGATTCTGATTTTTACCACGCTAACGCAGTGGTACAAGATTTATCATCTGAGTTGCACGTTGAGTGATAGGAAGTGGATTTGTTCCCGAGACTCTAATATCTTAGGAGAAGATGAAAATATGTCATGAGCTTAATGCCGCGTATGAAGTGTGATGGGAATGTGTGTTGTGCCTCTGCTCTGCCAGGCACACTGCCAGCTACACAGGAAGCCTGCTAGGAAGTGTGCAGTGCGGGCCGCCGTGGCCAGCGGGCTCTCCGTTGCAAAACCGGTGGCCGGCGAAGCGCAGGTGGTGCGTTCCTGGCGGAGAACAGGCTGGGTCTTAAGGGTGTGTGCGTCAGGGAGGGAGGAGAGAAATGATCGGATTTCTGCTTCTTCAAAATTCAAAAATAACTTTATTAAACAGAAGATAAGGGATTATATTTTTAAAATTTTGGATAACTCTGTTCTTAGAGCTATGAAGCATTTAAAACCTTGGAAAATCGTTTAAGAAAACATTTTAACCTATTGACTGCCCTCTGGTTTGGTGCAGTGTTTGTCCTTTGGCGGAGAAGCAAGGGGAGGAGGTGGCGGGCACAGACCATCTTCCCATCCTCAAGAAGGAACTTCCGTGGGACATGAGAGCTCTTGGAGGCAACAGCTTCCTTTTTGTTCTGCTCTTTCCCTCGTGCCTTTTGATTTTTCTCTTTAACTTTCTGCTAAAACCTGAGAAATGCTCTCAGCCAATCTGCTGAAGGAGGGGAAAGTCAGAGGACTTGCTCCCACAACGTGGGCTGTGTCCATGGTGACGTGGGCTGTGTCCATGGTGGCGTGGGCCATGTCCATGGCATAGGCTATCTGTGGCACTGCGGCTTGTGAGTACGTTTGTGGGTGCTTAGTCCAGTCCTCTCAGTCCTGCAAGGTTGGAGAGCATCCTGGCACCCATTCGATGGCTGTTGACGGTGAGGCCCACACTGATCAGCTGGCTCATGTGGCATCACAGGCTCCTGGGAGTGGATCCTGGCTTTGATGCTGGGCGATCCTGCTCCCACACTCCCGGCCAGAATCCTGGAACCACCATGACAGTCGTCATGTGGAAACCACAAGCTGGAAAGTCTGGAAGGGGCAGAAATCCACATCCTGCCAGTGACATTAGCGTAGTGAACATCCAACAGCAAGTCGCTTCTCCTGGTGGTGGCTCTATTTTTAGAAGATTAAAATAGAATGCAATACAAAGAAATCACTGTATATTTAGAAACTGAAGCTTCTGTTGTATAAAAAGGAATAGTGATAAGATTAAGTTAGTCTTGGTGTAGGGGAGGTTGTGATGTGTAGGGTATATTCATTCTGTGCATAACAGAAATGTAATAGTGATTTCTGCACATGGTACACCTGCTTCTTAGAGGATCCAGAAAAGCTGGTTTTGTTGGAGGGAGGAGTGTGCTGGAGTACTATTGAATTAAATAATAATGATGTGATTATCTTGAATGTACATTTGTACCATTGAATAATGAGCCTTGTGCAGTGGGAGAGCGTGTTCTAGAATACAAGGAGGTAGATTGGGGCATCTCAAGCAGGAGCTAGGACTGCAGGTACTGTGTGGTTACAGCTGGGGCCAGTGTGTGGAGAATGGAACTCTTTGTTTTTATTTTTTATTTTTATTTTTGGAGGCAGGTCTTGCTCTGTCACCCAGGCTGTAGTGCAGTGGTGTGATCTTGCTCGAGAGATCCTCGTGCCTCAGCCTCCCAAGTAGCTGGGACTACAGTCACACGCCACCACACCCAGCTGATTTTTTGTATTGTTGATAGGGACAGGGTCTCATTATGTTACTGAGGCTGGTCTTGAATTCCTGACCTCAAGCAATATTCCCGCCTCATTCCTCCCAAAGTGTTGGGATTACAGGCGTGAACCACTGTGCCTGGCTGGGAATGGAAATCTTTACCCAGATCACCCACGACGCTAGCTGTGGTGGCATCTGTGTGTCTCCCCCATCTTCACTTTTTAGAAATAAAATTTTGTTTGAAAACATTTTAGATATGAAAATAAAACTACGTGGTGTATATTATTCGGTAGTACCAAAATTAAGGAGAGTAAAACGTCTTGAAATCGTTTAAAGTTGAGGACATGGAAACCACTCATGTGGAAAGGCCCTTTCCACCCCACGTCATCCTCTAAGGGAGCTGACGGCGCCCACAGGGCCAGGTGCCAGCTGACGAGTCTCTTTCCAGACGTGCTGGCTGCACCGGTAAGTTGATGCAGGTCTCGAGGTGAACCAGGCGTGTGGCGGGGGCACGTGAACACACGTGGGCAGGTTCCCCGGGTCTGCAGAGGGGAGGATCCCGCCAAGGGTGAGGGAAAACCGCCCCCGAGTCCCATCTCTGGCAGCTCTTCTGCTGGGGAGGCCCATGAGCCAGTCCACTGTCGTGCCCCTTCGCTGTGGCCTCTGGCAGCGGGCTTCTGGCTGGAACACAGCAGTCCACAGTCAGGCCACTGAAAACCGTCCTTTCTGTCGAGGTCCCAGGGAGGAAGTGCCTCTTCTGGCCCCTTCTCCTTGGAGAGGCCAAGACGTTCCTCTAAAGGAGGCCCGATGCCTGTGTCACCACTGCCAGTGCACGCTGAACCCATAGCAGCTTCTGGATACTTCAGGAGAATGGCCTGCTGTGTGAACCAGTGCTTGATTTTGTACCCACTGTGTCTGCCCCAAGACAAGCTGCTGGAGGCTCCAGCCAGTGGCAGCCCCAGTGGCAGGAAGGCACGTGGAGCTGACTGCCTGGAGCTGGGCCGTGCGGGGCCCTGGACTATCTGAATCTCATGTCACATTTTCACAGCCTTCAATTCCTTGTTCTTCCCCACTGGTTCTGGCCAGGTGGCCCCGGGATCTCTGGGGAGCCACCTGCAGGGTTAGAGACCGGGTACTGAAGACACAGTGATGTTATCACCTGGACCTCTCCTCTCGGACCCCTGGGGGCCGACTCTGTGTCTTCATCAGCTGGGTTCTCAGCACCTAAGGTGATGTCTGGACCACACGTGTCTCCTGATAGTGCTTGTCAGAGTCATGGAATAAAAGCAGGGTGCTTTGTTTAACCAGAGGACATCCACGCATCCTCATAGGAGATGTGGAGCGGGGTATTCCCTGCAATTCCGATGGGAGAGGCCGCGGTGGCCATCACGGAGGATGCTGCGCTGGGCCTCCTTCCAGAGGCGGGAGGGCTGTGCACGGCCTCCTTCCAGAGGCGGGAGGCCCGGAAGCAGAGCTTCCCCTTGGATGACGCGTCACAGCAGGAAGGAGCACAGCTGTCGCGGGGTGAGAGACGGCAGAACCAGTGTGGAGCAGCCAGCTGACACATTAAACGAGTCTTCACTGCTTATGTATATTTTGTGCACATTCTTTCCTGACACAAGAGTTTTGAGTGCAGTGTGTGTCACTTAATATTCAGCTCCTTGTTTTTTTTTTTTCTTTAATAGCTCAGCTAAAGGAATGAATAAATATTTTAGAAGATTAGAGCCCCTCCCAGGATGGCGTGGTATTTGGATAGTGAGATTTCGGGTAGAGTAAAGGATGCTGCTGAAATACATGTTGTTGTAGAATATGGAGAACTTGAATTTTGAACCATTGACACAAATTCTGAACATTTTGGATTTTTTTTTTCCTGAGAAAGTCACAAAGTAATGATTCAAAGGAGGTTTAGACGTACTGTTTGCTCTTCAAAATGGTGATTGGCTCTCTTAAAATCAGCAGGTTCCATCAAATCTGCATTTTGGATTTCCGGCTTGCTTCTCCCCACTCAAGTCTCTCTGTCTTCCCTACCTGGGTGAGTGTGGCACACCCACGCCAAGTCCATCGCAGAGTCCTGATGGATCCCTTTCCCCATCTCTCCCAGCTCTCTCTCCGCCTCCCCCGCCTTCCGCAGCCCCTCCCCGCCCTGGGCGACACTCCGCATGGTGGCTGAAGTCGGAATGGAAGGTCCTTACCATGGCCTTCGGACCTGCAGCCGTGTCTCCTCTGTCTGCCCCGTGGGAACCCCCAGGCTTGTTCCCCTCCCAGGCCTTGCCCTTGCTGTTCCCTCCACCTCGTGTGTACCTCGTTGGGATCGTTGATCCCACATGTCCTTCAGGTGTCGGCTCAAATGCCACCACCTCACAGGGCCCTCTCAGGTCACTTTGTCTAAAAGAACAGTCCCTGCCGTGTTCCGCCTGCGTGATTGTTATTCCAGCACGTGATCCCACACGGTCTTCTAATTTACGTGTCATCACCTCTTCAGCAGTGGAAGTTTGGGGTGCAGGGACTTACAACACTGTGTCCCCAAAATTGTGGCCATCACTTAATCGCTAGTTCAGGAAAACTTGAATGAATGAGCCAGTGATGGGATGTTGACCTTGAGGCTTGAATGAGTCCGTGTGGAGAGGCAGAACAGCAGAGTGGGGGTCAGTTTGCTTTTGAAAGTTGGTCCCAACCTTGATCAGGATGGTCTTTATCATCTCCCTGGCTTCTTTAAAATGGGGACAATAACAGTATCTGTGCCAGTTATTTCTCTGGTGAGAACCATGAGTACTACTTCTGTGAATGAAACCCAGAGATAAGTGCCTGACCATCGTCAGCTCCTGCTAGGAGTTACTTAGCTGTTATTGTTTCTCATTTAGAATGTAAGCAGGATGTTATGTTTAGTTCTAGCAAGATATGGCAACAATAGTTTAGAAAATGAAATACATTTTCAGTGAATTGAGGCAAATATTGTCCTAAAAAGCGCTAGAGGTGGCCGGGCTCTGCAGCTCATGCCTGTAATCCCAGCACTTTGGGAGGTTGAGGCTGCGGATCATGAGGTCAGGAGATTGACACCATCCTGGCTAACACGGTGAAACCCCATCCCTACTAAAAATACAAAAAAATTAGCCAGGCGTGGTGGCCGGCGCCTGTAGTCCCAGCTATTCGGGAGGCTGAGGCAGGAGAATTGCTTGAACCCGGGAGGCGGAGGTTGCAGTGAGCCGAGATCACGCCACTGCACTTCAGCCTGGGTGACAGAGCGAGACTCCATCTCAAAAAAAAAAAAAAGTGCAAGAGGAGTAAGTCTTTCAACCCAAGGGGCGTGTTGGCTGAAGCACCTTGGAGCAGACTTTTGCTGGGTGAAGCCACCGGCCTGTCACTTGGGTAGCTGCTGGCAGGGTCAGCCTGACTCGCACAGAACATCACCGAGTGTTATGGGCGCTGGGGGAGCCCCAGCCTCACTCTCTCCCCATCTCACTGGCCACTGACCACAGATTGGTCACTTCCGAAATGCTGCCTTAAACTTGGCATCAAAGGATCCTTTTTCTGCACAGAGAATGAGCGGTGCTTTCAGGTCTGGTTTGGTGAGAGGAGGAGAGGGTGTGGTCCACTGTGGTCAGCGCCCTCCGTTCTCCACCTCGCTCCAGGGAGGGATCTCTGCTTTGATGCTCCCAGCCGCGCAGTTAATGTGCCTGCCTAGACTTTCCGCAAATGGCCACTTTGAGTTTATTGTTCTAAATTAGTGACTCATTTTTCGTGAGCTACTTATTAACATGCACCTATTTTCCAGCTTCCTGCCACCTAACCACAAGCACCTTTAGCGAGTTTGTGATGTTCAGCAGTGTGGAAAATATTCTGGGAGAATGGTTCGTCTGTATAGTGGTTTTCGTTGCTGAGTCACGTTTGGTGAGCAGCTTGTTCGGCTCAGATGCCCTGGCGTGGAGGGCACGGGCCCCGGCTGCGGCACTGAAGCAAAGGTGAAGCGGGAGGAGCAAAGGGAGTCTCTCGCCCCGCACGTACTGTGTGCCTCGTTCTTTATCTGTGTTCGTTTATTCACTCCTCATGTCAGCCTCGTCTCCACTCGACAGGGGGGATATTCCACCCCAAACCCTGCAGGACTGCCTCCCACACGGGTTCTACGTCCAGGTGGAGGGTAGATGCGGGTAGGAATTGTATAATATTTGTTAGAATTCTCGGGAGTGAAAAGGTGTTAGTTTAGAAAGTAGGATGCCTGCGGGGAAACAGAAGTGGTGGGTACAGCATGAAAAAGTGGGCCTTTTGGTTTGCCCGGCTGTGCGGGTGGCCCGGCAGCGAGGGAGCGCGGTTATCCACGAGCAGACCGCAGAGCTAGTCTCCAGCCATTGCCGATAGCTGCATCACCTTTCATCATTAACTGAAGGGAACCTATCCAGAAAACTATTTTACATTAGCTGTGGAGATGCTATTTGTGTGTTTTGCAGCGTTCCTATTTGACGTCTGTTGTGTGTGACTCCTCCCACTGGCTCTGGTGAAACTGCACACGGTGCATGCCAGGTGATCCTCCTCGCACGCTCCCAGCGCTGTACAGCACAGCTGTGCAGTGACGCACCCACATGTGCCCTCGCCACTGGGCAGTGGACATCCTCTCAGGAGCAGAGATGGTGCTGTTTTCAAAGGCAGGCGAGGACATTTTCTCCTGATTTGCTAAATCACTTATGAACGCTTCAGCTGGCCTGTGCCACTTGGTAGGTAGGGGTAGCTGAGAGCTGTCTCTCCGTGTTGTCTTACTTAGGGAGGAAGCAGCCTGGCCATGCCAGGCCCTGCAGAACCGTCTAGGAGAGGCCCTGAGACACTCCCTCCAGGAAACGCTGTTCTCCGGCCCTTAGAGCACAGAGCAGGGCCCTGCGGAGCAGGAAGAGCGGCTTGCTTTCACTCCTGCCGGCGCCGTGGCCATCACCTGCTCAGCCAGCGCCTGGCCGGCCCCCGCCCACACACCTGGCTCTATGCTCGGTGCCAGGACCTGTGGCAACAGGACAGCCCCATTCAGCCCCCGGGCAGCCCCTTTTCCACACTGATTCCTGACACTGCTCCTCGCGTCCTGTGGCCTGCAGCAACCCCGGTGCTTCTCCGGCTGCCACGCCTCCTGGGTGCATGGATGGTTTCTCCGACGGGGGAGGGGAAGGGGCGAGGTGCTGTGTTTCCACTGCCACATTTTCCCTGGGAAAATCCCCGAGTAACCTGCTGTTCCCTTTCCCCCGTGGCTCACTCCTGCCCGCGTTTGCCTCCCCACCGGGCTCTGCCTGCCTGCTGAGTCTGCGTGTCCAGCGGGCTCAGTTTGCACGTTTTGTCCCTATCACCCGACTAAGCCACAGGTGTTAGCAAGCCTGGCCTGGCACGTGAGAGCAGCTGGACACCCCCCTGCAGTCTCCTCTGCCCTGTGTCTGGGCAGGTGCTGGCACCAGGCAGACCCCATGGCGGGACTGGACGCAGGCAGCCAGTGTGGGTTGCCGGTTCTGCTGGGCCGGGGCCAGGCCTCTGCGTTGCTCACTCTCACGTTCCCAGACGCTCAGGGCCTGCTCGCTGAGCTGTGAACCAGACGTGTGTGTCTGCTTGAACACATAGGGGCTGGGGATGAACTGAAGACTGTTGGGATATTCGTGAAGGAACAAGTTAGGTAGATCACCCAGCAGATGCTCAGGAAAGACATATTGAATAGAAGGTGGGGGCAGGCTCGTCTTTATTCCTGGCATCTCTTGAAAAATTGTTATGAAAAGTTTCAAAGATATATGAAAGGAAAGAGACCAGTGCATAGAGCGAGTGCCCACAGCCACCTCCCGCCAGGAAATCCCTGAGGCTCTCCATCGTGACCACTTCATCTCTCCACACCTTTATTTTCTGGAGAATTTAAAACCGATCTCAGAGGCCACAGCACCATCCCTTAAATACTTGAATGTGTGTTTCTAACAGATCCAACCCCATTATCACACTCAGCAGAAGGAATCATGATTCCTACATATCATCTTATACCCAAACGATGTTTAATTTTTACTGGTTGTCTTAAAAACTGTCTTTTTACAGCCAGTTGTTCAAATCCAGACCAAAACATCGGGACTGGTGGGCATATCTGAAATTTCCCCTGCCCACTCTCCGCCTCACTGAGTCCTTTGTCCTGGGATTTTCTGTTTCAGGGCTTGACTGATCATAGCCAATCCAGTGTCCTTTAGCAGGTTCTGCCAAACCCGTACTTCCTGTAAGCCGGCAGCTACAGCTAGTTTTGATTCTTAGTGGAGAGACAACAGGAATACTTCTTAGGTTATCCTTGACATTTTAAGACTGCCTGATTACCCTGAAGGAAAAATATTGCTTAGGGAAAGAATCTTTTTCCATTTTCATTTTCTCTAATAAATGCACATAAACTATGTTGGACATGCCTGAGGAATTCACAGCACTTACTCATTAAAGTTTAATTTCTATTAATGGGCAGATGCAAGCACTGTTATGGAACTTTGGTAATTTTCAGTAACCTGCGCAGTGGGGAAAAGCAGAATCTAGTGGCCTGGGATGCTCGAGGCTATAAGCAGAGCTCCCAGGGAGGGCCGGTTGGGTGGGCACAAGTTTATGGAGCATCAAGCCTATGCCTAGTATCTGCCAGGCCCAGGGGTAGTGCCAGGGTGTGGGCCGCACAGTGGAGGGAGGATGGGCTGCTGGGGTCACTCAGCAAAGCAGGAGGCTGAGCTGGGAGGAGGCCAGCGCAGGTGCAGGTCCTGCTTGAGGTGGCAGATGGAGACCCCTCTGGGGGTTCAGGTCAGGGGAAGGACCTAGGGGGAATTTGAGTATTTGGCTGACCTTGTAGATCATTTTGTTTCCAAGCCATGACATTTCAGCCCACTGAACTTCCTTTTATAATTTAATTGAACAAGGGCATCAGAGTGCCAGTAAAATTCTACTACCTCTGGTCACACAGGTTAGAGGCCTGAGGGGATGGCATGATGGCCCCAAACCCAAATAGATACCCACTTCATTCCACATTGACTCACACGCCGTGTGGAGGGAAGGTTTGCATGTGAGTGTGCACCGCACCACGCCCTCCAGGAGGTGCAGGTCTTGGTGGGCCACATGGGCCCTCGCGCAGCGCTTTCTCACAGACACCTGCCAGTTTGGTGCAGGCCAAGAGGCTGTTTTCCTCATGGCCAATCCTCCCAGCAGAAGGAGTTTTCCGTCCCTCCTTATTCAGGCAAAAGACAAGTCCTTTTGCCCCAGACACGAGAACCAAGTGGTTTCTTTTGTCTTTGCTTTAAGGCTAAGCTCTTTCTTTAAACCATGGGAACTCTGCCGTTGCCCATGAAGTTCGGTTTGAAGGTATCGGGGCTTCTCTGGTCTGACGTCAGCCCTTGCTTAGGTGTTCACGCAGCTCAGTCCCTGGAGTCCCAGTGAGGCCCTGGGACAAACCCCAGTTGAAGCACATTCTATAAAATACCCAAGCAGGATTGCTTAAAGCTGTCAAGGTGGTCAAAAACAAGGAAGGTCTGAGATACTGTTGCAGCCAAGAGAGGCAGGACCCTGGATGGGCGCTAGGACAGAAAATGGGCACCAGGGAAAAACGGAGGAAATCTGAATCAAGTCCGGGCTTTTTCTGTCATGACACCTAAGCACAGCATCCTGATGGAAGGTGTTAGTTGTAGGGCATGGAGGGTGCAGAGTACAGGAATGGAAGATGTTAGTTGTAGGGCATGGAGGGTGCAGAGTATAGGATAAGTCTCTACTAGCTTTAATTTTTCTATAAACTCACAGCTGTTCTAAAACAACACCTTTGTTTGAAAAATATGAAAGGATGGGGAGATTGGCTGCAATGAAGACTGTGTCGTTACTGTTTCCCAGTAGCCCTAAGCTTCCGTTCCCGTGTCTGAAAAGCAGCTCTGTTAGCACAGTGGGGTGTGCACAGTGAGGTGTGACCTATACTACTCTTGAGTCACAGCGGTTTCATTGTTTTTGTCTATGTCAGCAACCCCCCACCAAACACACTTTAGAATGTTAATTTATCCAGCCGGGAGCGGTGGCTCACGCCTGTAATCCCAGCACTTTGGGAGGCCGAGGCAGGCGGATCACAAGGTCAGGAGATCGAGACCATCCTGGCTAACATGGTGAAACCCCGTCTCTACTAAAAATACAAAATACTAGCTGGGCTTGGTGGCGGGTGCCTGTAGTCTCACCTATTCGGGAGGCTGAGGCAGGAGAATGGCGTGAACCTGGGAGGCGGAGCTTGCAGTGAGCTGAGATCCAGCCACTGCAGTCCAGCCTGGGCAACAGAGCGAGACAATGTCTCAAAAAAAAAAAAAAAGGAATGTTAATTTATCCAATTCTCATTTTATGCTCATAACGAAATATTGAAGTGAGGTGCTAAGGTGAAATGTGGGACTGAGGTCTCCAAGTCTTCAGAATCAAGCGTGGAAAAGAGTTTAGGTGTAGCTTGTGTGGAGCTCTTGCTGCCTTCCTGTTCCCAAAAACCCCCTGGGCCTGACCACGCTGGTTTGTCACAGGAATGCAAAGTTAGTTTGACATGAGAAAAAAAAGTTTACTACGTTATCAGATGGAAGGGGAAATTATTTAATAAGCTGAATTGATGCAGAAAAGTTTAATACAGTTAAGCAAACATGTGATTTAAAAATATGTCTTGGCAAACTAGGAGTAGATGGGAACTTCCTTAATCTGATAGTTACCTGTTGGACACCTGCAGCAAGCAATACACTTTCCAGTAAAACATTGAAATATCCTTCGTAAGATCAGAAACAAGACCAAAGTGTCTTTTATCACCATTTCTCTTTAGTTACTGTACTGTAGGACTGAGCCAGCAGAATAAAGAAGAAGAAAAGGTGTGAGGTCTGGAAGGTGGAAACAACTGTCATTATTTGTACGTGACCTGATTCTATATGTAGAAAATACACGATAACTACAGAAAAATGATTGAAATTAATATTCTACGATACAGAACCAATAAGTAAAAATTAATTGTGTTTCCATATGCAAGCAAACAGAAATTGATAATGGAAATCAAATATCAAATACCTAGTAATAAATCTAAAGATGTTCAAGACCGCAACACTGAAAATTCTGAAACATTTCTGAGAGAAATGAAAGGAGGTAATAGCCCATGTTCATGGATTGAAAGATGCAGTACTGTAAAGATTATCTTCTCTCAAAATGACAGATGCAGTGCAATCCCAGGCACTGTTCGTTTCCCTCCCTCCCTCCCTCCCTCCCTCCCTTCCCCTCCTTCCTCTCTCGTCCTCTCTCTTTCTCTCCCTCTTTCTCTCTCTCTCTTTCTTTCTCTTTTCTTTCTTTCTCTTTCTTTCTTTCTTTCTCTTTCTCCTTCTTTCTTTCTTTCTTTTTTTCTCCTTCCTTCCTTCCTTCCTTCCTTCTCTTTCTTTCTTTTTCTCTTTTCTTTTCTTTTGGTGGAACTTGTCAAGTTAATTTTAAAATTTATGTGGCGGAGTAAAAGGCCAATTTTGCCCAAGATGATCTGGAAGAAAAAAGTAGGGTTTTTTGCCTTGCCAATATTAAGAGTTATTGTACAGTTATGGTGGTTAAGACAGTGTGATTATTGGCAAAACCAAAAACAAGTTGGCCAACAGGATTGAGATTTGGCTTATAAGGGAACTAATGTTGCCCATCCATGGTGAAAGATAAGACCTCTTAATAACACTGAGGGGACATTTGGCTGTTATCATAGGAAAACATACCCCAAACCCCTGTCTCATAGCGTATACAAACATCAGTGCCAGTAGATGAGAGACTTACATATAAAAGGGAACACTGCAAAGTTTCAGGGTAAAAATATGTTAAAATATCTCTGCAGCCTCCAGGAAGAGAAGAGTTTCTTGAACCTGACATAAAAGCAGAAGCTTTGAAAGATTGAGAAATAGGACCTTTGAGAGGATATCTGCAGCATTTAATTGACAGAGGATTAATGTTCAGAATTTGTAAAGAATTCCTCTGAATCAATAAGAAAAAGACAACCCAACTGGGGGCAAAAAACAGGTCAAAAAGACATGAATCCAAAACAGCCAGTGAAAAAGCCAATAAACATGTAAGAAGATGGTCAGTGTCATTGGTCATCTGGGAAAGACAAATGAAACCTTCAAGAGACACCCTTTCACCCCAACCTGGGCAGGACTAGGTGTTCCCAGGCAGGTCCCAAGGGTGGAAACCACACTTTCTCCCCACTCCCTTCCCCTCCCAGTTCAGGAGCCTGTGCGTGGGGCTTTCATGTACTTTCTTTATTGGCTCAAGAAACCTCCTTTCTTGTGTGTCGGTATTGTGATGTGAAACCCTTGGTGGAGGGCACTGGTCTTGGTGGGTACCTGTTTGCTCAAGGTCCAGCTTCAGACAAGCCGCTGGTTTAATTGAGACAGAACTGGATTCCGGCTGGTGCTCACTCCGTGATCCTAGGAAACTGCACAGCCCTTGAGGCCATTTCCCCAAGTGTGAAGTGGGGGGCCTGGGCCCTCCGGGTGAAAGTGAGGTTCCTTTGGCTCCAGAAGGCCGGGTTTCTGGTTAGACATACCTACCCGTCTGATGCAAGGTGGATTCTGAAAAGCAAAAGCACTGTCTGTCTTAGTCCTGTTCCTCCCATGGGCGGACTCCGAGTCTCAAACAATGCTCAGTTCAGGCTGGGTCCTGTCGGCGCGAAAGGGACTCCTGGCAAGAGTGATGTGGTCACTGCAGTTGACTGTGGGTGCATTGAGCACACTGGGGCACATCATGTGCTGGTGAGGACACGAGGTACCCGTGCTCCTCGGCCTCCCTCTCAGTGTGCATCTGGTCTGCAGCCCCAGCGCTGATTAAATGCTGTTTGAGGACACTCAGTACGATCGTCCCTGTCCAGCAGGGTTTCCAAAAATAGATTCTCAAGCGGAGACAGATAAGGGGGAACCTGCTTGCAGCAGGCGTGTGATGAGGAAGTGGTACTTTGCTTCCCATCTTCATTATTTTCCTGCTTGTAAACGCTGGGTTCTTAGCACCGCTTTCTCCTCAGCCTGAGAAATTTCAGCCCAGAGGCAGATAAATATGGAAATTCCACCTCTCATCACTAATTTCATTTTAACTCACTCTGGAATATGATATCTGAAAAAACACAGCGTTAAGAATCTATTCTGTGCACATTCACGGATGCCGTCATGCGTTCCAGCTGGCTGTGTACCGCAGCTTGTCTATTTCACCCTGGTGACAGACGTTCTTTGCCCCACTGGCCACGCTTTGTTTAGGTCCGTTCCAAAGCTGTCTTTCCCAGGCCTGGTGGCCCCTGCGCCTGCAAAGTGCACTCACCGCCACTGCTTTACCCCCAGGATTGTGTTCCACCAGCCACCTCTGGCAAAACGCCTTTAGTGTTTGGCTTCTCGATCATGGCTGCTGCCCTGAGCCCCAGCCTTTCATAATGAGGGATGCGGCATCTGTCATGCTGTCCAGGTGGACGACCAAGGACGGCTCAGGCCGGGATCTTGTCTTAAAGAGACTGTGGCCGTGCTTCCAGCTGGCTGGGGCTCACGGGGCCTCCACATGTGGGGTTAGCGTCCGGCACTGAGACCCATGTCTGTGCCGCCGCCTCCAAGGCCGCCTGTGCTTGAGACACTCCTGCTGTTTTCTGATAGTTCCACATGGCTGCCCTGTTCCGCGAGAGGCAGGCACTTCCTATTAACCCAGTGCCGCCTCAGAACAGCTTTCCCTTCGAGCATTTCCATGTCATTCTACAAAGATGTGAACATGGCAGTGTTGGGGGTTTGAATGTACAGGTTGTTATGAGACTAGCCAGGCCCAGTGGCACACAACGAGAACAAGCAGCATCTCTGTGTGGTGGAAGAATAAGCCTTATCTGGTCTTTGTCCTCGTTCCTGGCAGGGAGCTCTTAGGATCCCAGGAGCTTCCTGAGTGTCCAGCGAGCCTTTCGTTATTCCTAAGGAGGAGCTTCTTATGTGCTTCTGAGTTTATGCTAATGAAGTGACTTAGGGCAGGACCCCTGGATAGCCTCGGGATGGGGCCAGTCACCAGGACGCAGAGACGAGAGGAGCAGCATGTTCAGCCGCACCTGCTGACCCCAGTGGTACTGACACAGAGGCTCCTGCACTCAGGACCCCTCCAGACCCTGCCTTCATGTTACTGTTTATTTGCATCTTTTACAATAAACCCATCAACATGGTAAAGTGTTTTTCTGAGTTTTGTGAGCCCTTCTAGCAAATTACAGAACCTGAGAGGGGCTTGTGGGAACTCCTGATTTATAGCCGATCTTTAGAAGTCCAGGAGGCCCAGGACTTGTGTCTGAAATGGGGGCAGCCTTGTGGACCTGAGCCCCTGTGGCGTGTGTGCTAGCTCTGGGCAGTTATTGTCAGAGTGGAACTGGATCATTGGACGCCCAGTTGGTGCCAGTTGGCTGGTGTCAGAAACCACCCCACCCGCCAGTATACAGGATTGGACATGTTAAGGTCAAGGTCTGGTTTACGCAGGGAATCCACATGCTGTTATCGAACGGCATTCTCCTTGGTGTGCCAGCTAGTGCAAGCATGCAATAAATGTCTTCTTGAAGGGTAGGTGGGACGCGGACCAGCCCAGTGCCCAGAAATGTAGGTGAGCCAAGACCCACTAAGCTGCACCTTGATCTGAAACACACGAGTGATGCTTGTGGATACAGGAACACCACGTATCGTGACTTACAAGTCAAATCGGTTGCACTGAGATCTGATGTGTCTTCCTGCTTCAGTGTAGTAAAAGTAACTTGTAATTAGGCCTCATGTATGAACTCGGTGCTGGAGGGATCCGCCTTTTGGGCTCAGGCATAAGCAGTTCACTTCCAAACTCAAGAAAGGGCTTCATGTGAGCTGGGACTCTGGCCCCACCGCTGCTGCTCACCACTGGGGGCTTCTTGGTTTCCAAACTTTCTGGTTCTAGGGCTTTTGCTGAGGTGGAAGCTAAGGTTGGGCGTTGAGCTGACTACAGGGGAGGCAGTTCTGGGGGACAGGCATTGGCTCGTAGGAACTGTTGCAGAACCCTGACCAGGGTGGTCCCCCCAAGCCCCCTCCTCTTGACCCCTTCCCATTGGAAAACTGCAGCTACATTGAGATCTTCAAAAGGGCCTTCTGCTGTTTCTGAAAGTATTTATAGTGGGATTTGGGTTAAATACACACACACATATAAACATACATACATACAGGCACCTTTTCGAATTTTTTATTTTTTGTCTACAATGAGCATTTATTTATTTTTATTTATTATAAAAATGAATACAAATATATTTATTTTTAGGGGAAAAAAAGGCTTGAAAAGTACTTTCCACCACTATCTGGGGTCTCTTTCTGAGTTGCAGTGAAGGTTCTCTTGAGACATGGCATCATGTTTACAATTCAGCATCCAGGCCATCTCCTAAGGTGGCCATGTTCTTTGAGAAAGCCCTGGAATGTGTGAAGACTTGGGGCGATTGCTCAGGTCTGGTGGTTGCTTCTAAGGTGTAACTATGACCTGCCGGTCTTTCTCCTGACCCAGGGAAGCAGAACTGTTTTGCCTCCGAATATGCCCAGTGTCTTACTGTCTTTACTTCTGTTTTCAAACCTTAAGAGTTGCCGAGACTTGGGAGGAGCTGCTGGTTGGTTGGAGAGGTCCCCGTGGTTTTTTGTTGTTGTCTTCATTTTGATTTTTATTTCTGGCACCCACGTTTGATCTCTGCATTGCCCAAGAGCAGCCTCACCTGCTGAGCTCCTGCAGGTCCATGTTGGCCTCACACTTTCCCAGTTCTAACTTCAAGAGCATGCCCTCCAATCTCCTGGGACCCTTGTTTCCGTTCTTGAATATTGAACATCTCCAAGGACATGCACGGGTTGGCAATGCTAGGAATTATCTATTTTGGATAAAAAAATGGGTTTTTTTTTTTTTGCAGTCATTTGACCTGATGTTAGTCGTTTTTGTCCTGTTTTAAAACTTGTATCTACAGAGTTCCATGGCTGCCCTGCGAAACTGGTGCTCTCCTTCGCTTAGTAAGGAAAATGACCTCCGCGTGCAAGTCTGTAATGATATGCATATTATTGCAGGGCATTTTACACCACTTGTCAGAAGCTAATTTTAAAAGAAAAGTGTGATTCCTGGAAATCTTGCCAGAGTTTTCTTTCCTTTCTGCTTGGGAGAATATAGAAAAATCCCAGGCGGTCTAAATCCAGCCTGTGCCAGGTTTAGGTGGTGGGTGGGTTCCAGTCTCATCTTTGCAGTGAGTCTGAATAGATGGAAACCGCTCCATAATACAGTCTAAAAATGGATTTAAAAGAAAGGACTCTATACCTTGAGAACACCTGGTGAAGCGTTCTCCTCCATGCCTATTTGCAGCTAGAGTGGCCTCAGCTTGCCTCCTTCCCTGTCTGCACACCTGGCGGGTTCCGAGGGCTCCCTGTGCTGTGTTTCTGTGAGCGTCCAGACCGTTTGTCACTATCTGAGAAGAGGAAGAGCTGCTCTTCTCTTTTTGTTATCTTAATGCTTGTGGTCTGCAGAAGAGCCGACTTCTGATCAGCACGAGTGGGTATAATGTGGTTGCTGAACAGAAGTAAACCCAAATTGCTAAGCCAGTGGCTCTTAGGCCAGAAACGGGCGTTTGCCATATCTCAGTAGGAGGCTATTTTGATTATTCTACATTGGCAAATACAAATAATCTATGATGAAGCTGAAAGTGTCCCCCTGTAAAAGTAGGAAGGACACATGCATTTCATTGTTTGGGGAGTTACTCCCTGCAGACTCCCAGCATAAAGTATGTTGGCTGAAATGCGCGCAGTTTCTGAAGCCAGTGCCTTCTCTGTTCTCCAGATGGACTTTCTGGCCGAGACCAGCCAGTGGAGCTGCTGAATCCTGCCCGCGTGAACCACATGCCCAGCACGGGTAAGTCCGCCCACCCCTGCCCTGTCCGGCCGGCCCTGCGCTGAGCCAAAGAGGTGTTCAGACGCTCTGCCTTATTGGAGGAGTGCAGAGAGGGCGAGGGGGGAGGTGTGGGGTATCAGGTTCACTGAATTTGGGTGCTCTTCCTGGTGGTAAAAGAGGCCATCCTTTTTGGAAATGAAATGGCTCCGTGCCATGTAAATGGTAGAGAAATGCTGATTTTTTGTTGTTTTTTTTCTCTCTGGTGCTAAAGGATGTGTTCTTCCCAAAGGCACCAACTGCCTGGCTTAGGTGTAACCCCTGGCCCTGATCCCCGTGAGGGCCTGTAGGAAAGACCTCTGAGCTTGCAGTGGGCGGGGCTGGGTCCCACTGGCCACGTGACCGTGGACAGACCGCGCCTTTTCCATTGCCACCAGCTTTTGTTGGTTAAATGAGTCAGTGGCATCATCTGTCTTCCAAGTACCTTTCAGCTCTTTAACAAAAAAAAGTATCGGTGGTGATCAGAAATATTTCATTCCATAGGTAATTTTTAGTTATTTATGCATTTGTCTATTTGGAGACGGAATCTCACTCTGTCGCCCAGGCTGGAGTGGAGTGGCGTAATCTTGGCTCACTGCAACCTCCACCTCCCGGGTTCAAGCGATTCTCCTGCCTCAGTCTCCCCAAGTAGCTGGGATTACAGGTGTGTGCCACCACACCTGGCTAATTTTGCATTTTTAGTAGAGACGGGGTTTTACCATGTTGGCCAGGCTGGTCTTGAACTCCTGAGCTCAAGTAATCTGCCTGCCTCGGCCTCCCAAAGTGCTGGAATTACAGGCGTGAGCCACCGCGCCCAGCCCCATAGGTAACATTTTAAGGTACTCCAAGTCTATAGGCCATGGAAACAGACTTTTTCCCCCTTTTCTTTGTCTGTAAAACCCGTTTCCACATAGAATCCTCCAGGGTTTAAACTCCTTGTGAGGGTACCATTCTTCCCAGCCATGCAGCCTCTCCGAGAATAAAACCTGAACCTCCTGATGGCGTGGGGCTGAGGGAACCAGTGTTCCGTTCCACATGCGTCCTGCAGGGCAGTGTGGCTGGGCCTTGCAGGGACTGCGTCCCGAGGCCTGGGTCTCTGGTTTTGGCTCTGCTGCACCTTCCTTGACAGTCAGCCTTTGCTGCCGCCTGTGCCCTCCGGTGCCCCAGTTAGACCCACTCATCACCCCGAAAGGAAGTTGAAGCCAGCTTGAAGCCAGGCTGAACGTTTCCAAGAAGAGATTTCCTTCTTTGCCTTGTGATTCTTCCAAGTCGGCCAGGTTTTCTGTCATTTTCCAAACCCGGAGTTCTGGAGGTGTCTTTGCCCTGCTCCGGGAAGGCTCTCTGTGTCTGTGGGGTACGGTCCCCTGGCCTCTTGGGGGGTGTTCGGGGGGCTCCTTTCTGTCTGTTTTTTACACCTTGATTTTACTCTGCATTATTACTGATCAAGCAGTTTATTTTTTACCCCAGCACACTGGAGCCTGGGGGAGCGGTGGGGAGCTTTAAGTACCAGATGAAGATGCACAATTTTAAAATTTTGGCTTATGTCGACAGTTTTGGTTTTCACTTTCTCTCAAGTTCACTTTGCCGGTGTTGTTTTCGTGTAAACACTGAATTCTGTGGCTGGGGCATTTTTGAGACAACTTGCTTGTGCTTAACCAGGCGTGGCACGAGGGTAAGAGGATTTTCTGATAGCTTGATGGGCTGGGAAAAGATGGTAAATATGCATAGTTTCCAAGTGAACCAAAAAAGGTGGGCTTCAAATTAATATTCTGGCTTGGGAAGCGCACCCTGCCTGTCGAGACCTGCCATGGGATCCCTGCCTGGTGTGAGGACAGGCCGGGGCTTCAGCCTCCCACAGAGGGCACCTGGGGCCCGCCTCTGCTGCCTGTTTGCGTGGGAGCTTAGGCGAGTTGCTGAATAGCTCAGTTTTGTTTTCTCATTTCTTAGCCGGGGATGATAATGCCTCTCTACAGAGTTCTCATAAAGATGAAAGATATGTGTCAGCTTTTTAGTAGTTCCTCAATAAATGTCATCTCAGTGTCCCGTTGACTAGTACTGAGGAATGTGTGTGATGTAGCCTTTATATCCCCGTTCAAGGCCTGGACCTCTCCTGCAGCCTGTCACCCTCATTCTCTTCCTTTGGGGTGAGCCGCCGGACTTGAGAAGTGGCATGTTGGGAAGGCTGCCCCATGACGCTGGCCATTTACCTCCCTTGTCATCAGGTTCCCATTGGTCTGAGTCAGAGAGAGTGCCGTGTCTCCTGGCATTTATTGCATATTCAGGCATGGGTTGGTGGGCGTGGTGGGAGTGTTTGCAGGGTAATTTTAAATAACGTAGCAGCGATGCCCAGGAACAGTGGGCAGAGAAAGCATGCATGCATGTGCAGCAGTCCTGTATGACATCCATCATTGAGCCTGCACAGTGGCCTGTGCCTTAGAAGCCTCTAATGTGAAGCGTGTTCTTTCAAACTGCATTTTGGTCATTTCAACCCACTGAAAAATACTGCAAAGAAATATTAATCTCAGGTTAGGTGATAACTGGAAAATTGATAGGAAAATGTCTTTAAAGCCACATTTTTATGGTATGGGAGTATAAACATTTTTAGGTATATGTTATGTCAGTCCTCAATTGCTGTTATACATTTCCTAATGATTGAATTTAATCTTAACTATTCTTTAGACATTTTGATGTTTGAAGGTGTGGAAACAGACTGATACACACACACACTCAATTGTCAGGAATGACTCCAGCAGTCACTGTGAGAGCTCGCTCCCTTTGAACAGATGAGTGTGTACTTGGAGCAGGAAGGGCGCCCGGGCAGCCCTCCCCACTGTTGATCTGTCCTGTTTCCTGACCATTCCCTCGTGTGAATGCCGTTATGTTCAACACAGGTCTTTTTCTGATTATGGTTCTTTTTCAATACACTTAGTCCTAATAAATTCCCACTTCCAACAGAAAAGCATTATTCATACCATGTATTCGTGTGCCATCTTGAGATTTTAGAAACGTCAGGTGAGCATATCATGTGCTTTGGGAAAGTCTATACAGGTTGAGTATCTCTTATCTGTAATGCTTGGAAGCAGAAGTGTTTTGGATTTTGGGTTTGTTTTTTTTTTTTTCGGATTTTGGAATATTTGCATTATTCTTACTGGTTGAGCATCCTAAGTGTAAAAATTCAAAATCAGAAATGCCCCAATGAGCATTGCCTTTGAGTGTCACCGTGAAAAAGTTTTGGATTTGGAGGCATTTTGGATTTTGGTTTTTGGGTTTGGGATATTGTCAGCTGTACTGGAGGAGGAAAAAGCCAAAATGCCATTTGTCTTAGATCAACTTTGATTTCTTCAACTTCCCTCATAACTTTTTATCTGTAGACTTTGTTCTCTTTCTTTTTTAAAATGTTTTAAAAATTTTAATTGTAAAGTAGCTCTATCATAAAAGAAAACACATAACCATTTGCCTACCACTAAGATATAACAGACATGTTGTTAGTATTATTCCATCTTTGCCTCCTATTTCTTTGCGTTTTGAATAAGTGGAATGTCACAGTTGTGGACGTGGCTTTGCTCTTCCCCCTTCCTGGGAGTTGTTGTCTGCTTGCTGAGGGGAAGGGCCACCCTTGGCTTGGTGAGGGAAGGGCCACCCTTGGCTTGCTGAGGGGAAGGGCCACCCTTGGCTTGGTGAGGGAAGGGCCACCCTTGGCTTGGTGAGGGGAAGGGCCACCCTTGGCTTGGTGAGGGAAGGGCCACCCTTGGCTTGGTGAGGGAAGGGCCACCCTTGGCTTGGTGAGGGGAAGGGCCGCCCTTGGCTTGGAGAGGGAAGGGCCACCTTGGCTTGGTGAGGGGAAGGGCCACCCTTGGCTTGGTGAGGGAAGGGCCACCCTTGGCTTGGTGAGGGGAAGGGCCACCCTTGGCTTGGTGAGGGGAAGGGCCACCCTTGGCTTGGTGAGGGGAAGGGCCACCCTTGGCTTGGTGAGGGGAAGGGCCACCCTTGGCTTGGTGAGGGAAGGGCCACCCTTGGCTTGGTGAGGGGAAGGGCCACCCTTGGAGGAGACTTGACACCGAGGCAGATCCCAGGCGGAGACATGGTGGCAGGGTGGGGTGGGGGCGGGAGCTCGTGACCCCCGGTTCTCTGCCAGAGCCTTGTGTTTTCCCATGGAGTGAGCAAACAGAGCCATTGACTGAGTTAGGCTGGGGAGATGTTGCAGTTTGAGGACAGAGGAGAAGGTATGGAATTAGTCAGCCAGGAGAGACCAGCAAAATGTCATACAGGATTATAAACCCAACTATGCCCAAGGGCTGAATTACGGGGAACTTAAAAACTATTACTACTCAGTCATTTGTTTCAGATTCATTGTAGCTAAAACTCCTCCCCTTCCTGATTATAAAAGCAATGTATGTTTATTGTAGAAAAAAATCACTAAAGTGGTGGGTGTTGGGTTCCAAGGCTGGAGGTCGAGCTGGCTTCCAGCCAGGCCTTGCAGGCGCTCAGCAGCCTCGATTGAGGAGAGGGGTGCTTCGGGGAGGACGCCTACCTCAGGCATCCGGGAGCAGGTGCTCAGCAGCCTCGATTGAGGACAGGGGCG